>NC_000005.10:170306778-170609808 GCF_000001405.40 Homo sapiens
CTGATGGGATAACTGACCGCCTAATGCAACCTACTCTGGGCATTGTATGAGGGTGCAGTAAGGCAGGTGGGGCCTGGGGCAAACAGGGAGCAGCTCAATCCAAGATCATTGCTGCCATACTGTAATGGGGCACATTAGGCAAGAATTTGGGTCCTGTGTTGCCAGATCTTTGTTTAAGAAAAGGTAGAAAGCTAGATATTATGTTTTAAAAAAAATCAAAAAGAAAAATGTGGCAACTGTGGTAGGCAGAATATTGACCCCCCAGAGATGTCCACATCTTCATTTTCGAATCTGAATACGTTAAGTTACATGGAAAAGGGGAATTAAGGTTGCGGATGGATTCGAGGTTGCTAATCAGCTGGCCTTAAAATAGGGAGACAAGCCTAGAATATCTGGGTGGGTGCAGTGTAATCACAAGGGCCCTTAAAAGTGGAAGAGGGGAGGTGGGAGAAGGAAGCACCAGAGGAAGATATGACTATGGAAGCCAGGCACAGAGATGCAACATTGCTGATGTTAAAGATGAAGGCATGGAGCCACAAGCCAAGGTACGTGAGCGGCCTCTAGAACCGGGGAAAGCGAGGAAAGGGATTCTTTCCTGGAAACTTCAGAAAGCAACACGGCTTTTGACTTTAGCCCAGTGAGAATTGTTGCAGATTTTCGACCTCTGGAACTATAAGGTAATAAATTAGTGTTGTTTTAAAGTCACTAAATGTGTGGTAATTTGTTACAGCAGCAATAGAAAATGAATACATCACCTAACAACAAAAAAAAAAAGGACAAACCAACCACGTTTGTTGGCTGTAGAGCTGCTGAGAGCCTCTTGTGACTGAGAATCACTGAATGACAGGTACTATTTTTAAGGTGGAAGGACTTGAAAATCAGCACCCTGGACTCTATGACCTAGTCAGTGTCAGGGAGGGCCAAGATCACACAGCTGTGACTCATACTGGACAGGCCGAGTCCTAGAACAGCACACACACGGCTCTCCAGCCATTGAGGGAAGGCAAATGGAGGTGAAGTAATAGTGGTAAGTTCCTGCCAACGCAGAGTTCACGTCATAAGCACGTGAAACTTACGTAAACACAACTGCACGTGGCTGGAGGGAGAACGAAACAGGAGCTTAAGTAGTGTGGGCTGTTTTGCCTGCTGTTCTATTCAAGAAACAAAGGAATGCCCCAGGGTAAGCTCAAGAAGGCCAGCTGTAGGTGCTGCCTGTTGAGCTAAACCCTGTCCAAGCATAACTTCCTTCCAGACATGGGCGTACATGGTCCCGGGCCCTTTACCTGCCATTGCTGTCAACTCCATGGCCTGCTTCCCAGACGGATGCTCCTGTTTCACAAGCCAGCTGCATTTCTTTTTCTTTTCTCTTCCTTTTTCCTTATTATTATTATTATTATTTTTTTCTTTTTGGCACATGTAATTTTGGAAGCATCGTTCAGTTTCCCCAGGAAGCTCTGCACTGAGTGACGACAGGAACAAGTATGCCTTCATTGAGCACTGCCTATGTCACCGGTGTTCTGGGCCTTGGCGCCTGGATTGCTTTACACACACAGGGTGCTAATTAAGACTGTGGCATGCCTAGAGTTGAATCTCTGGTGAATGGAACCAGATACTTGTCATTGTGGAGGGACAAAGGCCTTTAAAGGGACTTAGTTCCAAAGTGGCAGCCCCTGGGTGTCTTCTAGCTAGGGGCTTTCCATTTGGTCCGCAGTGCTCCTCGCTGTTCCCACTCCCCCAAAATCACTTTGAAAGCATTTAGCTGGGACATCTTCTCTTCTGTTCAGCTTACCCTCAGTCCTCCCCATGATCTTGTATCACCCCGCTTCACTTAGCTACAGTTCCCGCCTAGCCCTTGAGAGAGAGTTTGAGTTTGTGAGAGTTTATCCTTATCCAAGTGCCACATTTAACTCAATTTACTTATTCATTCATTCATAATATATTTATTGAACACCTGCTATGTGCTAAAGAATGTAATGGGATTCAGGAGTGAACAAACATAAAGTCATCGATCTCATGGAGACTAATAATGATAATGTTATAATAATGGTGATGATGATGGTGATTAATGAGCATTGAGTATTTACTTTGTACCAGGGGTGTTTCCCTTACTGTAAAATGAGGAAACTAATGCATAGGCAAGTTTCATCCTTATGTGGCAGACAGAAATTAACAAAGGAGCAAATAAGAGGTGCGAGGGCTCTATGTACAATTTGGTAGCCACTAGCCTGGCTATTTAAATCTAAAGTCATGGAAATGCAATAAAATTCAAAATTCAGTTCCTTGGTCACACATATTTCAAATGCTCAACACTTACACATATCCAGTGGCAGTCACTTCGGGCAGTGCAGACACAGAACATTTTCATCATTGCAAAGTTCTACTGGGCAGCCCTGGTCTAGAGTGTTGTGGCTCATAATGGAAGCTCCAGGGTTTGAATCCTGATCTGACACTCACCAGATGGGAGACCTTGAGCAAATTTCTTAACCTCTCTCTATCTTGGGTTATTGATATATAAAATGTGGTCAATGGCAATACCAATCTCAAGGAGTTTGGGAGAAGATGAATTAATTCTAGGATGTTTAGAACAGTGTCCATCACATAATAAACATCTGATCCATTGATCATATCTACTATTATAAATATATAAAATGATGGGAGGTCATGATAAATGCTGTAAGGGAAAATAAAGCGAGGCGAGTGGTTGGATGTGACAGGGTCTTGCTTAGACGAAACAGTCAAGGGTGTCTTCTTGAGAGGGTGGCCTCTGAATAAAGTCAGGAAGCCAGACCTGTGGATAACTGGGGGAAGAACATCCAGGCAGAGGCCGTGAGCAAAGACCCCAAGGCTGGGTCTTGCTTGGCATGTCCCAGGTACAGCAGAGGCCAGTGTAGCTGGAAAGGAGCAAGTGAGGGAGAGAGGAGGCAGATGGGCTTGGAGAGATGCTAGAGGACCATGGTGAGGACTTGCACTGCATTGAATGTGGTGGGAGCACCTGGTGGGTTTTGAGCAGGGACGTGTTGGGGTCTGACTTATATTTTAGAGTCACCCTGGCTGGCCATGTGGGGCTAGAAGACCCCAGGGGAGGAGATGGAGGCTGGGAGGTCTGATAGAAGGCTGCTGCAGCCAGCAGGCCAGTGGAGACACCAAAAGAAGGGGCAGTGGGTAGGCTTTGCATTCAGGGCAGCTCTCACACTGGCTGTCCCCTCTGCCTGGAGCAGGCTTTGCCCAGATGTCCTCCTGGCTCACTCCCTCACCTCCTTATGTCTTGACTCAGAGGTCACCCTTCCAGATTAGACTGCCTGACCCCTTCTGTGCTTTCTGTTTTCTCCTTATTACAAATGAATCTGCACCATATTTCACTGATTGTGTTTGCTGCATGCATGAGGGCTCACATAAGGATGTGCTTTTTGTCCACTTTGTTCATTGCTGAATCACTAGCACTGACAGCTGTACCTGGCACAAACTGGGTGCTTAAGAAATATTCTTGAATCAAGGAATCAATAAATGAATGTTATAGAGAAAGCAGGAGAATAGATGATAATTGAGAAAACTGAAGCCCAGAGATGGGAAGTCACTGGCCCCATGTCACACAGCAGCAAATGCAGAACCGGTCCTGGAACTTCAGCCTCTCAGCCCCGGCCCTGTCCTCTCCTGTGCTTCTCACCACTTTATGTAAGTTTTTTCTTTATTTGTGGAGCTCTCAGCAGGCATTTTTCTCTCTGTGCTCAGTTGGCATTTTTCCCTTGAACCAGCTGTGTCTTCACTCTCTTCCCCATTTTCTCCAGAATATGTTCTTCTGTTTAACTGAATGTTCTCTTTTTCTGCAGGTCTGGCCCAACTGCAATATCCAGAGACTTTTCGGTGTCATATGAAAGAAAAGGAGCAGGAAGCCAAGATGCCCCACCTGGCTTCTACATCAGGGTGATCTGCATAGTAAGATGCAAAGACACTGACATATGCCTGGGGGTAACGAGGGCAGTGGGGGGAGGGAGCTAAGCCAAGATAAGCCTCCTCCCCACCAAACATAGGTGCTACTGAGCAATGATAGGGGGCATGCTGTCTGCTCTGGTACTTGCGTAGGGAATGCTCTGAGAAACCTCACTAAATCTGCCCTCTAGAGTAGAGCAACCTGGGAGCTCAGGCTTCCCTTTCCTCTGTGTGATGGGTTGGCGGTCCTTAGAGCCAGCCATTTCGTCCTGCTCCTTCTCTCCTCCCCTTCCTGACCAATAAAGATTGTGTGCTTCTGCCCAGTCAGCAGGGTGGGCTCTCACTCCATCCTGCCTCTGGTATGACAGCACAATTCCCCTCATTCTTTATAATCATTATAAAATAAAATAACTACCTTTTAGAATACTTATTTGATATGAGGCACTTTGCAAACCCACAGTCCTGCATATCCCATTTGACATATCAGGATGCTGGGCTTACAGGTTACCCCAGGGGTGGAGTTGGGCTCAATCCTAGGATTGTCTGCATCTGATTCTGAAGCTTGTTTTCTTTTCCCCTATACACAATCATTCATTCATTCATTCAGTAATTTTTAAATTGAGACATACTATGTACCAGCACCTGTTCTAAGCATTGGATTATGGTGATGAATGAGGCAGACAGGGTCCTTCCCACAAATAACTAACTCTATTCAAGCAGTGGGAGAAAAAGCAATGAATGGGAAATAAATGCACAAATCAAGTAATGTTGGATGGGACAACTGCTGTGGTCCCATTGAAACAAGCCCAGAGTGAGCCCAGTGTAGGGACTTCTTCATTGACTGGTTGGGAATTGAGTGACAATCGGTTGCTGCATGCTGATGGGTGCCAAATACAACCGTAAGGAAACACTCCCCTGGGAGGGAGGCGGGATCCAGGTTAGGAAAGAGCCTTGGATTGAGGCAGAGTGTCAGGAAGTGGGGAGGTACGCAGCTGACCTTGGAGAAAATCCCTGAGTGGTGCAGATCTCTTGAATCTCTGAGTGGCTCAGAGTCTTCCTGGAAATGCAGAAATCCCCATGCCACTTAGGGGCATCTTCATTCATCTCCAGCCCTCCTTTATTAAGTCATGTATACCATCTCCTCTCTTATGCTTAATGTCATGCCACTCTTCAATCCTTGTCCCTTCTTTCCCTCTGTGCCTGCTTGTGGTTTACTCCTGCTGACACCAAAGGCTGAGGAGGATGAAAGAACAATTCCAGCCCTGACAGACAGCAGTAGCAGCAACTACCTCTGGCTTCTCCTGGGGACTTTGCCAAGCCACACCTCTGTCTCTCCCTCCGCTGTCCCTCTGCAGCTGGTTCTTCCTCCCGCTGCACCCTCTCCACCCCTACCCACAGTCTCACACCCAGATTCTCCCTCTCTGCCCAGCCACCTTCAGATTGGAGGCTTGGTCAGACCTGACGCCTGGCTTTGAGTTTGCTTACCCTCCCTCCCCTGGGCTCCTGGATTCCAGATAGAATCTGGCTCTTCTCAGATTCTATCTGGTCAACTGACCAGGGTTCTGGGGCCCCACAATAGGACTCAGGGCCCTCAGACCCTATTGATCTGGTAAGTGACTGCAGAATCACCCTTATTCGTGAGCCACGAATGGAAGATTGCGAAAAGGCATCTTCCAGCATTATCCTGTTCCTTCTATGAGATTGTGCCAACGACCACTCCCTACTTCTCTTTTCTATCAATGCTGAGCATTATGTCCTTTGGAAAACTTCTCAGAACCTCCAAATATGGGTGAAGTGTCCCTCCTAAGTGCTTCCAGGGTGTGCTGTGCTTACCTTTCATATAGCACCATCTACACATGGCCATCTCGCTGCTCAGCTCTCCTACTAGAATATGGTCTCCTTGAAGGCAGGTCAGCGTGGTATCTCCATGATTAACAGGGTGCCTGGCACAAATGAATAAATGAGGCCGCTGCAGCCCTCCTGCCATGGACCCTGGGAAAGCAGAACACATGTTCATTTCCTTTTCTGACTCTCTAGGGCGTGAGAATCCTTCCAGATTGGGTGACTCTTCAACTTCCTCTTGGGGATCTGTAGGTGCAGCAAGGGTTGGAGAATCAGAAGCGCATGTGTTGAGAGCACCCTAGGATTGCTCAGTGACAAGCAGGGAAACCAGACTCCCTGTGACATCATCACTTTGGGGCATGCATGGCCTGGGGATTTCTGCATTTCCAGGAAGACTCTAAGACAGCCCTGTTTAGGATGTAGTGAATCACTAGCACTGTCTGGAGCTCTGAACTGCAGCAGAAGGCTGAGGTCTGTGAGACAGCCAGAAGAAGTGGGTGGGGGGAAGATGGTTTCATATAGATGCACCATCCAAATCCCTTCAAGTTGTCTGTGACCAACATTTCTTACTTTGAACAAAGTTATGGATTTTTTTCTACCTGTAAAAGTAAAACAGAGTCATCATGGAAACATAAATAAAATACAGGCAAGAAAAGGAATAATGAACATTAGACACTTAAAATGTTGGTATTTCCTTTCTTCAAGTAAAAAAATCTTTCTCACTGTCAAAATGAGAGTACCATCTTCATAGAATTCTTTATAACCTCTGTTAAAGGAAAACTTTAAATTTCCAAATTAAATTTAACAGAGTTTATTTGAGCAAAGAATGATTCACGAATCCACAGCACTCAGAACCAGAAGAGGTTCCGGGAGCCCAGGAGCATGAGCACTGAGCTTTTATAGGCTGAACATGGAAACAAAGCAGATAAATCACCTGATTGGCTACAGCTAGACATCTGTCTTATTTGGGCCTGGTGCGATGAATTGGTTGTCCGTGATTGGCTGAAACTCAGCTGTTTGTGATTGGCTGAAACCAGCTATTTGTTACCAAAAGTATTCTCCTAAGTTTCAGTTTGTTTATATACTAAGTTAGGGTGTAATTTGTTATGGAGGAATTCAAAGTGCGGAGGCTTCCTGCTTGTTTCATTTAATACCTCTTTGTGGTTTTTTAAATCCGTTTTCATATATGCAACATATTATGAATAGCTTTCCATGTGGCTGAATGTCATCTCAAAGCAGCTTTGAAACGGCTGCAGAGTGCTCCATGGTATGCAGGTACTAGAATTTATTTCAGTAATTCCCTATGGTTTAGATTGGTTCGAAATTTCATTATTATAACCCAGAAATGAGCATTCTTTTAGCTGACCCACTGCACACAGCCATGATTACTTCTTTAGGATAAATTGCCAGATGTCAGTTTGCTAGCTCAAGGATAGGAACTTCTGTAATTTTGCTACATCCCACTCCACTGTTCTCCACACAGTTTTCATTTTGGCTTCTGCCAGTTGGCCATGAGGGTATGTGTTGTCATTTTGTGACATTTCCTCGTGTCACAGCTGCCTTAGTGTCCTCTTAACCTGTTTTCCATGAAATGATGGATGGCAGGCCATGCAATTGGCTCCATTACCCACCTGAGAGAAGCCCCAGAGAAACCTCAATAAATCTGGCTCATACCAGGGGTGGCCAGTGTGAATATCAGTAGGACAGAACAATAAATGAAGAAATCCCATGCTGATCCTATTATACACAGCACAGAGATTAATAGACTCTGGGATCACACAGACCTTGATTTGAATACTGACCTTGACTTGGGCAAGATCTTGCTGAACCTCAGTTTTCTCAGCTGTGAAATGGAATCATACTGTCCCATCCTGATGAGGTTTAAATTGAATCGGGTGTCAAAAACTTATAGCATAGAGCAGGTACCCAGTGGGCCCTTGGGACACATTAGCCAGAATTGTTACTAAATAGGCACAATAATTTGAGCCAATGTAACAAACCTTTTGTTTAGTTGGGGTCCTTAAGAGACCTGTTAAACTGCTAAGAATGATTTCTAGCCAGTGTAACAATTGTGCCCAGGGGAAGAGATCCCCATATGAGTTAATTTCCTTAAATGTTTGCTATATTCTATGTTTCATAATTCAGTGTTTCTTAACATTCCCTGTGAAATTTTATTTGGTGTAACAGGGCTTATTTTCACAGAGCTTGTCCTACCAAGCCTTCTCTACGGCAAGGGAAAGGCAAACCCAGGCTTAGCCACCAGGGCAGAGGTTCCCTGGCTGGTGAGCTTAGGGAAAACACAAATCCTGGGGCTTCACTGAGTCCCCCTGGCTCAGATCTCCAGGCCACCCTGGGGATCCCAGGTGTCCGCACCATTAACAGACTCCTCAGGTAATTCTTAAGCTGGCTGGGCCTAAAACTGCAAACTGGTATTGGGCATGCCAGAAGGTAACCATAAATGGGCTATTTGGAGATTTCTAGGAAGAAGAATGACATTTTGTTTCATTCCATTCCATTTCATTTCATTCCATTAATACTAAAAATATTAACTAAAGCATCATTTCTACTATATATCCAGAAGAGAACATGGTCTTAGGTCTTTTAATAAATGAACTTCAGTTGCAAACTTTCTGCTGTGACGTTATATTTCTCTTTCCACCCTAGACCAGCCCCTAATGGGGCCATGAAGTCAGATTTTTGGTTCATGGTGTTGTCGGGGCAGCATAGCCCAGAATTCCACTTCCTTCCCTGAGGACACATTTATTCTGGTAGATGTGCTGTTTTCCATTTAAATGTCCTTTGGCAATAAAAGAGCTGGCTCCAACAGCAGACCACGGGGCTGGCTTTGTCGGCAGACACCACGTGTTCATGACTGGCAGCTTTGTCTGGAAGAGGGAGCTTTTAAAATGCAGTTCTATGCTGACTCTTTGGAGTCTTCCCAGGAAGATAACTGCTATTGCATTGCATGCTTAATTTAGAGCACCTATTTTTCCCTCTCCTTCAAGGTTTCTGTATATCTTCTCAGTTCATGAAATTAATTATTTGGGTACAATAATTGTACAAAGGCACTTTATCAGACACTTCGTATAAATTATTTCTCATTCTCAAGGCAACTTGGAAAGGTCAGTCTAGGGGTCAGCTGCTACTTTTGGTGATCAGGCATCACCCCCTCCTTCCTCTTAGTACGTTATGACAGTGGCAAGTGAGCATTACCTGTGGACCCCAAAGGAGTTCATTTCCTTAGAGCCAGCCATTCCTCAGTTAATCTGGTCTGTCAGACACTCTGTCCCAGGACACTGAGCCTTGAGCATGTGAAGGTGTGGGCTCTGCTGGGGGCTTGGCAGCCAGCACCTGTCTGTGTATCACCTGGCTCCTGCAGCGAGAACCTGCGGTGTGATTTCTGCAGCCTGGCCCTCTGAGATTCCATGGCTGCTGACCATTTTCCACTTTCCAAGACTGTTCACATTCCCAGCAATTCTGTGAGGCCCTGGCCTTCAAAGGTGTTCAATACATTCCTTTTTTTTTTTTTTTTTTTTTTTTGAGACAGAGTCTCACTCTGTCACCCAGCCTGGAGTGCAGTGGTGCCATTTCAGCTCACCGCAACCTCCACCTCTCGGGTTCAAGCAATTCTTCTGCCTCTGTCTCGCAAGTAGTTGGGATTACAGGCACACATTGCCACTTACGGCTTTTTTATCATTATTATTATTATTTATTTTTAGTAGAGATGCAGTTTTGCCATGTTGGCCAGGCTGGCCTTGAACTCCTGGTCTCAAGTGATTCACCCACCTCAGCCTCCCAAAGTGCTGGGTTTACAGGCGTGAGCCACTGTGCTGGGCCCCATTTGTTATTTAAGGGAGAGTCCGTTTCTGCTGTTTGTAACTAAGGACCTGTCTGATCTCTAGGAATTATTGACCCCAGTTTTCAGATAAAGAAGTTAAGCTTGAGGTTAGAGCTTTTGAGCAAAAACTCCTCTCCTAGAGAACTCAAGTATCCAGGAATACTCGGTCAAGGCTGGGCTGGACCAGGTCTGTAATCCTGATATTCAGAAAAGGGATGATTTCTCCTCTTTGGTTTGGTTTTCTCACTGAGGCCTGCACACCAGTTTATTTCCTGACTTGTGCATTCAACATGGGCAAATCCAGGTCAACAAAGACTGGCAGCTTATTCCTGAGTACAGTTCCACCAGGTATGGCACACAAAGTGATATGAGTTAGAACACAGATGGATATAGATGTTTTACAAATGTAAGTTTGCATAACACACACACACACATTGCTATGTGTTAGAAAAATACAATAAGCTCATCTAATTTATTATTTCATGTGTCTTATTGCTCAGAAAGAGGAAAAGATTTTATTGAAGTTGAGAAAAGAAATTGAATTAAAATAATATACTAAATAAACAAAAGTAACTGTGGCTCATCTTAGTTGGGCCAAAACCAGGATGGTGATGAATGGAGGTCTGAAATGGGAGAGTCCCCGCAGAGTAGGAAGAACCCTGAGGATAGTCTCAGCAGATTATGGCTCCAGATGTGTCAATGTAAAGGACGCATCTTCTTGGTACCATCTCTTTGGTTGAGATGAATCATCTTTAGGCTTTCACTTGCTATTGGTTGTCCATCCTTTATCTGCAAATATGAGTGAAACCAAGCCTGGGCGAGGGAGATAGGCTCTTTGCCCAGTGTCTAACGGGCAAGTGATGGGGGCAAGCTGAGTTTTTTCTGATTATTGAGAGGGAAGTCCTGGGAAGCCCACAATATATAAAATCAAGAGTTATGGTGAATGTTAACCCAAAGGCATAGGCAAGAGTGTGTTTCCAGGTGAAGCATTCCCTCCAGGAGTTGGAGAGGTTCAGATCAGAGTCACCTTTCTGTCTGTTCACTGTTTGCTTCCAGCGTTCAATAAGGTGGGAAAACTCCTTATTGCCCACCTACCGGGTGCCAGACACTGCTCCGAACTGGCACTGCAGGGTGGACAAGTGCCTAGTGTCTGTCCTCCAAAGCAAGAGAGATGGGTAATCTGTCCCATTTAGTTCTCTGGTGTGGATGCAATGGTACTGGTTAGCATATGAGCCAAAAGAGCAGGGGATGATCCTGACCTTACTGTGTGTGCAGAGTAAATGGGTTTGCAGAAGTAATGGTGGGGCGTGCGGGGGTTAGGGAGGCCTTACTTAAGCCAAGCAGGGATTTGCAAGCCTTCCCCATTTACTAGCTATTTGTTCTTTGGAGAAATTACATAATTTAACCATGCTTTTGTCTCCTTATCTGTAAATGGGAATAATAAGATCTTCATAGACTAAATTAGATAACCTATTACAAAGGAAAGGGCTCAATAATATCCCATTGAATGTATATACCATGCTTTCTTTATTCATCCATCAGTGGACATTTAGGTTGCTTCCACCTCTTGGCTGTTGTGAATAATGACACGGGAGTGCAGGTTATTCAGCCTTAAAAAAGAAAGAAATCCAGTCGTGGGCGACAACATGGATGAACCTTGAGGATATTATGCTAAGGAAATAAGCCAGTCACAGGACAAATACTGCATGATTCCATATATAGGAGGTACTTGCAGTAGTCAAGCTCATACAAGCAGAAAGCAGAATGGTGGTTGCCAGGAGCTGGGGAGGGAGAAAGGGGAGTTACTGTTCAATGGGTTCAGAGTTTCAGTTACACAGGATGAAAAAGTTCCACAGATCTGCTAGACAACGAAGTCCCTACAGCCAACAACACTGTCCCGTACGGTCAAAAATTTGTTAAGAAGTAGATCGTATGCTATGACCTTTTCACAATAAAGAAGAGAAAGAGCTTGAGCAGGCATGAATAGGTATACTTGTAGTAAATGTATAAAAACATAGGAGGAGGGCTGCCTTCCAATTTTTGGCAAGCATTCTTCTTCCAGAAGGGGAAGGAGAGTAATGGAATTGGGAAGGGAAAGACTCTGATGCATCTATAAATTTTATTTCTTAAAACAAAAGGGATCTGAAGCAAATGGCAAAATGTTGCCTTTGTTGAATCAGAATAAGGTATACATTGGGATTTACCACCTTTATTATGTTTGAAATATTTAATAATAACAATCAAGAATAAGACAGTGCTCAGCAAAGCAGCTTGGCATAGAGAAGGGTTCAAAATGTGGCGACTGAATAATGCAAACTAAAACACAGAGCCTGTGAAGAAGTCCAGAGCTAGAGAGAAAGTGCAGGCTTCTAGGAAAGCTCAGGCATCCGTGAGGCTGGAGTGGGTATGTGGGATCACAAACTGAGGTTGCGGAAGAAAGCCAGGGCCAGATCACAAATAGCTCCCATAAGCTGAGGCGCACCCTGCTAAGGCTAGCTTTAAGCCTGAAGCCTCACACCGTTGGTCTAGCATGGAATAAAATGAAGTCTCAGCTCCAAAGCCCATGTTACCATCAGGGGAGTCAAACGTGGCTCCAAGTCCACACAGCCCTATCACCTGGGAGGCTCCCTACAAGAAAGGCTCTGCCAGATGCCAGTGAGTCTGTGTTCCCTCTCTCTCTCTGTCTTCCTGCACATCACCTAGGAATGGCCAAGACTGGCCCTCCTTGGATAAGGAAGTAGAAAGCAATTGCTTTGATTAAATGAGCGAGGACACATAACAAGATTTTGTTACGTGTGTAATTTGAAGGCTTGAAGAAAAAAGCTGCCTTGCTTTGCATAGGGATTACTGGGGAAGCAAGAAGGTCTGTGGTTCTGCATGTGAGGTGGTAGATTCCAGAACCAGTGCCATCCCAAAGCCTCTGGGTCAGCTGTGAAGCAGCTGGGTCTGCGAACTCAAACAACGGTCACTCAGGACTCTAACAGTTTCCCAAAACACAACCGAGAAGGGTCACAATCCTGTCAGTTGAAGCAGAGGTTGGCGCCCAGCACTGCCTCTCAGGTTGGAGCCTCAGGGACAGCTTTGAAGCACTGTCAGCACTCCACCCACTTGAACCTGCCCTTCTCTGAGAGGTGGCAACCTCCGTGCTCCTGCCACAACCTTCTGTTTCCTGCTCCTGCTGTGCTCCACAATCACAACTGAGATGGGGGCTTGGGGCCCTGTGGCTGTGGTCCACTAGACTTCCAGTTCTCTGCAGCCTTACCCTCAAGAGGGGACAGGAAAATGCCTTGTCCCTAAGGTCTGTGGTCATTTTGATTGGAAGTTTCCTCCACCAAGAGAGAAGACTTTGAAAGAGCTTTTTGGGAAAAGGCCTGAGTTAGTAGATCTGTTAACAATTTCCCCCTGAATAACACAGGGAGTGGGTGTCTCTTCTCCTGAAGATAACTCCAGATCCTGACACCTGTGACTGTTACATATGTTGGGGATTGTATTCACATTGTAAGCTGCCATAATAAATTGTCACAAATTTAAGTTGTAGCTTAGAACAACTGCTCCACTCTCACATTTTTGGAGACTAGAAGCCTGAAATCAAGGTGTTGATCATGGCGGATCACACTTTCTCTGCAGGCTCTAGGGAAGAACCCTCCCTTGCCTGCTCCTAGCTTCTAGGGATTACCTTCAATCTCAGGCATTCCTTGGCTGGCAGGTGCACGACTCCAGTCTCTTCCTCTGTCTTCAAATGACCTCCTTCCCTGCATGTCTCTGTGACTCTGTATCTTAAAATCACCTTCTCCATATAGGCACACCAGCCATTGGAGTAAGGGCCCAGCCTAATCCAATATAACTTCAACTTAACTTGATTATATCTACAAAGACTCCATTTCCCAATAAGGATACATTCACAGGTGCTGGCGGGGGCATGAATTTTTGGAGGACACCATTTAACCCACTATAGGGACTTCTGGCTATTGGACACGGCAAGCCAAGGACAGCTTTCATGCAGCTGCTCACATCCCCTAGCTTTATTGAAAAAGGACCAACTCTACTGGTCTTCCCTTCAAGACACTTATAAACTTTATGGGGCCCCTGAGCATATCATGGATAGGGGAACTCTGAAAACTGTTGCAGAGAACAGACTTAAACTCTACTCTGTCCTGTGGGATTAGAAGATGTTGAGGAGCAGGGTATGACTAGTGCATTTGTGTCCTGGAGACAGATTGGAGCACATTACTATACCTAAAACTGAGCAGCGGAACTCGCTTTAATTATAAAAATTGATTCATCCTCCACTTCTTCCTGAGTATGTGACTACACAGCAAGTGATGACATGTCCAGTCTTATATGAGGGTAGGAAGAGCTTTGTGATGATGATCCAAAGTTGAACAGGACGCAGTTTCTGACCTCAAGGATTTAAAGTATAGTGAAGTGAAGGAAAGTAGTCAGTCCAAGTGTTCACCAGTGGAATCTGAGCAGGATGTGAAGTTTCAATGTCACTTGGTTAAAGGGAATTCCTTGCCTTAGACTTAGCCAACTTAGGAATACAGGGTAACTTTCTTACCCTGATTAAGAGTAACCAGACAAAAAATGCATACCTGACCCTTCACACTTAATGGTGAAAGAGTAAATGCCTTCCACCAGAGATTGGGACTAAGGGAAAGATGCCTGGTTTTACCATTCCTATTCAGCATCATACTGGGAAGTCCTCACCAGTGCAATAAGGTAAGAAAAAGAAGAGACATCCAGATTTAAAAGGAAGAATAAAAGAGTTCTTGTTCATTGACAATGTAATGGTCTACATAGAGAATCCCAAGGAATTCATTTTTTGGAAAGTCCTAGAAATAATAAATGAATATAGCAACATCAATGCATATAAGGTCAACATACAAAAATAAATTGTGTTTCAACTTAGGCATGAACAGTTGTAAACTGGTATTAAAAATAAAAATACCATTTCAAAAAGCTTCCAAGAAATGAAATGCTTAGGGAAAAATCTAACAAAACGTGTAGGATCTATATGCTGAAAACTACAAAACATTGATGAAAGATCCCCCAGAAGACCTAAGTAAATTGAGAGACATACTGTATAGACAAGCTGATTCTAAAGGTTTGCTTTTGCAAAGGACTTAGAGTAGCCAAAACAATTTTGGGGGAAACAAAGGGTAAACTTGAAAAAAAAATCATACTGCCTGATTTTAATATTTTTTACAAAGCTATAGTAATCAAGAGAATGTGATGTTGGTGACAAATCAGACACATAGATTAGGTTAACAAAGTAAAGAGTCTAGAAATAGATCCACATAAATATGGTCCATTGATATTTAATGAATGTGTAAAGGCAAATCATTGAAGAAGGGTAGTTGGTCAAAAATGTGGTCGAACAATTGGTTCAAATGTTTGGTTCATTGAACTAAGTATAAAAGTAGAACTATAAAACTTTTAGAAGAAAACATAAGAAAACTATTTTAGGCAAGAAGTTCTTAGACATGATACTAAACACACTATCCATAAAAGAAAAAAATGATAAACTAGACTTCACCAACATTTTTTTTTAAAATCTGCTGTATGAATACACTTGTAAGAGAACAAAGATACAAGCTACAAATTGAGAGAAAATATCTGCAAATCACATATCTGACAATATACCCAGGCAATACTGATTATGATCCTAAAAGATACTATTCTGAATGCCATAATCACAAATGTTGAAATTCCAAAAGTTCAAAATCCCTAAATTCAAAACTCCTTAATGTCTAAAAAAATCCCCATAATCAAAATCCCAAAGGATTAAAATTCCAAATGTTGAAAGCCTGAAATCCAAATTCTGGGGACGAAGTTGGTGCATTTTCAGTTGTATGCCACCTAATGTTAGTTGTGTCATGTTAGGCAGAACTATTACCTTATTATTATCTTTATTTGGAAATTAAGTATGGTTTAAGGAGATGCATATGGGTGCCAAGTTGATAAGGGATGGACTTGCAGACTTAATTTTAAGCGTCAGTTTGACTGGATTAAGGAATACCTGGAAACCAGGTAAAGCATTATTTTAAGTGTGTCTGTCAGGGTGTTTCCAGAGGAGACCAATAGTATGTGAGTTTCAGTGAACTAGGTGGGAAGGATCTGCTCTCAGTGTTGGTGGGCACCATCCCATAGGCCAGGGACCTGAAGAGAACACATACAGAAGGCGAATTGGTCTCTCCCTGAGAGCTGGGACAGATTTTTCTTCTACTGCCTTGGACATCAGAACTCCAGGATCACTGGCCTTTGGACTCCAGGACTTACCTCAGCAGCTACCTGGGTCCTGAAGCTTTGGGCTTCTGACTATGAGTTACATCATCAGCCTCCCTGGTGTTGAGGCCTTCAGACTTGGAGTGAGCCATGCTACAGGTATCCCAGAGTTCAGCTTGCAGACAGCCTGCATTGGGACTTCTCAGCCACCATAATCATGTGAGCCAGTTCCCCTAATAAATCTCCTCTTATATACCTATATACATGTCCTTTTGGTTCCATCTTTCCAAAAAAACCCTTACTAATGTGGATTTAGTATTGGGGAACCCAAATATCATTCCTTCTTACTGTATTCGTTAAAACACAACAGAAGAGTTCTGTGAAATTATTTCTCACAAAAAGGTTGTGATAAGTTAAGTATACGAGGCTGTTTAATGGTGAAAGATAAAAGTTTAAAAGCTAATTATTATTAGTGCTGCAAAAGCAGAAAATTCCTTAATTGCAACAACCAAGCAATAACCAGACTTTTAAATGGATGTCGTGGACTTAGAAAATTTGTAGACCATAGCCACTCTCCAAATACAAGTGCAGCAAGTGTTTCGAAGATTATACAACTGAAAATGCAGGCCAAGAATACAAGAAAACTCCCCTGTCAAATTATTCAGTCATATATGGTTTCTGCTCCTTCACACAGAGCACCAGTCCCCTATGCTATGTATTTTATCATTGCATTATTTTCAACACTGGAGGTATAAATTACGTATAGACTTTTAGAAAATTCTAATTCACTGTATGCATTTTTTTGAAAATTTGACTTCCTGAAAGTGCCTTATTGCAATTTTGACTTTGTGCGTAACCAGAGAGTGTGCATGTAAAAAATCAAAACTCCCTCAACCAAGGAAGAGCTATCCTTTTGTACATTTGCATTTGTGAGAGATAAAATGTCTCCAGATCTCAGCTCTTTGGGCAGCTACATGCCATGGTAATCCATTGCAGTTTTTGATCCATCTTATTAAGACTTAGGTATTTCAGATGACTGCAGTTATGAAGTGAGGTGCGCACAACACCAAGATTAGTGATATGTGTATATACATTTCACTTTTTGACCTATTTATTTATGAATATGGTTCATCTGCTCAGAGCTCTTATACCCATGTGACTGCCATTAGTATACCTGAGTGTTTATGTTTACAAAAATATGAATGTTATTATTGCCTATTTTGTTGTGTAAAGTGGCCTGTGAGGTGCTCTGTCATGTTTTATATGTTTTTAATAAAGAAACATATTTTCAAATGTAAATAATCTCTAAACTTTTCAAAATTATTTTTCCCAGAATTATATTTTCAGGATTTACATTTTTAGGATTGTTAATTTCAGGATTTTAGACTTTAGGGATTCTTATCTTTGGAGATTTCAACATTTGAGATTATGGCATTCGGGATTGTGTCTTTCAAGATAATGGCCCAGATTCATAACCAGGATATATAAATAAGCTCAAAATGCCACAGTAAGAAAACAAAGACCCAAGTTAAAAATGGATAAAAAGACTTGACCAAACACTTCATCAAAGAGAACCTACAGACATCACATAAGCATATGAAGAGATGTTTGATATTATTAGCCTTTAGGGAAGTGGAAATTAAAACCATGATGAAATGCTGCTACATACCCTAAGTACATTAAAAATACTGACAAAACCATGTGCTAGTGAGGATTGGAAGCAACTGGAACTCTTACATATTGCTGGTGAAAATGCACATGGTACACCACTCTGGAAAACAGCTTTGTAGTTTCTCATAAAGTTAAGCATTCACTTATCATGTGAACCAGCATTCTCATTTTTAGGTAGCTATCCTTGAGAAATGAAAACGTATGTCCACACAAAAACCAGTGTGTGAATGTTTATAGCAGTTCTACTCACAATCACCAAAAACTGTAAATAATCCAAATGTCTTTCTGTTGGTAAATGGATAAATGGTAGCACATCTTTACCATGGAATGCTACTCTGCAATAAAAGAGTGAACAATTGATACACTCAACACCTGGGGTGAATCTCGAAGGTATTATACTGGGTGAACAGAGCCAGTTTTAAAGGGGTACATTTATAAGACATTCTTAAAAAAGACAAAACTAGAGTGATGGAGAGCAGAACAGTGATCGCCAAGGGCTAGGGGTTGGGGAGAGCACAGCTGCCAAGGATTAGCACAAGGGAGATTTTTGGGGTGACAGAACCTGTTCTGTATCCCAATTGTGGTGGTAGTTACACAAATCTAGACATTAAAATTCATAGACCTGTACACACAAAAAAGTCAACGTTACTATATGTTAGTTTAGTAAACAACATTTTTTAAGTCCTGAAGTAATACTACAGTGATGGTGGTCAGCCATCACTACCAGTACCTCTGAATTGAGGACAGATGACTACATGGTACAAGCAAGAGGTTAGATGATTCTTTAAAAACATCTGGAACTTACATTTATCCATCCATCAAGGCATCCACCCAACCAGCCAGTCATTATGGGTTGTTCTAACCAGCACACAACCAATTCTTGTGGAGAAGGCAATATGATGGAGGAGGAAGGTATAAGGAAAGACAAAATACATGAAAAAAGTTAAGTGTGATGAGCATCAACAAAGAAATACATTGTTGACTGGAAAACAGAAAAGTTTCTAAAGTGGTTTCCACTTAGGCAAGAATTTACCAGACTCATATCACGTTTAACAGCCTTCAGTTATTTTACTTACTGGGCTATTCCCATGCAGCTATTTGCACTCTGGCACAAAATATCTAATTTGGCATATTTGCAAAATGTATAACACTATAGCTATTTTATATATATATATATATATATATATATAGTATAAAATGCAGCAATGTTGTATCTACAACCCTGAATTTACTTTATATGAAGTACTAGAAAGTCTAATATATTCCAATGTATTGGGAAGTGAAGAATTTCAGTTTCAGGGTGTGAATGAAGTGTCCCTCTGGATGGGGATAATTAGCAAAAAAGGAAACTAGGAACCGAGAATGGAAATGGAAGGTCAGCAGAAGAAAAGGAGGAATGGAGGTTTATTACTTTTTAATTATTGCATTAAAGCCCTGGAAGACATGGAAGAACAGGAGAGAGAGGATGGCCTTCAGGCAGCGAGTGTGTGGGGCACCACCCAGAGTGTTGAACAAGATGTCAACATGGCAAAGCTGAGACCACTAACCTTGGGGACTGGAAAGGGGCCTTGAGAAATGTCTACCAGTTTCCAAATAATAGAACAAATACCCCAGGTTTGGTATCTTTTTCACAATCTAGGACTTTTTGTGGGTGATTCTGACTCCAGTGGAGGCCCAGGAGGCAGAACCCAGAAACTGTGTACAACCTAAAAAGAATTGACATTTGGTTTGAGGACCAGATGAGGCGCAGAAACAAAGTGCCTTAGCATATGTGTTGCCTGCAACAAAATAATATAAATCTGCAAACTTATTTTTAAACGTCTAAAAAAGTAAGATGAATTGATGGATGGGTAAAGGAATAGCTAATTGATGGATAGATACGTGATTAAAAAAAATACAAATTTACACCCTCAAGGAGGTGACGCGTAATTCCTCATTAAGTTTTTTGAACTGTGGGATGCACCTAGTAACTTCCTTTCAAAAAGTACACATGGAAAGGAAGGAAAAAGTGTAACTTCACAGTGGAGAACCTGACCAGCACTACCTCAGCCAGGTGATCAAGGTCAACAAGAGCGATGACATGTGGACAGTGTGTATCCTTGATATGAGATGAGAAAAGCACTTTACCTCTGCGGTCTTTCTTCTAAAAATCCACATCCACAGTGTAATTGCCAGAAAATCATCAGACAAATCCCAACTGAGGGACATTCTATGAAATACCTTGTAAGTACACCTCCAAGGTCAGGAGTTGAAGACCACCCTGGCCAACATGGTGAAATCCTGTCTCTACTAAAAATACAAAAAATTAGCCAGGCCTGGTGGCATGTGCCTGTAATCCCAGCTACTCAGGAGGCAGAGGCAGAAGAATTGCTTTAACCTGGGAGGCGGAGGTTGCAGTGAGCTGAGATCGCACCACTTAAAGTATGGATTTTAGTTAATAACACACCAATATTAGTTAATTAGTTATTACAAATGTATCATACTAATATAAGATTTTAATAATAAGGGAAACAGGCTAGGAAGTATATGGGAACTCTGTACTTTTGTAATTTTCCTTTTTGTAGTTAAAAGGTTTATTTAAATAAACAAGCTTAGTAAAACATTAATGGTTGAACCAAGGTTGTGTGTATATTGGTGTTAATCGTAAGATTCTTTCAACTTCATTGTAAGTTTGAAATGATTCATAACTTTATTTATTAGCTAGCATTTATTTGTAAGTTGAAACTTCAGGGTAGGAAGATCCTGAAATGCTTCAAGCACCTACAAGCAAACAAAGGTTTGCAAATTAAAATTAACGGTAGAGCACTAACAAAGATGTGCAAATTGCCTCTGAGGTTGTTTTTACTCGGTATGCTTTGTTCACTGCTTTATATTAATCGAAGTAAAACAATTTGTAGGGATATTAATAACTTTACCATCAACTCGGGTTCCTCTAACCCTAATATTCCCTTGAGATTTTAAGTTTCGTAATCATAATTTGTCCTAAGTGCCCACGGTGTGGGAGAAGCTGTGTATTTATGTTTCTGCAGATGATCTATCCTCCTACTTCACAGCAACAAACCTGAGGCTATCAGGCATAACTGCCCCATTTCCTGTCCTCCTACCTAGAAGCTTATTTATAACCTTCCCACCCTTGCCCCCTTCCTTCGAGACTCAGAGAGCAGTTCAGGGTTGGCCACTTATTGTGTCACTTGTTCCTCCCCTTCCTAATTCTTTCAAGGCATTCACTTTTTTTTTAATCAATTATTTTATTTCTTCCTCAAATTGTTAAACTTTACACACCAACTCTTCATCACAGCCCCCAAAGCCTGTGAATCTCATCTTTAAACAGTGAATCATGTCCTCCCAAAGCAAAACAAATCAACCACCCTAACACCTTCTCTCTGCCTCTGTTCTCCTCTGCCTCTTGCCTCCTGTCTTTTCCCAAAGCCAAGGTTCTGCAGAAGACCATCTACACCTGTCGTCTGCATGGGACTTTCATTCCTCAGTACCCAACTCTCCACCGAGAGCCCTCTGACAAGGTCACTGAGATGTCCCCAAAACCCATGCCAGCAGCCTCTTGTGGTCACCTTCTTGCTAGACTTTTAGCAGCAGGTGACACCCATGACTGAGTGTCTGCTTGGTATTCTCCCCTCCCCTGGCTTCCAGGACCCCTTTGGCTAGTCCTCGTCAGCCTCCTTTGCTGGTTCCTCTTCCTCTGCTCACCCTGATAAATATCAGAGCTCTGTCCTTGGTCTTCCTCATATCAAGCCCTAATACACTCTTGCTACACAATCCAACTCCCCCCAAGGCCACCCTCAACTCCAGTGACTCTCAGATATACACTGCCCCACAGAATACCAAAAGCCAACACGCAACTTGTTTTCAACACTCACTATGTGCTAGGCACTGTTCTAAGCATTTGACCTATGTTGTCTCATCTAATCTTTACAACCCTATCAGGGTGTACTATCATTAACATCCCATTTTACTGAGCACAGAGCTCAAACAACTTGCCCATGTCCACACAGCATGAAGCCAGGATTCAAGCCCTGTCCCACACTGTGCTCCTTGCAGAACATCTCCACCTCAAGGTTTTTCATCCACCTCTAACCTACCATGCCCCAAATGGAATTCACAATCCAAATGGAATCCTTTCCCCCAAACTGTTCTCCTTGTATTTCCAGGGGAAGATCCAGGCTTGGTGGAGCCTGAGGATTCTATAATTGGCCAGGAAGGGGCTCTTTAGGAAAAAATAAATAAAAAGAAAACAATGAATACAAGAGTAGGTTTAGGACCTTGATAGTGGATGTGAAAGGGAGGGATTCTCGCACATAACCTTCATTAGCTTCATGGTGAACCCCACCCCATACATTTTGTATTCCAGTGGCTAGCATCTAGTCATTCCAGCAGGGGCATGGAAAATTCTTCTCTTTATATTCCCTCCCTCTTCCCTTCTTCATCCATATGGAACCATGGATAGCACTCTAGTTCTACCTTCCTCAAGTCTCTAGAATCCCTCTTTACCTTTTCACGTACACTATCCTGATTAGCTCAGGTCCTCAACATCCCACACTCGGACCATAGCCATAGTCCACTCTGTCTATTCCTGCCACTTCCTGGACTTTCCCCAACACAGTTCCTGTGCTTAGCAGGGTGACCATCAGAAACATGCATCTCATCAACCCTTCTGTGATGGTCCATTTTCCTCTGACTAGCATCTACATTCCTTAGCCCAGCAGTACCCAGCACAGGTCAATCTTGCCAGCTTTACTTTTCCCTGTGCTCTCCTTTTGTTCCTTTCTTCAACAAATAATTATTGAGGACCTATTCTTGAGTACTATTATGAAGTGCCAATAGTAGGGTAATTGAATGCTAAACACTGAATATGCAGTAGCAATCAAGACCAGATCTTTCACACCTCTTGTCCCATCACACCAAATAGCTTGCAGTTTTTAGACTCTAAGACTGTGTTCAGCTTCTTTCCCTTTTCCTAGGCTGCAGGGAAGCTTTTAAATTCATTGATTACCTGAATAATAACCACTTATCCTTCGTGGATCAGATACAGTGTTATCTCCCATATAGAGCATTTTCTGATCACCCTCCAGCAGCAAAAATGGATCCCTTCCTCATTTCTATCCCAAATGTGCTTTTGAGATCTGATATTCCCTCAGAACACCTAATATACTTTGATGCAACTACTTGACTATTGAGAAGGTCTCCCTCATTTCAAAGCAAACATTTGGATCAAAGAGACATCATTTTATTCATCTCTACATCCTCACTGGAACCTGCCATATAGTAGACACCATACATTCATACATACGTACATTCACCAACTCATTCATCTTCATCCATCCATCCATCTACCCATCCATCCATTCATCTATCTACTCACTAATCCATCTACCTACTCACCCATCCAACCATCCATCTACTCTTTCATCCATCTACCTACCCACTTGTCCATTTAACCATCTACTCATCCATCTACCCACCCACCTGTCCATCCATCTACCATTTTATTCATTTACCTACCCATCCGTCCATCCATCCATCTACTCATCCATCTACCCATCCACCTGTCCATCTACCCACTCACTCATCCGTCTACTCACCCACCTGTTTATCCATCCATCTACCCACCCACCTATCCATCCAACAAATATTTCTGAATGTCCTCAATGTCCCAGCCATTTCTCCAGACTCTTTGGATATAGAGAAGAACAAGAAAGAAGAGGCCTCTGCTCTCACTAGCCCTACATTCTAGTGTCTGTTGCAGGGTCAGTGAGGGGTGGGTAGGGGGTCACAGACTACGGAAATAAACAAAGTAGGTGAGTGAGAAGTACTGTAAAGTAAATTAACAGAGCAATATCCCAGAGGGTACTACTTTAAAAGGAATGGTCAGGTCACCTTACAAGAAGGTGGCCTTTGTGATGAGTCCCAAATGATAAGAAAGGAAGCAGCCAAACAAAGAGAGACAGAAAGTCCTGATGTGGGAATGAGCTTTGTGTGTTTGAGGAACAGAAAAGAACAGAGTAAGCAGAGGAGAGGACAGAGATGAAGGCAGGGAAGTTAGGGAAAGTGTAAGAACTTGGAAAATACAGGAAACTCAGCAACAGCCAGACCTGATTTTGAATCCTTTCTCTAGCATTCATCTCTACACGTATGACCTTAACCAAGTCACCGCACCTTTCTTAGCCCCCATTTCCCCATCATGGAATGGGGACACAAGTACCTATGTCATTGGGCTTAGGGGAGAAAGTTCGGTAAAATGTCTGACACATGATAGATTTTGACAAACATTATTTCCTCTTCTTTTCTTGCTTTAAACATATAATGATGCTGTTACCTTAAAAGTTAGGTTATGCCATTAGAAGGCGCCTTTGTTCTTTGCTCTTGTTCTACCAAAATGAGAAAATGGCAAAAATCGCAGGGTGGGTCTCAGTTCTCCATTTTGTTAATATCCAAGTTGATATTTCCCTTTTGCGACAGTAACAACAACATGCAAACCAAAAACTGAAACAGCTTCAGTTCTGTGCCCTCAGGATCCAGCGTGGGACTCGTGAGAACCCTCCAGAGACAGCCACATTTCGAAGCAAGTGGCACAGGCTTTGCAGAAGGCACACTGGGCCCCTCTCAAAACTCAAGCAGCAAAGATGATGAGAGAGCTGCAGACTTCGGGGCGTGGAGGATGGGACTAAGCCGCAGAGTGCCTTGTCTAACATGTTTTAGGAAGCACCCTTCTCTTTCCCGACTCACATGGGGCAGCTATAATAATTCAGCTTCACGTGGCTGAATTATTTTCTGTTTTCACTTGGTTCTTTTTTTCTTCTCCTTTAAGAAAAAAAAAGTCCAAATAGGCTTTGGGCCACACTGGACTACCTAGTAAGGGGGATAGATGATCTAGATGATTTGAGAGCTGGTTTTCTGAAAAGCCAGGGAGCTCTGGTCTTGAGAAGACTCAGTAGCCAGGAAGCTGAGGAACACACACACACACACACACACACACACACACACACACAAACACACCCCTTCCTGGCTCCAGTTCCGCACCACCCCACACCCCCAACACCGGAAGTAGATTTCTCAATAGGCAGGGCTGGGTATGAGTCACAGGCAATTCCGTTTTGTTTGGGACCATGAGACCTCCCACTCCTGGGGCCAGAAGGAGTTGCTGAGAAGGAGCTGTGGTTCTGACCTTCAGGGGAATTCCCACGTCTGTATGGTGGCTCGTGAAGAGCATGGTTCCTTTTCTCAGCCCTCTTGAGGGGCGAGGATGCTGAGGACTGAAGTCGGTGGGGCTTGATGCATGTGGTGTGTGGATGGTGTGGGGAGGTGGGGAAGGAGGACTAACATGAATGGTGTGAGGTCTTTCAGAGGGGTCTTCCCAAGGTCACATAGTTGACGGGGGGTGAGTACTCACACTCGTGCAAAGGTGGGGGATAGGAAGGGAAACTGAGGCCATTAGTATTTGGCACCATAGCTGGTCTCTGAGGCTTTCAAATGTTCCCCCAGGAGGTTCAGCCTCTGTGGGGAGAAGCCAGGGGAACCCCATGGCACATCCCCAGCCCTGCCTGCTACCCGCCTCTGCCATCTCCCCTTCCCCTGGGCTATGAGGGGAGGTAATGAGACCTGTGACTCATACAGTGCTCTCCTTTTCCCTCCTATCAGCTCAGACTAAGCAGAGAAGTGGGCAGAGCTCTTTCACCAGAGGTGGAGGGGCCTGTTGGGGAGGGGACCCACCAAATCCTTGGGGGTGGTTCTCAGCTCCCCGGAGATAGGGGAGATGAGACCTCAGGAAGGCTCTGATCAGGCGTCTTCTGTTCTCTTTCCTTTCTTGGGTGGGAATGATGCTTCCCACTTTTGTGGTCCACCTGCAGGCCGCCTTTCATCCTTCTTCAAGTCACAGAGAGACAGAGAGGAGGGGACGAAGGACGAGCCATGGGGTTTTGAAAGCAGGCACAGCAGCAGGGGTGCTGCCTCCAGGGGTCTGCTCTGCCAAGAGTTCCTGTCCCAGGTGTCTACAAAAACAGTCAAACTCTATAAAATACTTGGAGATTTATTCTGAGCCAAATATGAGTGACCAATAGCCCGTGACACAGACCTCAGGAGATCCTGCCCAAGGTGGTCAGGTTACAGTTTGGTTTTATATATATTAGGGAGATACAAGAAATAAATCAATACATAGAAAATGTACGTTGGTTTGGTCCGGGAAGGCAGGACAACTCAAAGCAGAGGCTTCAAGTCATAGATACATTCAAAGATTTTCTGATTGACAATTGGTTGAAAAAGTTGTATTATCATCTAAAGACCTAGAATCAACAGAAGAGAATGTCTGGGTTAAGATGAGAGGTTGTGGAGACCAGGGTTCCCATTATGCAGAGGAAGCCCCAGGTAGCAGGCTTCAGAGAGAATAGGTTGTAAATGTTTCTTATCAGAATTAATTCTCTCCTGGAGCACGAAAAGGAAGGGGATTCTCTTCGAAATATAGATTTTCCCCACAAGAGACAGCTTTGCAGGACTATTTTGAGATACAGCAAATAAACATAACTTGGGGCAAAATACTTTGATTTTTTTTTTTCAGGGCCTGCTCTCTGTCATGTGATGCTATACTACAGCCAGGCTGGAATTTGGTGTCTTATTGCTACAAAGAATCAGCTTTGTCAATCCTAAGGTCTGTTTTAATGTTAATGCTGGTCAGTTGTGCCTGAGTTCCAAAAGGGAGCAGGAAATAATGAGGCACGTTCGACCCTCCCTTCCCACCACGGTTTGCACTAGTTTTTCAGGTTAACTTTGGAAGGCTATTGGCCGAGGCGAGGGGTCCATTCAGATGGTTGGGGGACTTAGAATTTTATTTTTGGTTTACACAGGTCACTGAGAGGCTGCCAGAGGGCCATTTTCATGACCAGAGGGATCTGTTCAACACCCTGTGGGTCCCAGCACCTATCTCAGGAAGCAGGGTGCATCTGTCCACCACCAAGTCTCAGGGTGGCTGGGTGAGCGCTCATCAGTCCCAGACAGCAGGTTGGCACAAAACGACACTGCCCACAAAACCACAGGAAGAAGAGAAACTCCGACTGTCTTTCAGCACACAGAAGACACTGTACTGGACCCGGACATTAGGCAGACACCCACGCCTGACTTTCAGGAGAAAAGAGAACATGACTAACGGATATTCTTAGTAGATGGTTTATTAGAAAAGAGAACATCTTCCAGCATGTGTCCTGGGGTGATGGGTGTGGGAAGCACTCAGTCCATAGTCCTGGTCCCTGGCTTCCCCAAGCCCAGCACCATGAATGTACAGTGGAAAGCAGAGGGTGCAGCGTCTCAGAAAGATGCTTCCACTCACAAGGATTGGAGCTCACAAGTGAGCTCCATAACCTGCAAACCAGAGAAACCTGAGACACTGCCCCTTGGCCATTTTATCAACGGAGACTTTATTGTGATTATCCCGGCAGGGGGCCGAGCTCTCCTCTCTGCAACAGGAAATGCTCTTTAGTGAAAATGCAGCATTTCTCCAAGGGTAACAAAGCTGAACGCCTGCTTAGCTTATGAACCCTCAGTTGGCCTAGGTGGTGCAAAGACCCTGCTGTTACTGCTTTGATCATCAGTACTGTGGACTGTACCAGGAGATCCCTGGGAATGTGCTCTGGGCGGAAGCAGCTTTTATCTTTGGCCCTCACCCATGCTTTATATGGTGAGGTTGGGAAAATGGCACAAGGCTTCTCCTGAACCTCAAATCAACACCCTTGCCCCATTTAGATCCTATCTGGCTGTTTCTTGCTAATATTACTGCATCACTGCACCATCTTTCCTATTTCAGCAAAGTGGAGTCATGTGTGGTTTATGGGGTAGATGGACCCCAAAACTGATAATATGAATCAAGCTATGGTGTTTACTCCCTAGGAAATGCACAATTTTTCTGGAAACCTACAGAAGCTTCAAATGCATTCGCCATGCAAAGCTAAGTCAGCAGAACAACCCGTTTGGCTTTGGAGGCTAGTTCAGTTCCGCGGACAGGGAGAAAGATGAGGCAGACTGTGGTTTTTCAGTTCCTGGAGCTTACGGAGCTCCAAAGCTCCCTCTCTTCCCACCCTGGCTGCACTGTTCTTAATTTTAGATAATACCCTGCCTTCTCGTATTGCTGCTGAGCTCCTAGCATCCTCAGTTTATCTGTCTGTGAAATGAAAAATCTAATGTTAAATTTTTTACCTATGGCATGAGAGAGATGGCTATGGCTCTTGTGAGCCTCTCTGCAGCCCCTCTTTTCCTTCAATCACCCTCTGTCTCTCCTGCCTTCTGCTTATTCTCTCTCTCCCCTCATCCCCACTTTCCCAGTGGGTCCTCTGTTCTCTTTTTTTTTTTCTTTTTAAATCTCTCTATGCCTCCAGCCGAGAAGATAAAGAGTGTACATCTTTCTGGTTAAAAAGTTTTGCTTTGCAGAAACACAGCCAATTTATGATTCTGGCCTTCCCAGCTAGGGACAGTGTTCATTTACATTTAGGACCATGAGGAGAGAGGCTTAGCTGTGTGTTTCTGAGGCCGGAGAAAATTACAGTGATATATAACAGTGCTGCACTCATAGAGGTGCTGAGCCGGGGTTGGGCTCAGGCGGCCGCTAAGCTCAGAGTGGAAAGTTTCAGAGGGGAGGCAGAAAGGAGAGGTCTATAGCTCCTCCAGATTCTAGGTATTAATTTACTAAGATATTCCTAAGCCAGAAAACAGAGACAGAAGACAAAGAGAAAGAGGGAAGAAGAGCAAGACAGAGAGTTAGAGAGAGACAAAGAGAGAGAGTTAGAGACAAAGAGAGAGTGGAGAGGAGAGAGAGCAAATATTGAAAGGAAAAGGAAAAAGAAAGAAACCTGACAGCTCATGAACTTTTTAAAAAGTTACAAATTAGATTTGAAGAGATGGGCAGAGGTTTAAGATTTCTTCATTAGGCTGGGTGTGGTGGCTCATGCCTGTAATTGCAGCACTCTGGGAGGCTGAGGGTGGCAGATCATCTGAGGTCAGGAGTTCGACACCAGACAGGCCAACATGGTGAAACCCTGTCTCTACTAAAAATACAAAAATTAGCCAGGCATGGTGGCACGCGTCTGTAATCCCAGCTACTCTAGAGGCTGAAGCAGGAGAATCGCTTGAACCCAGGAGGCGGAGGTTGCAGTGAGCCAAGACTGTGCCATTGCACTCCAGCCTGGGTGACAGAGTGAGACTCTGTCTCCAAAAATAAAAAATAAAAAAAAAAGGTTTTTTTAAATTATACTTTATTTTTAGGGATTTTTCTTTATCTACCACTTGCTAAAAGGGCCCCAGCAGCAGGTGACTGGCAACAGAAGAAGGTTCCAGAAAAATGAGAGTCACTTCACTGGGCCTTTGTCCTTGACCTGAAGGATTTCTTGTACCTTGTGCACTTTTCTGGGGTGCAGGATGGTTGAGAGGTGCAGTGGTCAAGGCACTTGATGCTTGTCCTGGAGACTGAGGTTATGGGTTGATCTGTCTGGGTGCCACTCAGAATCCTGAAACCTGGATCTGCCACTTACAAGATGTGTGTCTAAATCAGGTTTCTTCTCTCTGAGCCTTGGTTTTCCCATCTGGAACATGGACATACCAATATCTCACAATGTTATTATAAGACTCACTCATATCAATATGCTATTAAGTAACACAACTAGCAATGGCAACTGCTCATAACTCACATGTATTGAACAGTGCACTGGGTCCTCATTTTACATTTGTGATCCCGGTGGGTCCTCACGTCTTCCCCACCAGGTGAGGACCACAAACAGCCTCACGTTTTAAATGATGCTTAGAAAAGCCAAGACAAAACTTAATACTGCCAGAGTGACTCCAAAGCCTTTTCGCTTTAGCAACCATATAGGTGCCCAAAACAGTTTTGCTTCATCTCCTTCTCCCACCTGTTGATGTTTTTGTTTTCCATTTCCATAGACCTGTTCCCTGCAGAGGGAGCCCAGCCCTACATGTGGGGATGAGGGTGTCAAGAGTTCCCGCACCCAAGTCCTGACTCTCTCGGCCAATAGTTGGCCGAGGAACCTTGGGTGAAGTCACTTCATCTCTTTGAGGCCTCTGTTTCCTCTTCTCTAAAATACAGAGGATGTTGTGGGTCCTACCTGCTCAGAGAGCATGTTTTGAGGACCCAGCGTAGGAGGGCAATCTTATTAGTCCAGGGAGAAGCCACAGCGAAGAGGAAGGGCAGGATTCTCTTCCTCTCTCCCGGCCCTACCAGACTTGCCTTGACCTGTGCATCCCGGGCACATGAGGGAGAATACAGGCCCAAGCCAGGTGTGACTACATCCAGATGTTAGTGGGGAAGGAAAAGAGACAAAAACCTGGAATTTATTCAGGTCTGGGACCTAGACCTCTGCTCCATTGGGAAAGCAGTCAGATTTTAGGATAAAAGAGAGAGGCTTAGAGCTCAGTCACATGGGGCTTCAAGTCCCCATAGTGTGGCCTGGGGCAAGTCACTGTCATTCTGGGCCTTAGTGTCCTCTTCTATAAAATGGGAATAAAACTAGCGCTTACCTCCAAGTGTAGATGTGGTAAAATCAGGTTTAGAGAGTACCTGGCCCAGGCTCTGGCACAGAGTAAATGCTCATCCATGTTGCTGGTGCTCCTGTACCCTTGCCAAGAGTCAAGGGGCTGTGCTCTCTGACTTAACCACCCCTCCTCACTAGGGGACCTCACCTCATAACCGCTGCCCACAGCTGACTCTGAGCACCATTTGCAGGGTGCAAGAAACAGCATTTGACAAACGAAGGCTCTGTGCTGCTCACGGATTTCCCATTTAAATGTACTGATCCCTAATTATAATCTCAGCAAGAAAGAAATGACTGAGGACCAGCAGGGGTTGTTGAGGAGCAATTACTTGGCAATTTTCTTTTTTTCCAGTGGAAGGGAAGGGAGGTAGAGAAGGGAGGACGCAGGGAGGAGCTCAGAGTCTCCACTCCTTCCCTTTTTCCAGGCTTCGTGTTCTCTGCAGGGTTGGCTGCTGCCTCAGAGCCAACTCAGCACTCTCCTTAGAGGGCAGACCACGGGGGTGGTCCCCTAATGCCGGAAGGCAGGAGGAATGGGGAATCAGCCATGGATGGGAGACTGACGTTTCTTTGGCATTTTCCTATTTCTTGAAAAGCCAAAACAGGGCTGGCTGTCCCCTCTCTTCCCAGTAAACAGATCACCCTAGGGTAAGTGCCTATGTGGTAGATCTTTAGTTTTTGCTTTTGTTTTTTAATTTCCAAAGATAGGAGGGGTACTTGCGTCAGAATGGCCCAGGGTGCTCGTTAAAGATGCAAGTCACTGTCTCTCTGAGCCTTAGTTTCCTCTTCTGTAAAATGGAAAAGGAGGGGCACCGGTATTTGTACTTGACCAGAGAACTGGATGCTACTGAGGGCTCTGCAGGCTGAGAGCCCCCAATGTGGACTGCACAACCTTTGACCCCATTCTGCTTCTACACCACAGCGTATCAGACAGCTGACCATTGATCATTGGATCCTTGGGCAACTCACCTCTTGGGTGCTTGGGATCAAAGATGCCAAAAGCAATTGTCAGATACAGAAAGGGTATTTGGAGGTTTGCCTTGTTCTCTGCATGAGACAACCAAAACAGTGCATTGTCATTTGCAGAGTATCAGATCCAAGAGGACTCTACTAAGCAAGCAGTTTCTGAGCGTAAAAGCAAAGCTGCAGAGTCAGATGGCCTGGGCTTAAGAATCGGGTTCCACGGCCACTTACCAGCAAAAGGACTTGGAACTCGTCACTGAACTTCGCTGTGCCTCAGTGTCCTCAACTGTAAAAATAAGATGATAATAGAACCGCACTCCTGGAAGGATTATATGAGATTATATGCACAGGTTCTCTCACTCTCACCCTGACGCAGATGAATTCCTAATGAGATTTTAGTTGTTATTATTGAGGCTTACTTCTAACTAAATGCCGTGCTGGATGCCTTAGCTGATTCTGTCATGTAATCCTCATCACCACCATGTCTAGTAAGTATATTTTTGTCCCATTTTACAGAGGAAAGAATTGAGACTCAAAGAGATGAGGTAACTGGTCCAAGGTTAAAGAAGCAGTAAGGATCGGAGCCATTAGTTTACTCATAAAATATTTAATGCTCTCGGTGTGCCAGGTGCTATTCTAGGCATTGAGGGTTTTGTGGTACACAAGATAGACAATGTTTCTGGTCTTATGACAATCACATCCAGTTGGGGGAGATTAGGTCTCAGCACCACTCATACTGCCTCCTTGAGGGGTGATCGTTCTTATCATTGTTCTTGAGCACATGGCTGGGCAGAAGGAATCCAGCAGAGGGTTGGAGGCCGGAATAGTATGAAGTGTCCAGAAATAAATCCTGGTTATCCAGAGAGGGGGATATTTCTTATGGTGACCTTGGCCCAGTTGAATGCCCTCTGCCTCTCCCCACTCCCATCCCTGTGTCTGGGTCTCTGGTCTCTGTACTTAGCAGAACTTGCTGAGAAGAACTCTGAACCTGGGGATGGGGGAGCAGGTTGAGGGTGGGATATAGACCATCAGGTTCCGAGTGAGGCTTGCAGAGCTTGCAAACTATGAGTAGAAACAACACTCATTTTATAGTCAAATCTAGCCTTTGCTGCCTGTGACTCCTGAAAACATTTCCCAAAATTCACTGAGACCTCCCATCACTGGGAGGGAGAGCTGCCTCTGCCAAGCCCCCTGACCCACATCCTCTCTGGGGCAGAAGGGAAACCTCACCTGGCCAGGTGGGCTGATGGTAGAAGTGGGAGCTTGAGCTCCCTCTAGTGAGGCAGTGGGGGCAGCACAGAAAACACCTCCAACCTAGGCACAGGGTGACCTCTGCAGGACTTTCTCCCCATCAAGAAAGAGGAAGTGGCATTGAGTGAGTCCTGGTCAAAAATAGTCCATTTCTGTGGGTCCCAAGGGCAGTCCCGGCTCCCCAGCAGAGATCTTTTGAAATGCTCACTCTTCTGAGGTCCTTGGCTCTGAACCCAAAATTCCCCCATCTGTACACATGCAGATCTCTGGGGTCTGGGCGCATGTGATCCCCCGCAGACCTCCCTGCTGGAGGTAGCCTCCTTCCCATCCTTTCTCTGCCAGACCAAGCACACACTCTGCTCCCCTTGCTGGGCCTTGGGTTGGGTTTGTCCCAGCTCCTGCCCTGGTTGGGGGTGAGGGGTAGGTCATGACAGAGATGGAGCCCCATTTTCAGACTTAGCTTAGCCTCCTGGAAATCACCCTAAAGTATTTTTGGAGCTATTTAGCATCCTAAAGATCAGAAAACTATTGCAACCAGATGCTTGAGCTCTGCTGAGTCAGCAAAGATGCCCACAGCAGTGGGGAGCAGACCCTGGCCTGTGTCACTGTGAGTGAGCAGTGTGACTTCTCAGGGCTGCAGTCTCCTTGTCGGAAAATGGAAACTAAAATTGCTGGGATTAAAAGGGAGGAAAATATGGGAAAGCACTTTGGACAGTATAGTGTGCAAGTTGATGTTAGTATCTATTATTTTTAAAATCCGGAAGTCAGCTAAGATGCCTTATCCTATAAAACTCAAGTGGATTTTGCCAGAATGTCCTCACACCAAATAGTGGACCCCTTCTTTTGCTGATTTATCTGCTATTGTATAGGTGTATGTGTGTGTGGGTGTGTGTGTGTGTGTGTGTGTTAAGGCAGGTGGTAGTATGTGTAGGGTAGGGTTTCCCCAGTCACCTGGAGCCCTGAGTGCCTGCTTCCCTAAACTAGGCCAGTTTAGCTGACTGGCTTCCTTTGTGTATTGGTCCATTCTGCATCAAAAGCATCTGAATTTTCATTCAATCTCTCTTCTGAATTTTCACTTTTAAAAACCTGACCAGTCCCTTGTGTGTAACTGACTTCACAGGAGGTCTGAGGAGACAAAGGGGGTTGCTTCGTAGCCACACAAACAACTTCAAGTCAAATAATAGACCTGCAAATTGCTAAAAAGCCCTTTGGCTCTTTTCAATAACTGGAGGCCAGCCTCCCTCTCCTCTTTCTAAGCCCTCTTCATCTTTCTGTGTCCTCCGACAGCTGTTGTTTATCAAGGTGACCAGCATGATCCATCCCTCAACAAACAAAATTCCTTCCAGAAGAGGAAGGCAGGTGCCAGCTGTTGAGATAGTAATTTCTTTGTCCTGACAACATTTTTGTTTATCTCCGGACCTTCCATCCATATGGGTAAGAGACAGGAAAGAGCGAGAACTGGAAGGGACAGACACCACTGCAGAGGGTCCCGTGGGGGGCTTTAGAGAGGGGCTCCAATGCCTCTCATTGTTCTACCTCCCAGCCATTTTGTTGTTGTTGTTTTGAGACAGAGTTTTTGCTCTGTTGCTTAGGCTGGAGTACAGTAGCACGATCGCGGCTCACTGCCACCTCTGCCTCCTGGGTTCAAGTGATTCTCCTGCCTCAGCTTCCCAAGTAACTGGGATTACAGGCACCCACCACCATGCCCGGCTAATTTTTGTATTTTTAGTAGAGACAGGGTTTCACCATGTTGGCCAGGCTAGTCTCAAACTCTTGACCTCAGGTGATCCATCCGCCTCTGCCTCCCAAAGTGCTAGGATTACAGGCGTGAGCCACCACACCCGGCCCCTCGCAGCCATTTTGAAGGCCTGAGCTCCCTGATGGAAGGCATGGAGCCAAGCTCAAGCATTTTTCCACTGACATGGCAGGATCTTAATAGAGGTTTGTCCTGTGATTAAGTCCTTTATTGACGCTTTGGAGACACACAACCCATACCCTTCCCAACCTGAGCTGAAGCCACAGATGCAAAGGAGCCTGGGAACTCCTCAAGTCCACTTGTGTCCAGTCCTCTGCCCTCCTGCAGGGAAGCTCTGTAGTCCAAGGACATCCAACTCCCAGACTCACTTCCAGGGACAGAGATACGAGGATCTTGGGAGTAGAGCTGTGGGCAAGAATGCCAGACTCCTGGTGATTCTGGGATATAACCCCTTGGAGGGGATTGTCACGGGTCTGTGTTCCTTCATGCCTCTAGTAGGATTCATGATCATCTTTATGACAATAGTGACAATAATGACAGCTACCATGGTCCAAGCCCTTATTACATGGTGGGTCCTTACACACATTTCTCATTAACTACATCATATGATGTAGGTAACTTTAGTATTCCCATTTTACAGATGGGGAAACTGAGGCTTATGAGGTTCAGTTTGTGTAAAATCACATAGCTGGAAGGTATGGAAACTGGGCTCTTCACCACCACAAGGCACCGCCTCTCACTCAGTATGCCACTGCATGCCCATGCAACAATTTACGATTAGGAATGAAATTCTCATACAGTCATGCATCACTTAACAGCAGGGATGCGTTCTCAGAAATGTGTCCTTAGGTGAATCCACTGTTGTGTGAACATCACAGAGTGCACGTATGCACACCTAGATGGCATATTCGACAACACACCTGGGCTCTCTGGTACAGCCTGTTGCTCCTGCGCTACAAACCTGCACAGCATGGGACTGTCCTGAATACTGCAGATGGCTGTAACACAACGGTGAGTATTCGTCTATCTAAACACAGCCAAACATAGAGAAGGTAGAGTGAAAATACAGTAGTATAGTCTTATTGCACCACCTTCGGATATGAGGTCAAGTGTTGACTGAAATGTCATTATATGGTGGGAGACCGTACATTACTTCATTTACACTTCACCTGGATATATACAACCTGGAAGCTCTTTTTCCAACCATATCACAGACAAAGAAATTGAGGCTTGTACAGGTGAAGGGGCCTGCCTTTCCTTTGCTCACAGGAATGTGAGGATGATACAAAAGTGAAGGATATTGGCATTCTTCAGGCAGGGAGATAACCTGGACAGGGGTGGTGCAGCAGGCATGTGCATAAAAGGAGCAAGAGAAGCCTTCTCTGTCGTGAGCAAGCTTGCAGGCCAGATGGAGAAAAATGAAGTAAAGTCACCCCAAAGCCTGGATTCTCATCTGGAGTGCCTCTTGCCTCTTGCCCTTCCCAGAACGCTCCAGCTTGGCACTGGGCTGGAATTCCACTAAGAATTGAGTTGATTTCGTCATCTGAGGCCCTGGGCACAATGACAAGGGTGGTTTTCTCGGATCTGCAGTGAGCATTACACCAGAGTGTGGGAAACAGTGCCTACTCAGGGACCCCACTCTGGGACCCAGGGCAAACTTGCCATCGTCTCCAGTCAGCTCATTAGCCGCCCAGGACTCTGCCAGCCCATCCAGGCAGTGATGTAATTACCAAAATGGAGATGAATATTTAAAGGGACTCTTACTTAACCGATATACTTCCTCTCCAAGTTCCCTCCTTCACCGGCTCTGGATGAATTTCTGGAGGGATTGCTCTGACATAGGCCCAGAGCTACCTGTGGTTTGACCTCATCATGAGGCCTTTCTTCACCCTTTCTTGGTGGCTTGCCTTGAGGGTGTTAGGAGATGGTCCATTGTCTGACTGTGAACAGCAGGGCAGCTCTTATATTCTCCATCAATGGATCTCTGGGGACAAGACCCAGATGGGTGGGGGGACAGGGGAAGGAAACATAAAAGCCAAAGGGACTGGATACCTGTAACTAATTACCCCTTTACTGTTTCTGTCACCAGACCTTAGTGCCACAAAGGATTGGGGGTCATTTGTGACAATGTATGTTGTAAAATGTAAAATGCAAGTGACCACAAATCTGAAAGCAGTATAGAGCTTTGGTTAAAATAATGCAGGCTCTCCACTGGCATTATTATTGTTGTTAGGAGAGTCTGGTGCTCTGTTCAAGGGCTTTTCTGTGCTATGGATTATCTCTGTTTAGCACAAAATATCTTGTGTCCCTGGAAACCCCTTAGTCCTGAGAAAACCAGGGCAGTTGGTCACCCCCCTGTTCAATGCAGGCATCAGTTCCACTAGGTAGGGGGTCTTAGCTGCATTTTAAAGATAAGGAAATAAAGACTTAATGGGTTGGAATAACTGGGTTATGTGCACATAGCTAAAGAATGGTTACACAAACAACTTCAAGTCAAATATTAGACCTGCGTATTCCTAAAATCCCTATGGCTGTTTGCAATAACTTGAGGCCAGCCTCCCTCTCCTCTTTTCTAAGCCCTCTTTACCTTTCTGTGTCCTCTGATGGCTGTTGTTTATCAAGGCAACCATCGTGATTCATACCTCAAAGCACGCTTTGAATTCTACTCCTATAGGCTCCAAAACCCTTATTATCCAGGTTCAGTATTGCTCTAAACTAGGTGAGGTCCTGAACAGACCCAGATTTCAAGCATATTCAGGTGGATTTGTTTAACAGAGTGTGGCTACTGGAACATCTGGAGCCCAAAGTACACAGGAGGCAGGAGAGAGCCTACTTTCCTGAAGAGAGGGACGGGCCAACTGTCCGACAATGAGGAGGTGGGCATTCTTTCCTTTGTAAAACAAAAAGTATCTGAGACAGGGGTCAGTCAATTCAGAAGCTTATTTTGCCAAACTTATGGACCATAACCCATGACACAGCCTCAAGAGGTCCTGAGAACATGTGCCCGAGGTGGCTGGGTTACATCTTGGTTTTACATGTTTGAGGGAGACTGAAGACATCAGTCAATACATGTGAGGCATACATTGGTTGGGTCCAGAAAGGCGGGACAACTTCAGAGGTGGGGAGTGGCTTTTAGGTCATGGGTGGATTCAAAGATTTTCTGGTTGGCAATTGGTTGAGAGTTAAGTTGTTATCCAAAGACTTGGAATCGATAGAAATGAGTGTCTGGGTTAAGATAAGGGGTTATAGAGACCAAGGTTCTTATTATGTAGATGAAGTCTCATTGGCGGCTGCCCCAAACGCAATAGATGACAAACGTTTCTTATTCAGACCATGAAAAGGTACTTCTCAGCCAATCTCTTCTGGACCAGAAAAAGACCTGGAAGGGAAGAGGATTCTCTACAGAATGTAAATTTTCCCCACAAAAGAGAGTTTTGCAGGATCATTTCAAAAGATGTCAAAGAAATATATTTTAGGGTAAAATACTTCGGTTTATTTCAGGGCCTGCTATCTGTCATGTGATGCTAGAGTCAGGTTGGAATTTGGTATCTTATTGTTGCGAAGAGTCTCTTCTGTCTGTCTTAGGGTCTCTGTTTTGATGTTTAATGGGTCAGTTGTGTGCCTGAACTCTAAACGGAGAAGGGTATATATAATAAGGCATGTCCAACAGCTCCCCCGACTGCTTGTCATGGTCCGAACTAGTTTTTCAGGTTTAGTTGGATCCCCTTGGCTGAGAAGTTTCATTCAGTGAGTTGGTGGGGCTTAGAATTTTATTTTTGGTTTACACTTTCAACATACATTTTCAGAGCCACTACTGAAAGGCACATGCCACCCTAGGCACTGGGGATAGCGTGGAAGAACACAGCCCAAGTCCCTGCTGTTTGGAGCGTTCAGGCTAGTGGGGGAGCAGATACTAGGCAGACAAATATATAACAGAGAGGTAGGGAGTGGCACATACTCTGAGGAAAGATAAACCGGGGAGTGCCTTTCTAATGCATGTCGGAGAGACCTCTCTGGATGTGATGTTTGAGCAAAGACCTCAATAAAGTGTGAATCAGCTTGGCTGGGGATAGAATGTTCCAGGCTGAGGAAGAGCAATGCAGAGGCTCTACATCTGGAGCATGCTTGGCCTGTGTGACGAGCAACAAGAAGGCCAGAAGGGCTGGAAGGGAGTGAGGGAGGGGGAGAGATGTGAGGATGGAGAGGCAACTGAGACCTGGTCACCCAGGGCTTTGTGGGTCCCAGTAAGAATGTCGGATTTTGTTGGAATGACAATGGAAGGTCACTGGAGGTCTTGGGGTAGGAGAAGGACATGATGGTTGGTGGGGCAATAAAAGAGATCAGGCTCTACTCCCAGCCCCGCTGTCCAACCCTCAGCCTCTCAGCCATGGAGGTGAGGTCTTCATCAGCTCCAGGGCTGTGATGTCAGTTAGCTCAGACTCTGGGACCCAGAAGACAGGGCTGGGAATGGGAGGCTCCATCAGCAGCTTCTCCCTGATCCCTTCCCCTGGGGCCTGGTTCTGCCTTCTTCCATGTCCGCCTGTTAATCCAGGACCAGAGAACTTTTGTCTGATTTTCACGGTCTCTACAAGCTATCCACAGCCAGAACTGTGTTGGGACTTGAGGAGGGTGGAGACCATTCACTATTCTGAGATGAACTTGCCTGGCATGGTGCTTGGCACTTAGTAGGTACACAGACACAAGTTCCCTTCCTCCACAGCTACATGAAATGATTGCCCTTGTCAGTCAGGAGACCAAGAAAGATGTCTTTTAGGGAAGGAGGTGGGGAACATCATTCTCTCCGGCTGCTGAATAGGCTTGATGACTCTGTCTCTATGTAGTCAGAAGCCATAGTTGTGTGATTCTAAATGTCACTTATTCATTCCTCCAGTTAACTTTCTTACTCCTCTTCTGCCCTGGGCTTTGTGCCAGGCACTGGGGTACCAGAGGAAAAGGTCATAGTCCCTGTCCTTAGAATTACTTGTAGGACTTATTAAAATACAGATTCCAAGGCCCATGCCCAGCAGCTAGTTCTCTGAGCAGGCCCAGGACTCAGCATTTTACCAGGTTCCCAAGTGATTGTGATGCTTGCTGAAATTTGAGAGTCAGTCCTCCTAGTGTCTGGGCATGGGCCCTGAAACCCACATTTTTTGTAACTCCTGTAAGAAATTATGATTTAAATAAACCATATTAGTTTCCTGTGGTTGCTGTCACAAATTACCCCAAACTGGGTAGCTTAAAGCAACAGAAATTTTTTTCTCATTGTCCTGAAGGGTGAAAGTCCAAAATCAGGTGGTGGTCCCTCCTGAGGCTCTCAGGGGAATTCTGCTTCTGGTGGTTCCAGGCATTTTTTGACTTGTGGTTTCATCACTTTCATTTCTGCCTCTATGTTCACATTGCCACCTCCTCCTTTGTCTTCCTTATCTTCTGTTTCTTGAAAGGACACTTGTCATTGGATTTAGGGACTAGCCAGATAATCCAGGATGATCTTATTATTGCAAGACGCTTAATTATATTTGCAAAGACTCCTTTTTCAAATAAGTCACCATGTTCACAAGTTCCAGGCTGTGAACATGTCTTTCTGGGGGCCACCATTCAATCCACTACAAGGACGCTGGACCATACTTTGAGAAAAACTTGCATGTGACTTCTAGGAAATGGGCTGATCAGAGAAACACTAAGGAGGTAGAAGTAACAGGAGCTGGCAATGGGCAAGCTGGGTGGAAGAGGATAAGGGAGGAGCTGCGAATGACTCCCACTGTTCTGACCTGGGTGCTCTGGGACATTGATGATGCAGTTCCTGGAGACAGAGGGTGTGGAAGAAGCCAGCTGGGCCATTTGGAAAGAGCAGAGCCCTGAGCACCTGGAACACAGGTCAGGTATATTTTGATGGGAAAGAGACAGAAAAGTAGCATCGAGAATCAATTTGCATCTCAGAATTGGGATCCCTGCCCTAATCTCTCTACTTTATGCGGCCGTGTCCTGCTTTTCATGACTCTAGAAAGCAGAGGAGAAAGTGGATGTAAGATATAAATTAGTCTGTCTTGTAGGGCTTTCTCTTGGTCCCATTCTGGGACCAGCCAGTGTCCATACCTGTGGCCTTTGGTATCCAATTTAAGGCAGTTCTTCTCTTTCCATGATCACACAGTAAAGGAGCCCCCGTATACAGTGCTCCAGGACTGAGTCCAGTTTTTAGTGTAGCGTGCAACAAGAGCAGAAAAGGCAGAGTTGGGAAGGACATGTCAACGGGCAGCAATGAGGTGGTATAAAGACCCTGGGCATTTGGAGGCAACAGAGGGAGAAAGGTCTGCTTCAAGGACCAACTTGGTCTCTTCCTATCTCTGCCCTGGCAGCACCAGCAGCTGCACATTGGCCCTTCTTACCACTTCCATGGCAAAACCAAGGTTTCTCTACCTCGCCTAGCCGGCCCCTGCAGACTTGCTGACACAGCTGAGTGCGGAGTGCATCTAGACCCCAACATGAGGCGCCCTTCTCTCAAAACAAATGAGCCTTCGAAACTCCAGCAAACAGTGCTAATGAATTGCCCTCGGCTTCTTAGGCATCATTTTCTCGTAATTATAATGGGAAGAAGACATGGAGTCCCACTGAGAACGTGGAGCTAGCCTGCCCCTAGAGCAAGGCAAAATCCCTCTCTGAGGACCACACTCAAGCAGAACTGATTTTTCTAAGACTTAGAGAAGAAACAAAATCTGATTTAATTCTTAGGAAATTGCTTTTTTTAACCCACCTGTGTAAGCCTGTATTTAAATGCTAATATATTTGGCCTGCCGGGATGCCACATTTATTTTCTTCCTTAGCAGCAACAAAAATCATTTATTTATGAGAATTCTAGCTCCTACCTGCTCTCCTGAGTTCCTCATCTTCATTTCCATCTACCAGCTGGATGTTTGTCTTCCCAAGACATACAAAATCTGTAACCGTCTCCCTTCCCAGACCAGATTCTCTTTATACCTTTCCTGTTTCTGTTTCCAGAACTACTGATGGCTTTTGCCTCCCTCTGCTTCCCCCGTGCTTTCCTCCAATCAGTCATTAATCACACTGCTCAACCTTCCTCCCACCGGGGCAAATAACATAACTTGCCTAAGCCTCCATTTCCTCATCTATAAAATGGGTTTAATAAATACTAATACCTACTTCATGAGCTTGTTACAAGACTAGGATGAGCTAATCCAAATAAAACACTCAGAACAGCATCTGGCAACAGAGTAACACATCACAGTGATATTTCTATAATGATTATGACAATGATCCCGACCCCCACGGAACCTGTCCCTTTCCTCTTTGTAGTTGTTCTATGAGCTGACCAGCAAACTCTGGGAGGGCCCTATCCTGCTCATTAGAAAACACAGACCGGACACTCTTCATTTCATCACTATTTTCACTGCCTGAAATTCTCTACCTTATGAATTTGTTTGTTTGTGGTCTGAGTACCCCCTCCCCTGTTCAGCCTGTAAAATGCAACTTCCATGAGGCAAGGGATTTTGTCTTATTTACCAGCATATCCCTAACGGCTGACACACAGTAGGTGTCGGATAGATATTTGCTGAATGAACACGTGAGGAGAAAAAGGCTCTAGGATTTTTGGAAGGAAGACATCTAGACGGCGCTGGTTTTTAAGCCCTTCAACACTCAGGTTTCAGGGCTCCCTTCTCTGCTCTGCTCATTTCTGCTTTGCGGGCAGCCCTGTGACAGGCTCTGTCACTACGCGGGGAGAGAGGTGCAGGCTGGAAGAAGAGCGTTTTTTTCTAGTTCACTTCTGCCTGCATCTCCACGGCAATAGTTCTTGACCCTAGCATCAATATGTTCCAGCTGCAGCAGCTGGTTCCAGTTTGTAGTGTTTTTCTTTCTTTAACTCCCAGAATGAAGCTCATCACACAACCTCAGAGACATCAGCACCAGCCAGCAGGCACTGCCTCTGCCTCACTGGGTCCCTTTGCTGAAGTTCTAGGTCCAGGGGATTCCAGTCTTGATTTCCTTTATCCTCTACTCACCCCCACCCAACTCTAGGAGTGGTAGCTGCTTCCTGCATTTCCTATCTCTATGGTTCCTCAGTGTTCCTTTTAGCCTCCTGCAGTCCTCCAATGCTAGCTTAACAAGTCTTTATGTGAAGTCCTCTCTGTTAAACTGGCTGCTGTGGTCTTTTTCTCCCGGCTGGACAGTGACTGATCCCTTGTCTAGTCATTCCCTGCCTCCCCTCCCACGCCACAGCTCTGGCCTTAGAGGGAATTATTTCCAGGACAAACATCTTCAATCTCTCTCCACGATGCATCCAGGGATGGAGAGTGTATGATTTAATAGACAGCTGCTAATTTCTTCCAATATCGAGGCAAAATATACCTCTCTAACACTGTGAGTCACTTTCATTTTGAGCCCTGGTGAGATATCAAATAAGTTTTTGTAAATTTTAGAGTCAAATGTCAAATGATCTCGGATTCAAATTCAGCTTCAGCTGTGTGACCATCAAGAAGTTACTTTCCCTCTCCGGGCCTGTTTCCTCACCTATAGAATATATAATATCGTAATAGCTACCTCATAGGGCTATAATAAATATTTAAGGTGTGTATGCACTTAGAACAGTCACCTGCACGGGGAAGAAACTTGGTGAATGATGCTGTCATTATCATCATTGAGGAGGACAGCCTTTCAACTTTTGAAGGACAGCATGTTTGTCCTCTCTTAGCCTTGCACTCGAAGTCGGAGCACTTTCCCAGGCCCAGACACCAGCTGGAGCCCCCATCTGCTTGTCCTACTTCCGCCTGGAACTGGGGTGTGAAGATTCCCATAAACGCTTCAGGTGGAGAGAAAACTCTGACTTCCCAAGTTCCTTTGGATAACGCACATCTGTGACCCAGAGGCTGACTAACACATGCCTGCTGATGGTCTCATTTCTAGGGTCTCAGGTGCTATGTAAATCCTCTTCCCTGTTCTTTATTTGCAGGATAGCACATTCCTTGAGCAGAGCACGATTCTCTCCTGTACTCTCCTGTCATGAAGTGCATACTGGCACACCTTGCCTTCCTTTGATGGGAATGTTCTTGGCACACTGAGTCCCTTGCCCATGTATTGGGGGGATATTGCTGTGTGGTGTTTTGGATATTGCTGACCCTCTCTGGGCCTGACTTATTTGTCCAAGGCTGAGAGTTCAAACACATGATGCCTTGCAGAGATCAGAGGAGAATCCAAAATGCTTACTGCTAGGAGAGAGAAAAATCAAAGAGCTGGCTCCATAATTTCGAACAATTATAAAGTCTCACCTGCACAGCCTCTATTTATTTTCACCTTCCTTTTTCTGTGCTTGCTTGGTTTCCACCTCTGTGAGTTCTTTTCCACTTACCACAGCTTCAGTGATCTCAATCTTCTCTTCCTCTTCTGGAATTCTCTACCCCTCCCTTGATAAAAACAGTGTTTTATAATGGTTTCATGTGAGAGCAACGATCCCATCTCACACTTCCTTTGGAGCCCTCCACAGCATTTGCCTGGCACTGGGCACACAACAGCTGTTCAGGACTCCAGACCGATAGAGAATGTTTCTTGTCTAGTCACATAGATGGTAGGTGGTAGTTTTGGGGATGGGGCAGGAATGGCATCAGCATCAACAGTAGGAGAGGTAGGAGCAGCAGCAATAACCTTTGCCGTTGACGTAATAACCTCTGCCATGTACTATGCCAGCCACTATATTAAGCACATTAATTTCATTTAAACCTTCCCCAGACCCTATGAGATAAGGATTATTATTCCCATTTTACAGAAGAAAAAACTGAGGCTCAGTGAGGATAACCTGTTTGTTCAACAGCTGCTGAGTTGAACTCAACCCTAGGATTGAGCTCAAGGCTGTCTTTGGCCTTTGTGCTTGTTATCCTCTCAGCCTTAACTATTCTTCCCCCCCTCAGAGAGCTGTATGGCTGGTTTGAGTCTCTGTTCAAATGTCATCTTAATAGAAACCTTCCCCAGTGGCCCTATCTGAAATCGGAACTCCTGTTACTCTCTATCCATTTGATCAGTTTTCTTTTTCTTTAAAGCACTATCTCTTGTATAGAGGCCCATTTGTTGACTATTTCTGTCCCTGGACCACATGAATATAATGTCAATAAGCCCAGGGACTTTGTCTGTTCTATCTACCACTGTATCCTCAGCACCTGGAACAGAGTCCATGATAATCGTATACTTTCAATATGCATGTGTAGGATGAACAAGTGAGTCAGTAAATACCTAGTGCGAAGATCTGTGCTCTTATCCATTATACATCTGGCTTGGAGGAGTTATGGGATGTTCATAGGATTTGTCAGGTCAAACAACATATGCTTTTGTTTCTTTCCCAAAATATGGTCAAATGTTGGGATTCCAGATTCCTGAGCTGGGGCCCAAATGCAGATCCACCCTGGACATTTCTTATCATCCCTGAACAGAGGCTGCTAACTGTCTTGTGGGAGCCATTCCTCCAGCAGGATTCCTGGCCAGATTTCCAGGCTGAAGACTGAGCTCTGGATCACCTTATATCACTATGGTCACAGCCTTTTTTCCTTTGGCTTCTCAGTTTTTAGTCTTACCCTCTCTGGTGGGATGGAAGAGAGGAGAAACTGGGCATAGTTGAGAGTCCTATGTCCTGCAAAGTGAACTCACCTATTCAGAGGACAGTATTATTGTTGGTAAAATGATCAGATGGGTCCCACACCCTCCCTTCCAAACTTTCTGTCTCTGATCCTTCTCCATGGTGCCTAGGTTGTCTGCTCTTTGCCCACTCCTTGCCTGCCAGGTCGTGCTCCATGACCGTCTTAACACCTACCTGCCTCATGCCTCAATTCCACTAAGATTCTGCAAAGTGAAAGAAGTTAGTTAGATAAACTGATTCTCAACAAGGACTGAGTGTCTCGTGGTGAATCTCCTCCTCTGTAAGTCCATGAGGGCTCTGACTTTGTCGTCTTATTTGTCTGGCTCAGCCCTTTCTGCATCCTGGGTGCTCAGCTCTTTCCTACACACTGGGAGCTCAGTAAATATTGGATAAGTGAATGAGTGAACCAAAGACTAAGTGCCATTAACACTCTCAGACACCGTGTGCCTTTTTTTTTTTTTGAGACAGAGTCTCACTCTGTTGCCCAGGCTGGAGCGCAGTGGTGCAATCTTGGCTCACTGCAAGCTCCGCCTCCCAGGTTCACACCATTCTCCTGCCTCAGCCTCCCAAGTATCTGGGACTACAGGTGTGCACCACCACACCCGGCTAATTTTTTTGTATTTTTAGTAGAGATGGGGTTTCACCATGTTAGCCAGGATGGTCTTGATCTCCTGACCTTGTGATCCACCCACCTCAGCCTCCCAAAGTGCTGGGATTACAGGTGTGAGCCACCGTGCCCGGCCACCATGTGCCTTTTAACTGGGACCTTCAACTCTTAAGACAGAGAGTGCATAACACGGCAATTTTAAGCCCTAAGACATCTAGCACAATGGGGTATTTCCTGCTAGAGCTACTTCTGTTATATATGCTCTGACTCCTACCATGCTGGCAAGGCTTGAGGGCTTCGGGGTTTTGAGGAGGCTCTGAGTTTGCAGACTGTCTCCCAGGCCTCTTTTCAGAGCTGAAATTTGTTGATGAGCACTCTGAAGGCTGAAGTTTCTTTCTTCAAGATTCACTTCCACATTGACTCCCAGAACACGGGGTAAAAATCAGACCTGATACATGAGTTCTGGCTTATCTGGCATTTGTCAACTCAGTCTCCATTCTCTGTCTCTTAAGCAACGGATTCCTCTTGAACATCCCAGAGAAGCAGATCAAAGGGAGACAGTCGAGGCAGAAGAAGAGACTTTCCAAGGCATAGCCTTATTCAGATGAAGGTGTTTCATATCTGCTATTCACAAGTAGCCACACTGCATTCACAGATGTACCCATGGCCAGGGCCCACAAGGACTTTCTGAGGAAAGCAAAGCAGGGTTGTTTTGGGGGAGGTTCACACCTGGTGAAGAGGGTGGAATGAGATGTCCCTGCCACCAGGGTCCCTTCCAACTCACGGAGCCTATGGTACTGAATGGCAGCCAGGTTTTTTATGGAGCAATAGCTGGACTTCACATTTGCATAATGCCTTGCAGTTTCACTGTTAAGAGTACTGCATTGTATTCTAATTATATGAATCTCGGTCATTCCTTTATGACATTTCTGAGGAATACTATCTCAATCAAGAAAAGCCCTAATTGCACTCCTCTCCTATCCCGGTGAGAGAGCACAGACTCGTGCCTGCTCCGCAGGGGTGGAGGCTGGAATTCAGTAGTCTGAGTCGGGGATGCCTGGAGCAGGAGGTGGTCAGGGGCATTGTCCTTTCCAAGTCAGGAAGGCAGACAGCACCTGCTGTTGGTGCCAAGGTTACTGGACAGGCTGCGAGGGCTCTGTCTGTCTGTCCGATGTTCACAGGCCAGCTCCCCGGAGGCTCAGCACTCAGCCCAGCTTCTCCGAGATGCAAACCAGGCCACTCTGAGGCTGCCTACAAACTTTCTGCTGAGTGCCGACAGCTGCTTCCTGCTCTGCGGGGAGTTCTTCCAGATCCTGATCAAGGCACAGAGAATTGATCTATCAGATTAACCAGGAAGGAAAGAGTGGGAGAGCGAGTGTGGGAGGCTGTGGGGCTGAGTGTTTTCTGCGTAGCAGTCCCCTCCCTTCTGACTTGAGTATTAATTGCTACATTACCGCTGCCATGTAAGAAAGACAGTCAGCAAAGCCTGGGAGAGCTCCAGCTCCTCCCTCCCTGCTCTGCTCAACTTCACTCTCCTCCTCGGTTCCCTTGGAGTACCTTGTGCCCCGGCAGTGCTGTCCCGGCCCTGGCATCCTGAGGTCCTCCCGTGGTGAGGACTTAAGTGGACAGCAGGAGTGGGTGGAGAGAGGGAGGGAGAGTTTGCCCTGCAGGCTCTCTGGATGCAGAAGCCAGACTCGCTGCAGAGGCAGCTGTGCTGTTCCCGGAGCCTGGCTTCAGGGGTGCATCCGTCACTCAGGGTTCATTCACCCAGGCAGGCTCCAAGTTCCTGGGGTGCACAAGGTGGGCACTGTCCCTTCTGGGTGCTGACAGCAGAGCCTGGCTCCCCTCCGCCACCATGAGCGGCTGCTCCAAAAGATGCAAGCTTGGGTTCGTGAAATTTGCCCAGACCATCTTTAAGCTCATCACTGGGACCCTCAGCAAAGGTATGGAAACTGGCCTTGACCCTTGCTTTCTGTCTTGATATGGCCTGGCTGGTCGCATTGCCTCGGTGTGGTGAGCGTGACCATTCTGGTGCACCCAGGTCTTGGAAAAAGCTGGGGAAATTGGTGGCTGGGATTCGAGGTTGCTGACAACCTGCGTCCTGGCTTTGAGTAGGCGGGCACCCAGCCAGGGAACTCAGCTGGCTGTAATTGCCTGGAACTTTGGAAATGGAGTTGGTGGTGTGTGGCTGATACGTTATGGGCGGGCAGAGGGATAGAACCCTTTCCAGAGCATTGGAAGTGGCTTAGCGTGACTGGAGTTTCAAGAAGTTATCCATGGAAGGTTGTATTTTGTTGATAAAAGAGAGATTTGATGCAGTGGGTTGTGAGTAATTCTGCAGAACAGAGACGCTTGAGGGGGCCAGTGGGAGGTGGTGATGGGCCGGCATCTGCTTTGCCCTGGTGGCTTCAGAAACCGGATCAGCTCTGCACCTCAAGTGCCAAGAGCCTCCTCTCATAGGGTTCCAGCGTCTCGTGCTTCTGGGGCTTCATTCATCGTTCTGCTTTCTTGGATCCCTGTCCCTCCACATTTCATGCCTATGTCCATGCCTGTCTTTTCTGCTTCTCCAGGAACTGGGGTGGCAGGTGGTTTGCAGGAGTAACTGTCTGGGCAGATCAGAAAGTGTGGCTATGGACCAGAATTAGGGCTGCAGCCCCAGATGGGCCCACAGCCGGGAGGCAGAAAGAAGGCTAACTCCTCAGGGCCCAGTCCTGTGTCTTAAACCCCATTTTACACTTGGCACCAGGGAAGGTGAGGCCCTCAGAGGGGTCTGGCCAACTTTGTGGAGATGATGTCAAGGGAGAGCAGCAGCATGATGTGGTTCCACTGGCTGAAAAAACGTCTTTAAATATTCATGCTGTCTTTCAGGAAGAGTCTTTGGGGGCTGGGGAGAGAGGCACTGGAAGCAGCAGGCAGAATATTCAGGGAAGGAGCCCACAAAACTTTGATGGGATTTTACAAAATGACAATGAGAGCAGAGAAAGGCTATATGCAGCCAGATCTCATGACATGGCTCAGGTGCCCGCCACCCAGCGGGTCTGGCCCAGTGTACGTTGTGTGGCATGTGTGGGTGGTGGGAATGATGGGATTCTGTTTATCTCCTTCCTTGGGATGTTCTGACCTTCCTGTTATTTCCCTACCATCCTTCTGAAGTGGGGCACTGCTCTTCCAAGATACCCAGGTGGGCTGAGCCCCCAATGTGGAGGGCCAGGCTGCCTGGCAGAATTCCTGGAGGCCAGAAGTGGGGTAAACAGGAGGTTAATGGGTATAGCTGTGATTGCTCTCAGTGGCTTTACCTCCTGGAGAAGGAGAAAGCAAAGGGGTTAGGAAATTTCACAAAGTCTCCCCATTCAATCCTCAGAGACAGCTGGAAGGTTTTCTTTCCTCATTACAGATAGCAGGACCTAAGAGGGTAATGGGTGTGGGGCAGCAACCCATTGCAGCCTCTCATGGAGGGCTTGTCCCCACCTGCAGTCTAGTGGCGACCCAGACCCCACACACAGATGCTCCCTGGATGCCACACTGAGTGCTGAGATGGGGGAATCATGGGGGTCAACAGGCATAGAGAAGAGATGTCTGGGGCAGACTAAGGAGTGCCTCCAAACAGTGACATCTAAGCTGAGATGAGGAGAGGCAGGGCTGAGAAGGTGGGAGGAAGCCGAAGCTGCCAGAGGGAGCAACATCAGAGTGTTGGCCTCTGCAAGGAACCAGCTGGAGAGTCAGAATGCCTCCCTCTCTCTGCTCAGAATCCCAGAAACTAAGATCCATGTGACACAGAAGGGACTCCGTGGGGACCTGGCCTTCCTGTGAACTGCTTCAGTACAGCCTTTCCTGTGGCCAGGGCTCAGAGAGGCAGCCCATGGCAGGCACCAGGGCAGGATTGTGTCTTAACCGCATCTGTCTTCTTTGCTTCAGCTCCGCAGAGAGGACCAAGTGTTTACACAGCCCCGGCTCTGCGCCAGGCACGTGCTAGGTGACTGGTGTTCTACCCGATCCAGGTGTTTGCTAAATATTTGTTAAATAGTGAGGAACATGGGAGCAGGGCCAGGCTGGGAGCAGGGTAGCTGAGAAAGGCCTGCAGAGAGTCCAGAAAACGGCTTTCTAATGTTTACACCTCCCCTAGGTGGATTTAGATTCAACCCTACATGGATACATTATGATTGCTTAATGATTTCTGATTTTAATTTGATTTCACTTATTCATTATTCATTGCACTGAGTTCTAGATTTGCAGTAATCCAACCCTCAGGAGAGGGATTTTTCTTTGTCCCTTGCAGAACTGAGGAATGTAAAGAATGTGTTGGACCAGGTACCTGCTTGTTCTATGGCAATTTACTGTTTCTTACCAGCCTTGCAAATACCTGGGGGACAAGGAGGGTCCAGGATCACCCTCCCTGTCCTGCCTGTTCCTAACCCTTGGCCACCTCCTGCCATGCCAGAAATCCTTCTTGCCATTTGTCTAAGATGCCAGCTAGCCCAGATTTCTCATCAGCGCTTATTGCAGAGATAAACTGCTCATGTCCACCTGCTCACATATCTCATCAACCTTGAACTTTCCTTCCTATCCCTGATCATAATTTGTGGTCTGCATTCCCTTTAGGAACATGTTTGCTAAAGGCTCTCTTCCCCACTAGACTTCAGCTCCATCATGGCAAGACCATGTGCATTTTTTTGCTCACCACTGTGGCCAGAGCTACTAGCATGGGGCCCAGAATGGAGTATGTGTGTTACCGTGTTAAACGAATGCAACGGCACCGCACGGCACAGACACCAGCCGTCAGCCTGAGATGACCCCTGGTACAGGAGCTTTCTAGGAAGCACTATGCAACACCTGTCCCACAGGTGCTCAGCAAATGCTCTCTGAAGTCTGTTTAGCTGCAGCAAGCTGAGTCTGCAGCCTCCAGCCTCCAGCCTGCGTGAGCCTCCAGCCACGTAAAACATTCAGGCTGGGTCTGAGCTTGCATAGTGTCTAGGGAAGGGCATTAAGATTGTTCCCAGAAGGAAAGGCTGGGTGGGCAGGCTTCTGGCATCCCCACTCCCACCCCTCTGGCTCTATTTTTATTTGTTTTATTTACTGGATTTCTCCCACATTTAAAGAATCTCTTTGGCATTAAAAAAAAAAAAAATTTCAAACCACGAATGCAGTGAGGAGCACAGTTGGTTTCTAGACTGAGACATCCCCGGACCCTGCACTGTGGCTCGGAAGCCTCGGACTGGGTCCCTCACCTCCCTGGCATTTAGTTTCCTCATCTATAAAATGGAATTACAATACCCTTCTTATGGGGTTGAATGAGATTGTGCAGATAAAGCTCCCTGCCTATTAGGTGCTCAGTAGTGTTGATGGATATGACTTCTGTTATTAGCGGATACTCTCATGGTTGAGAGCCCCTCCGGGCTGGGACTCCCTCTCACTCATTACTTGTTTTCTCAGCACCAGGCACAGATTCTAAGAGCAACATCTCATGATCACTTTATGAAAGCCTATGGCCTTGTCAGTTACTGCATGACTTTATTTATTTATTTATTTTGAGGCAGGGTCTCATTCTGTTCCCCAGGCTGAGTGCAGTGATGCAATCACGGCTCACTGCAGCCTCGACTTTCTGGGCTCAAGCAATCCTCCCACCTCAGCCTCCTAAATAGCTGAGACCACACATGTGCACCACCACAACCAGCTAATTTTGACTGTTTATAGAGACAGGGTCTCACTATGTTGCCCAGGTTGATGTCAAACTCCTGGCTCAAGAGACCCTCCTGCCTTGGGCTCCCAAAGTGCTGGGATTACAGGCATGAGCCACCACGTCCAGCCACTGGATGACTTTAGACCACTGCTTCCCCTCTGCTCAACTTGTTTTCTTAAGGGCCTACCCAGAGCCATCTCCCTCACCTGATTCCTTATTAGGAGTTAAAAGCCTGACTCCCAGAGCCAGGTCCTCGCCTGCTGTTTAACCTAGGAGAAGCCCAGCTCCTGGCTCGGATGCTTGGTGAAATCAGGGGTCTGGGGAACCTGCGTCTTCCTCTTTCTGCACAGTCAGCTCCCCTCCACCCGCCTCACAGACTTCCTGGGGGCCGCTGGCAGGAACCAGAAGTTGTGCAGGCTCCATTCTGGCTGGGGAGGTTTAAACTCATCTCCTTCTGCACTGGGAACAAATGTTACCCCAGGCACAGATGACAGAGCCAAAGTGAGCAGAAGGGAGGAATCCAATCCAGGAGAGCTTCTAGTGTCCTCCAGGCCACCCATGAGGCTGCGGGGGTGGGGAAAAGGGGTGTGGGAAGATGAGATCTATCTCAAGGACAAGGCCCTGGAGCCGTAACTCTCCCCTCCCGCCCAGGCCCAGGCTGTTCCTCTTTTTTCGAGGCAAAACCTCAGCTGCCCCATCAGTGACACACTGTTCCTCTTGCCTCCTCCCACTGCTGTTCAAGATCCTCAAGAGACTGACCTTGGACCCGGGCATGGACTCTGCCTTCAAGCAGGCCAGGCTGGAGTACCAACTCTGCCTCTTACCAGCTGTGTGAAGTTGTGTCATTTGAACACCACCCCAAGCCAAGGCTCCCCACTTTTAATTGGAGATAATAATAATATCAATGGCACAAGGCTGTTTTTTAATGTAATGATGATATGAGTAAGAGATATCAGCTCACAGGCAAATCCCAACTCTGCTCTTGCAGGGCACCCGCCCCCGCTTACATTTTGTGCCCTAGGCACCTTCCTTGCCTCTTTCTAGTCTTGATCCTGGAGGTAGGGATTGCAATCACCATTTCAGCAGGTAAGGAAACTGGGGTTTAGCTAAGTGTCGTGGCTCCCCTGGTGAGTGGCAGAGCTGGGATTAGAACCCAGGTCTTGCTGCAGCCAAGACAAGGTACATTCCTCTGCACTCCTAGGGCTGGAGAAGTCACGCCTGCCTGCACTACTCCCCACCTTGCCACCAGCAGAGAGTCCCCCAGCGTCCCACTAATTCTGTTGGTGGGTTTTTCCCTGCTGGGTCTGATCAGAGCAGCCACCTGTCATGCAAAGGGTTGTGACAAATTCCATAAAGTGTCATCACCTGGGTTATGGGGAAAGGGAACACTCCAGAGGCCAAGATCAGCAGGACAGCCATACCCATGCTCTCTCAGTATCCCTATCACCTCTCAGGCAGGTGTGCAGGCCCAAAGCACCTGCCAGACACTGAGTAGGCTCTGTCCCATGAGGGCCACTCCCCCATGGCTCTCCCTTCTTACAGGCCAAGTGTGAGAAGTGTTCTTGGGTGTGGGAAAATACACACAAAGTTTTGGACACTAGGCAGGCTGGAATTGAGGTGTTGCAGCTGTTTACTGGAATTGTCTGGGAAAGCAGAAGCCTTCACACTGGGGACTTTGAGACCTGTGAGATATCATCATCCCTCTACCAAGAGGAGAATGCCACCTGTCCCATGAAAAGCTAAGCTTCAATGCTGCCCCTTGCTGGGGAAAGAGAGTCCCCACCATCCGAGTCCTGGCTCGCTCACTGTCCTGGCAGTGAGGGGCTGAGCAAGCACTCTGGTCATGTTACAACAGCCCCACTCACTCTCTGCAACCCTGGAACCTCTGAGTGCCAGTGCTTTGTCACAGGAAGAAAGTTTGATTATCCAGGGCTTCTGGGTCCCTGCCTACCTCTCCAGCCCCAAGCTAGAGCCTGCCAGGAGGGGCATGTGTTCACCTTGGCCCTCCTGATGTCCAGTAGCCTTCATCCCAGCCTACTGGCCTCACCACCCTTGCCCCTCTGCAGCAGGCCCAGCATTCCCTGACCCATTTGGGTTGTTCAGGTGCTCAGCTCACTAGGGTCTCCATAGTCCCACAGTAGAAGGCAGAGAAGAAGGAGGGATCACCTGCCCCTCTGGAGCCTCCGGGTCTTTCTCCTAGATAACCCTGTTACCATGCAGGAGTAATTTGTTCAGGGCCATTTATCCTGGCACTGCTGCACAGACATCCTATTAACTTCAGGACCACAGGGGAGCGGCTAGTTTGCTCCAAATTAAAAGTAGCTGGAAACGGGGCCCTCTGGCAGGCAGGAGAGTTCAGGCTGCCACACCACAGCCCTGGGAGAAGTGGATCTAGTCAGGTCTTCATCAGCCTTCTAAGTCCAGGGCCTCCTTTGCCATGCCACAGGGACCCTCATCTTCCCCAGTCTTCTTAGGGTTACAGAATCTCCCCTGGGCCATCTCTCTCAGCAGACCCAGGTCCCAAATCCCTGAAAGCCTTTGCTTCCCAAGGGTGGAAGTGGCGATGTGAAGTCACTGTGGAAGGAAGCAGGATGCAGGGCGGGAAAACTCTGGACCCAGAGGGACCTGGGCTCCAACCCTGCCATGCACCAACAGGACAGCCTTGGGCAAGCCATTCCCCATCTTGAGTCTGTGTCCTTCCGTAAATGGGCCAGTAATTTCCATCTCATGTGGCTACTGGAGATGGAATGAGATGGGACATGTGACAGGCACAGGACCTGGCTCATACAAGCTGCTCAGTAAAAGTCAAGTTCCCCACCCTTCTTTTCTATGATACGACCTTGGATTTGTAGCCAAGAGAAACAAGGCTGAGCCTCTGTGGGTCAAGTCCTCTTCCCAGCTCCTATCCAGATGTGCTGCTATTTCAAAATTATCCCCCCTGCCCCCAGTCACTCTTGATGACAAGTTCTATAATTAAAAATGTGCCAACAATGGAAATGATCCTTTTTATTTAGTTGTTCATGGGAGAATTGGTCATCCATTCTCATGAGAATGGGAGCCCTGTGAAAGCGTTCACCACGTTCACCACGTGGGAATCACCTAGAGTGAGTGCCTCAAGCACCTGCAGCCGAGGAAGGAAGGTTGAATAAATAACGACTAAATGCTTTCCCTGCCGAGCAACATCAGGCCATGTGGCTGGAGTTCCCTTTTTGAGGTCTGGTCTTAGTCAGGCTTGCTCTGGAGCCTACCACTCCCTATCTCCCTTGTCTGAATTCCTGTGCTGGAGTTTGACAGCAGTGACCAGCCAGAACGACCTGGATGAGACAAGGGTCAGTGCAAACAAGACCAAAGGCCTGTTCCTGCCCCCATTCCGCTCTCATGCTCTGCTGGGGGACTGCCCCTGGGTGCAGGCCCACACTGCCTATGCATCACAGCTGGCCAGGTGCTCAGGTGAGGCGGCGGTTCTTCCCCGTTGTCCACCTGCACCCCACCCAGAAGTGCAGGAGGAGGGACCCCACTGAAAGGCAGGCAGCAGGGGAGAGGAGCTTTGGGGGAGAGGATGTGGAAATGAGGAAATTGCATAGGCCTCCCGGGCCAGCTGGAGGAAAGAAAGGCCAGGACTCCTGAAAAAGACTCATGGGAAGTCATTTACTATCACCACTGACCACGCTCTCTGTCACAGGTCTTCAGTCTAGGGGCAGAAGAAAGCCTTCCTTCTCTGTTAGGATGAGGGGAGGAGGACCATGAACACAAAGCTAACCTTGGTCCCCTCTGGCTGAAGCCACTGAGATTCCATTTTGTGTTCTTAGAAGAACACCCGCTTTGGAGCCAGACCTGGGTTTGAGTCCAAATCCTCACAACTGCTTGCTGTCTTAGGCCATCAGGCTGCTTATCAACCTGATGGCCTAAGCTACCATACAAAGACACGGTGGCTTATCAACAACAGAAATGTATTTCTCACAGTTCTGGAAGCTGGAAGTCTGAGATCAGGATGCTAGCACTGTGGACTTCTCGTGGGGACTCTTCCTGGCTTACAGACAGCATCTCCTGCTGTATTCTGACGTGGAGGAAAGAGAGTAAGCTAGCTCTCTGGCCTCTTCTTATAGACACACCCCATTCAAGAGGCTCCGCCTTCATGACCTCATCACCTCCCAAAGGCCCCACCTTCAAATACCATCACCTCAGGAGTGGGATTTCAACATGTGAATTTGGGGGACGGGAGGCACAAATATTCAGCCCATTGCACTAAGTAAATGGCTTTTTTTTCTGGGCTTCAGTCTCTTCATCTCTAAAATGAAGGAGCTGCTGATTTCAAAGGCCTCTTTCAGCTTTGGAATTTAAAGATTAAACAAAATTGCAGCACTGCTGGTGGCACCTGCCATGTGCCCAGCATTGCCTGAGCACTCCATGCCCAATATTTTATTTAGTGCACATGAGAAACCTAGGAGGTGGAGTGCTCTAATTAACCCCACTTACAGATATAAAGAGCGAGCTTCAGACGGGGGACCGGCCTGCTTGGAGTCACACAGCCAGCATGAAGCATAGCCACAACTGGAAGCCTAGGCGGTCTGGCCCCAAGCCCTGGGTTTTACTTCCCTCCCCAGCCCATCCCCAGTACACTCTTTCCATTTCTGAAAATCAGATCCAGGGTAAGAAGCAACGAAGACAAAACAGATTCCTTCCCAGTTTGGCCAAGAGGCAACACACACTCTTGTTTTCGAAATCAAGACTTCAGGACCTCCATTCTGACTGAGGAAGTGCAATTGAGGAGAATGCCCTCTGAGACTCAAGCTCCCCGATCCATCCCCTAAACCGTTACCCATAGGTCACCTTTCACAGTCAAACAACAAAACATATGGGGAGCAGGCCCGACAGCCAAGACTACAGGGAGGGGAGAAAAAAGGAAACACCACCCAGCAAGATTTCCTGTTGTATTTCTAGTCTGGCCAATTTTCATTTATTGCTGGAATGAGGTCAGTTGGAAGCTGAGGCAGAGAATTGGGCAGGAATCAGGTAGGGAGGTGTGATTCTGGGGCTTGTATCTGAGAAGCTGGGGTTAGCCTAATTTTCTTTCTGTAATCTTTTGATTAACTGTGGGCCAGTTTGGATGACATTTTTCAAACCATCTGTGCTTGGCAGGCTGGGCCGAGCCCAGGCTTACTGCTCGGTGTCTGCAAAACTCAGCTTGGAGCCGGCTATCACCCGGAGCCTGGGATGTCTCTAAGCCATGAAGCATATTGGATTGCAGAATGATCCACAACATCCCTGTGCTGATTAACTCTGCCCAGGCCTCACAAGTTCAGAAACAGTGGCTGTCATTTCAAACGCAACAGGAAACATGAGGGGAAGGGCCATCGCCATCCTCTGTTGAGTGCTACCTATTTTCTGGGGGCTTTACAAGGATTCCTATATTCAGTCCAGCCCTGTCTCTGTGAGTTGTTTTTATTCCAAACCAGGGGCTTTGAGAGGCTGAATAACTTGCCAACATCACAGATACAGCACTGTGGTTGAAAAGGTCATGTGCAAACACTAATGTTCCTTTGAACACGCCTGGTCAAACCTGTCAGCACCGTCACTTCTGTCACAGACTGAATTGTGTCCCCTTAAATGTGTATGTCAAAGCCCTAACCCCCAAGGTGGCTGTATTTGATGATAGGGCCTTGATGCAGGAGATTAAGGTTAAATGAGGTCATAAGGTTGGGATCCTAATCCAACATGACTGGTGTCCTTGTAAGAAGGGGAAGAGACCAGGAGTACACACACACAGAGGAAAAGCCATGTGAGGGCAAGATGGCCAACTACAAGCCAGGAAAAGAAACTTCATCAGACACCAACCCTGCCCGAACCTTAATCTTGGACTTTCAGTGTCCAGAACTGTGGGACAATAGATTTTCGTTATTTAACTACCCAGTCTGCGACATTCGATTATGGCAGCCCAAGCAGACTAATACAGCCCCATAGACCATTCTTTGCATAGCATCCTTTCCTATATTTTTAACTGTGACAAACATATATAACATTAAATTTACTATTTTAACCATTTTTAAGTGCACAGTTGTGGCTTTAAGTACATTCACATGTTGTGCAACCATCACCACCAACCATCTCCAGAACATTTTTCTTCTCGCAAAACTGAAACTCTGCACTGCACCCACTAAACCCTTCCCCATTTCTGTCTACCCTCAGGCTCTGGCAGCCACCACTGTACTTTCTGTCTCTATTAACTTGACTGTTCTAGGTTCCTCATATAAGTGAGTCATGAACAGTATTTGTGTCTGGCTTATTTCACTTAGTGTAATATCTTTTTTTTTTTTTTTTTTGAGATAGGGTCTCACTCTGTCATCCAAGCTGGAGTGCAGTGCTGTCATCACAGCGCACTGCAGCTTCTACCTCCTGGGCTCAAGCAATCCTCCCACCTCAGCCTCCAGAGTAGCTGAGACTACAGGCGTGCGCCACCACCACACCCAACTAATTTTTTAAAATTTTTTATAGAGATGAGGTTTCTCCATGTTGCCCAACCTGGTCTCAAACTCCTAGGCTCAAGTGATTGGCCCACCTTGGCCTCCCAAAGTGCTGGGATTCCAGGCTGCCATACCTGGCCCTCACTTAGTGTTATGTCTTTAAGGTTCATTCCTGTAACAGCCTGTGTCAGAATTCCCTTCCTTTTTAAGTTTGAACAATATTCCATTGTCTGGATACTACATTTTGCTTTTTATCCATTGATGGACCATTCCCATATTTTTAAAATAAAAAATGAATCATATACGATTATAATCCCCTTACTGGAAACTGTCTCCAGTGGTTTCTTGACACATTTAGAATTAAATGCAGACTCCTCTCAGTGGCCTGTGACTTTGCATGATCCGTCCTCTGCATTTCTGTCCTTCTCCTTGGACTCTTTCCACCAAATACCCCCAGGCTCTCTCCCTCAATTCATTCAAATCCCCTCCTGCGGTTGCCGTCCCTCCTCATCTCCCCCAACACATTGCCTAATGCTGCCTTGCTTTTCTGCACAGCCCTTACTGCTCCTGCAATAATATTACACATGTGTTTGCTTGGTGATTTTAAATGTTTTAATGGAAAATGTCTATGTTTAAGGTATACAGTGTGATGTCTTGATACACACATAGATAATGGCCTGATTATCACAGTCAAGCTAATGAACATATCCGTCTCTTTTCATAGTTACCTTTCTGTGTATGGTGAGAACTACTCTCTTAGCAAATTTCAAGTATACAGTGCAGTCTTATGAACTACAGTCTCCTTGCTGTGCATTACTCTAGAGCTTGTTCATTCTCCATAGCTGAAACTCTATACGCTTTGGCCAACATCTCCGTTATTCATTTGTTTATGATCCAGCTCATCCACTAAGAGTCGAGCTCTGTGAGGGCAGGGAATTTTGCCTGGCCTTGACTACTTCCCCAGCACCTGGTGCAGGGCCTACCACATGGTAGGCCCTCATTGGGAGTTGAGAGGTTGAGCTGGCAGATGAGGAACCTGAGGCCTGGGGAAGGCCACCCAGCAAGCCAGACGCAGAGCTGGCCTTGAATCTGGGCTTCCTCCTCTTTCCATTCCCTACAGGCTCGGCACTGCATGCCCTTTAAAGGTTCCAGTTCTGTATCCACCATTTCCACGTCCGTCTGTCCATCCACACTTCCTCCTTAGCAAGGCCGCCCATGTTCCTGCATCCAGGACATGAGGGGTTAATTAAGATAGTCATCTGGCTTCTCAGGCTACCATCCTAAGAACAGCCCTCCTCAGTTCTGGAGCTGGCGGGCCATTTGGTTCATCTTTGATTTGTTCTTGCCATGGAGAGAGGGGAACCTGCCGCTGGGAAAGGATGGCGATGGTTTCCAGTGTGCTCTGCTCCATTCAGCCAAGGGGCTCCTCTGGGAGGGCATGAAGTGAGCAGTCACCAGCGAAGGCATCTGGGGGCTGCAGACGCAGCTGGCTTCCATGGCTGTGTTCCCCTCCAGCCCTTGAGGATCCAGGACTTTCTGGAAACATGATTTTGGAGTTCACTGGATGCTGAATCCATTACCACCAAATTGTGTGACCTTGGGAAGTCCAAGGGAGTCACTCCTTCGAGCCTAGCCTCCTTTTCTGTAAAATGTGTGCAATAATGCCAATACCACAGGTTTATTAAAGTAACGCACTTAAAAGTGTTTAGTGTAGGGCTTGTGTCAAATTAAGGATTCAACAAATGATGGGTGGTTTTGCTTTTATTTGGCTTTGCTGTTTATCAGGGCTGAGCTTAAATCTCCCTCATTGCATCCTAGGCAAACCAGGGACCTCCCATGTCTTGGGAAACGGCTGAGTGACTGAAATCACCCACGTGGGCCAGAAAAGAGTGAGAGATGTTTTCAACATACTCTTTGCCTTTCCTTTCCCTACCCGGGATGCGAGTATCAGTGACAAAGAGTTTTATTCTAGGGAGATGAGACAGGAGAGCTCACACTGTATTCATTGAGCAAGCTCTTCATGTCCAGAACCTTTAAAATCTCCTGTACACTCCTGCCCCACTCCCAGCCCACACTCTCCTACGGATGAAAAAATAAGAAGGGGCAGTAAAACCTTGTCTTTGTATAGAGTCCACCGGGGGCTCAACAGAGGAGGTGGAGGAGGCCTCAGACCTGGATGTCGTGGCAGTCACTGCACCCTGGGTCAGAGCCCCCTGAGGACACCACCCTGGAAGGGAGAAGCTGGCTGGAACCACAAAGCCCCATGGACAAGCAAGCTCTGGCACTACCTTTGAGCATCTGCTGTGCCTGCTGGCCTGTCTCACAGGGCACATGAGGTAAAAAGACATCAGGCACAGGCTCCCCCATGTTCATTATATCTGGAAATTTCAGTCTGGCCAAGGGAGCTTCTGAGAGCCTGAAGGTGGCCAGTATGTGACTGGAAGTCAAGGCCACATGGCACAGTGACCAGCGTGAGACTCCTCCAAATGTCCTCAGTGTAAGGGTGGGGAAACTGAGGCCAGAGCAAGGAACACCCTTGAGTAAGCTACCCTCAAAACGGAGCCTCCTCTGGCTGGTAGCTGGGGGCACAGGGATGGAGGGTAGCCTGGCCCCTCCTGGAAGTGGTGGCCACCCAGCAGATGGCTCTTCATTGCCACACAGCCGATGACTCATAGACTAAGCCCAAGCAAGACCCCTCGCCTCCTCCCTTCATCTCTGCACTCTCCCCTTCATGGCCTCACCTCTGGGGGAGACTCCCAAGTCTCTCTCTCTTGCCTTGGCTCTTTTCTTAAGCTCCAGGCCTGCAGGTGACTCCTTGGCTGGACTGTGAACTTGTTGGAAGGGCAGGGGCTACATTTTAGTTATTTAAGAACGTGCAGTCTGGCACGGTGGCTCACGCCTGTAATCCCAACACTTTGGGAGGCTGAGGCAGGTGGATCCCTTGAGGTCAGGAGCTCGAGACCATTCTGACCACAGCGAAACCCTGTCTCTACTAAAAATACAAAATTAGCTGGGCATGGTGGCACATGCCTGTAATCCCAGCTACTTGGGAGGCTGAGGCAGGAGAATCGCTTGAACCAGAATGTGGAGGTTGCAGTGAGCCACAATCACACCACTGCACTCCGGCCTGGGCAACAAGAGCAAAACTCCGTCTCAAAAAAAAAGAAGAAAGAAGGAAAGAAGGAAAGAAAAAGAAAGAAAGAAAGAAAGAAAGAAAGAAAGAAAGAAAGAAAGAAAGAAAGAAAGAAAGAAAGAAAGAAAGGAAAGAAAGAAAGAAAGGAAAGAAAGGAAAGAAAGAAAGAAAGAAAGAATGTGCAGCACCCAGCACAAGACCTGGCATAGAGTAGGGGCCTAACAAATGGATGGATTGATGGAGGATGGGAGGAAGGACCACTAGACCCTTCCAGTTGAATGTCTTTCTATAGCCCCTACTCAATCCTTGTAAAACCAAAGGAGACCTCTCTCTCCTGATTTTACTCTTTCTCTTTACATGTCCCAGTCTCGAGCCTTGTTCTTTCCATCTGTCACTCCCTTTCCACTCTCAGAACCGTTCCTGAAATCTGAACCTTTCTAACCTCTCACCCGCTTTGCTGCAGCAGCCTGCAGACTGCGTTTCTTCCCATTTCTTCCCTTTCTGACTCCTCCACACCATTCCAAAGAGATGGCCCATCTAACCCATTGACCCAGAAGCCCTACTTCTAGAAATCTATTCTAAGCAAATCATCACAGCTGTGCATACGGACTTTTATTTAGAGGTATTCATTATGGTATTATTGCATTATTTATAACAGTGAAAAACTGGAGGCAATCTAAGTGTCAATGGAAAAAATTGTGTATTAAATAAATTTTGGTTCATCTGTCTGATGGAACAATATTAAACTGTTGAAAAATTATTTTAGGAACTAATTAATAACCTAGAGAAATGCTATTGATATCGTATCAAGTAGGAAGCCAGGAGAAAAAAAACTGTATGATGAATGCAGTTCCAGTCTGTGGGAATAGATGTGTATGGAAAAGTAAAATAGAGAAGAAATACACTGAAACATTAGTTTAGGTTTTAGCTTGGATTAAAGGTGAGTTTTTAAAGTTTTTGTTTGTTTGTTTGTTTGTTTGTTTGTTTTATTGAGACAGAGTCTCACTCTGTCACCAGGCTGGAGTGCAGTGGCGCAATCTCAGCTCACTGCAACCTCTGCTTCCTGGGTTCAAGTGATTCTTGTGCCTCAGCCTCCCAAGAAGCTGGGACTACAGGTGCCGGCCACCACAGCCAGCTAATTTTTGTATTTTTAGTAGAGACAGGGTTTCACAATGTTTTCCAGGATGGTCTCCATCTCCTGACCTTGTGATCCGCCCGCCTCAGCCTCCCAAAGTGCTGGCATTACTGTTGTGAGCCACCGTGCCCGGCCTAAAGTTCTTCTTGATGCTTCTCTGCATTTTCTGAATTGTCTTCAATAAGCATCCATATTTAATCAGAAACCACAAACATATCATTCACTAAATACACATCTTCAATCATACAGTTCTCAGTATGGGAACGCATGAAAGTTCTGCTTTCACTGGCATATCACTGGCTGTTCATGCCATGTGGCAATACACCCCGAACTACCAGATTTGGCACTCCCAGCCCTAACCCCACAGTCTCAGACCTCAGCCCACTCCCTAGTCCTGTGTCCCCGTGACCAAACCCACACACGCATTCTCCTCCAGCCAAACTGGTCCCCACATGTTTCCAAACCAGCCTTCTGTTCTGTGCTCCTCAGCCTAACTCTCAAATGGTTCAGAAACACAAATTCGCATGTGCACAGAGAGAGACAGAGACAGAGAGAAAATCCAAATATGATAAAATACTGATCATCATTGGTGAACCTAGATGAAGGGGAGGCATGCTTACAATTTGCATTGTAGTTGGATATTTTCAAAATAAAAAGCTGGGGAAATAAAGGAGCAGTGTAGTATAGTATTTAAGGGCATAAATTCTGCATGAAATTACCTTATTTCAAGTTCCAGTCCCACTGCCTATTAGTTGGGAAGTAGTAACATTAGGCAAGGTACTTACTTTCTAAGACTCAGATTCTTCATCAGTAAAATGGGGATAATGAAAATCCTGGTGTATTTGTTTCCTACAGTTGCCCAGAGAATGGAATGTATGTGTGTAAAGGGCTTGGCGAAGAGTGCCACACACCCTTGATCATGAACTGTTAGTATCAGTGCTAAATATAGAAATCAATTTATTAACCGTGACTCTATTCATGATATTCTCTACCTCCATAAGCTGCTCATCCCTGGACAACTAAGTAAAGTGCTACAGCTTTGGAAACTTTTCTTGCACGGTTCTTTTTCTGCCACTAGCCCTGGAAGCTGCTCCAATGCGGTGCCTGCCCCGCTGGTATCCATACCTCCAGGCCCTGGCACAGAGCCTGGCAAGGGGGAAGAAGCCATTAAATGCACTGAACCCCAAATGAGAATCTCAAAGGGTTCAAGCTGTACTTTAAAGAAAACTCTTCTCATCAGGACCAAGTTTGCACTTTTGCTGATGCAGCCACTCTATTCCCATGGGCTTCCTTGAGATAAGGCATCACCTTGATAAATTAGCTGTAGATATAGGCGTCTTGCAGTTGGCATGGGAAAGCAATTTAATTTCCAATTAAGCCTGATTTCTGGGCCAGGAGGTTGGCCTACCTCGCACTGGAAGGATTATTCTGGCCAGGCCTATTATTATCACGGGTCATGATTCTCCCATGAAGTGGACTCTCAAGGAAGCTGGTCCTTCAACCATTGGAATGGTTCAGTGAGGCAGAAATACGGCCTCTGTGGGTAGGACCCTTTTTCCCCAGGAATTAAGTTTATACAAGTAGAGTCAGGGAAGTTCAAAGCAAAGATAGGCAGTCTGTTTGTGGCCAAAATTGTTAAGTCAGGGTACCCCTAGAAATGAAGCAAGAGGGGAGAGAGAGAGGGAGGTGAGGCAGTCATCAATCAGGCCCACAAGCAAGAGAGGCGGGAAGTTGCTAGTAAGAAAAAGACGGCAGGAGGTAGTTCTCTGAGCCCAAATCGAAAAGAATCTGAATTATCGGTTGAAGGAGACACACTTACTTGAAGAGAGAACAGACATTTGTGAAGCATCTTTTATGCACCGTGCTGAGTACTTCACATTCATGATTGATGATACAATGCACCCTGTAAAACAAACACTGTGAGGCTCACTTTCCAATTGAGGAAACTGAGATTCAGGAAGATTAAATAAACTGCCCAAAGTCATGAACAAGGCAGATTCAAACTCTTGTTTTCCTGAGCTTTTCTCCCTGCAGGCTCCCTCTCAAAGACAAATACAAAAACATCATTTAGGGCCATAAGGATAATGCCATACTCAGCTGTATCTTACCCACCAAAATTGTAAGCATGAGAAAAAGGCCTTTCAAACAAGTCCTGAGAGAGTGAAAATAAATGGTGGCTGAGGCTGCTTGGGGCGAATGATCTGATGGAAGAGCTAACAATATCTACTTCTCTTTTGGGTGTTGTTTTTGCTCCCATCTGTCCCTCAAGGAGGGAGACCTGAGACCTGGGCGCAATGGCCCAGCATGGCTGAGAGGCTCCTGTGAGGTCAGGATCTCCTCCCACAGCTCAGACTGCTTCAAACCAGCGGGGTTCTGGCTTGTGGCTGAGGGGATTTCAATTCAGAAGGGTTGGAAAGAAACAACAGAGGGGAATGAGGGATCATGACCAGTGGAGCCACAGAAAATTTAGTTAGGTGCCAAGAAGGTATGACATGGCCTAAGTTTAGTTAACGATAGTAAAAGAGGACTCTGAGGCAATATGTAAGCAAGCATGCTGTCAACTCCTGGACAAATTCTAGAGCGCATGATTAAACCCATGGTTTGGGAACACTTGTGAAAGAAAGTAGAGATGAATGAGAGGCGGGTGCATTTGCTGAGAAGGAGCTGTGCCGGTGTACCAGTCTCCCTTCTGTTCTGCTTTTGCATAGTGACCAGTTCAAGGATCGCTGCAACCATGGTGTGCCTGGGTTCCAGTTGGGCGTGTGATGAGCTATGGGCTGGAAAGCATAGATTTAGGCAGGTGCCAGCTGGCCTCGTGGTCCTGTCTGTCTTGGCAGTGCCCACAGCAGAACCTTTGTGGGACATTTTCAGATCCTTCTGCTTGGCCATCACCCCCACATCTATTGAGACTTCAGAGGTGTGGCCCCAGGGAGTCAATTGAGAGCCTGGGCTCTGTGATGGAAAGGTATCTGGAAGCATCTAACAAGCTCTCAATAGTTGACCTTGACCTGCTTGGCATTTTCCACTTTTGATATGGGGTAAAGACAAGAACAGGATTCCCAGTGGTTAGAGTGTTTTCTGGAGCAATACCACCTAGATTTGAATTCCAGCTCTGCTATTTGCTAACTTCTGCCTTGGGGCAAGTTAAATCTTTTCCTTGTGCCTCCATTGGCTCATTGGTGAAATGGAGATACTAATAATAACCTCAAAGGATGTTGTTACTGTTCAATGAGCTGTGCCTGGAAAGATCCTGGCATTCAGGTAGGTGTTCAACAAATGCTAGCCCTTATTACCGTTAGGAATGATAGATTCTTGCACAGCAAGTGATCAGCTAAATATATGCCCAAATGAAAGTGGCTCCATCTTGCTATAGTGAGTTATTCATCCAAAGAGGTGTTGCTGCAGGTTGTCATTGAAGAGAACTATTGTAGAAAGAGTGTGACTGTGTTCTCCCCGACAATACTTCTGACACCACGTAAGAGGGTTTTCTTCCCCCCTACTGATACCAACTAGTTTGGACACCAACTGGGTGTCCTACAATTTAATTCAATTCTGACACTAACTACCCAGAGTTAGCTCAGACCCCACAGGTTAAGAACTCAGTCCCACAAGACTGCCCCCATTCAAATGCCAGCCACCAATAGGGTGTCCTGACTATCCACACTTCCACCTGACTGACAGAACATTCCTACAACCTCCCCTACACCTCCAGATAGGATATAATAATTTACTAGAGTGATCCACAGAACTCAAAAGAACATTTTACTTACTATTGACACTTACTATTACATGTTGATTACAGAGGATATAACTCAGAAACAGGCAGACGGAAGAGACACACAGGGCAAGGTATGAGGGATGCAGGGTGGAGGTGCAGAGTTTCCGGGCCCTCTCCCAGCACCTTGACGTGTTCACCAACCCAGAAGCCCCCCAAACCCTATTATTTAGGGGGTTTTATGAAGATTTCACTACATAGGCATGATTGTTAAACCACTGGCCATTGGTGATTAAACTCAACCTCCAGCCCCTCTTCCCTCTGCAGAGGTTGCCGGGTAGAGCTGAAGGTTCTAACTCTCTAATCATGGCTTGGTCCTTCTGGCAAGCAGCTCCCATGCCGAAGCTATTTACAGGCCCACCAAGAGTTATCTCACTGGAAAAAAGACACTCCTATCGCCCCTAAAGGACCTCTGTACCAAAGACCAAATATCTTTCTGTGAGACAACAGAGAGTTCAAGCACCAAATATAAAGTGGAGAAGCACTAGATGATCTCTAAAGTCTTACTGGCACTTGGAGAACAAGTGTTTGTATTTGAACATGCGGAATCAAAGGGGAGTTGAGTAAAAGGGGCTCCAGAATTGACACAGGAGGAGGACTCAGTGCAGCAATCTCATGGGGCGTGGGGACAGAAGACACATCCCAAAGCTTCATGTGCCTCTCAAGCCCCTGCTTTTGTTTTATGTGTACTGGGGATAGGGGAGGTTGGTATGGAATGATGGAGATTATGGGAGAACAGAGTCCATCTAAGCCACTTTTGACTCTGCAACTGGGGGAGATGCAGCTGGCCTGGGAAGGAATCACAAACGTGGTCCAGTACTCAGTTTAGAGTTGTTGGCTTTGCTTCCATATACCTCCCTTTCTCATCTCCCAAATCCTTTGAGGAAGTTGGCTGGTGAAAATGTACTTATGTAAGTGGGGAGGGAGAGTTGTGCAAAGCTAGGAAGAAGCTGAGTTCTGCATCAGAGGTGACATGAGAAAGAACCAGGAAAGCACTGTGGAGAGGAGGATGACCCATCAACTGACTCATCTGGGGGACAGGATCTGGGAGCCAGAGGTGATGGAGAAAACTAAAGCCCTCCTCCTGGCCCCCAGTGGGAATCTGATGGAGCCTGGTGGAGAGCCTCACATTTCTACAGGGCACGGTGTGGGAGGGGCCTGGAGGCCTTGTCTCTGGATGCACTAGGCTGGCAGTTCTGAAGCTTTTCATCATCAGGACCCTTTTACATGCTTAAAAAATATTAAGGATCCTAAGAGCTTTGGTGTATATGGGTTATATCTATTAACAGTTACCATTTTAGAGATTAGAACTAAGAATGGTAAAAATATTTAATTTGAATTTACTTATTTTAAAATAATAATACATCCATTAGTTGCTAACAAAAATAACATATTTTTTTGAAAAACAATTATGCGTGGCAAAAAGTATATTGGGAGAAGTGGTATTGTTTTACATTTTTCACAAATCTCTAATGTCCAGCTTTAGAAAGGCACCTAGAATCTCATTGCTACCTCGGCATTCAGACTGTTTTAACAATGCATGTTACATGACCTCTGGAACATTCCATTGCACTCTCATAAGAGAATGAAAATGAAAAAGGCAAATAATGTCTTAGTATTATTATGAACAGAGTTTTGACTTTGCAAGCCTCCACTTTGAGAACTGCTACACTGGACTGTAGTGAATTTCTCCATGTCTCTCTGATCTTTCTTTGGTCATTTTCTTTCCCTTCCATGTGACAGGGCAATGGCTGGTGAGGTACAGGAAGGTGGCACTTTGCTCAAACAGTGTCTTCTTAAATATTTCATAGAATTCAAACTCCCCCAAACACAAGACCAATTCAAAGAATACTGGATATTCTCACATAACAGCCTGTGCTGCCAATGAACAATAAAATAAATGCAGTTTGCAATGCCCTGACCCAAGGAGTTTAAGATAAATTTTGGATGAGTTGTTGATTTAGAGGAGGAGCTGGTATCACTTCAGTAAGTCACAGAAAATAAGATTATATTAATATTTATATTGCATTATTTTAAATCTGCATAATGCTGAGTCTTCACTGTGAAGAAGGAAGCCCCTCACAATGATTAGTGAGGGGTAGGGAGGGAGAATGGCAAGAAGACACCAAGTTCCTTGCAGGCAAGCAAATAGATACATCATAAAAGTGAAGTGAAATTCCAGTCCTCTGAGATCTTCATAAATAGAAGAAACCCTCATTTCTTTCCTCCTCTGGTTGCAGCTTGGACTGATGAGCTGAAGCTCTGTCTGAGACCTGGCACTGTTAGGATGTCCCCCAGGGTTCTTTCCACCCCAGTTCTGGAGCTCAGGTGGCCCCTTGCCTCTGAATTCCACCGCTTTGTCTGAGTTCTGGAGGACGGCACATGGGAGAACCATCCAGGTGCACCTCTCCAGGTATGAGTCACTAGTCCATGAGAGGACAATAATAAATGATGGAAGCACTAGACACTCATTAGCAGAGTGGTTTATTAAGAACTGATGAAGGTTCTCTGCTCCCAGGCAGATATTATTGCAAAAAAACACGTAGGCACAGGGTCTAACTCCATCATGCCTAAATTCCCATTATTTCATGCTTATCCCGTGCATAAAGTTCTGTGAGCAGCAGACAGTTGTGGCATTTGCTAGAAGGCCAGTCTTTATTGACAGGAGGAGAACATCTATCTCAAGCAAATGAAGGTCATCATTAATAATTTATGGGACAGTGGGGGTTAGGCATCCTCACATACTAATTTTTCTAGAGGAACATGGCCTTTTCCCCTGCAGGGATTGTTTGGGTATTCTGAGTTTCTGTGTATTTTAGTCCCAAATTCAGGTGCATGGAAACCATTGACAAAATAGACCCTTTAAATCAGACTCCAAGTTGGGACTTCCTTTCTTATTTTTCTTCCTTTTTTAACTTAAATTTTTGAGATAATTGTAGATTCACATGAAGCTTTACGAAATAATACAGAGACATTCCGTGCCCCCTCTACCTAATGTCCCCAATGGTAATATTTAATATTTTGCAAAACTATAGTACAATATTACAATTAAGACTTTCTTAAAAGACTCACATGAGGACCTTTGAGACTTCCCTGACCCCAGAAGGAAAAAATTCCAGGGAATGATGAGCTGCCTGCCTTTGGAAGGAAGGTCCACCAGGTAAGAAACTGGAGGCCACAGGGATACCTCTGGGCTCCCTGGCTGGAATTGGCAGATGCTGGTGCAGATGCCAGGGCCTCCCCTCAGAACTCCAACCTGCATGAGGGCACCTGGGTTCCAGGGATGCAACGCAGCTCCCTGCCTGGCCCCTGTGGCTTTGAGTGGCTGTGTCCCTCAGCCCTTCACAGCTGGCTCTGCCCCTCAGCCCTTCACAGCTGGCTCTGCCCCTCAGCCCTTCACAGCTGGCTCTGTCCCTCAGCCCTTCACAGCTGGCTCTGCTGAGTTCTGTGGTTGAGATGCCAGGTACTGGAACACACAGCTCCAGGCTTGAGTCCTAGCCCCTCACTTTACAGATGGCCTTGGCCAGTTACCTCTTACAGCCTCAGTTTTTCATAGTAACTTAGATAGCACTTACCATATGTCACTATCCTAGGAAATTTACATAAAAATTTGTTTCATGCCAAAACTCTATGGAAAGATACTATTATCAGTTTCGTTTTGCAAACGAGGAAACAGGCACAGAAAGGTTATTCGTCCAAAGTCACCCAGCTTGTGAACAGCACAGCTGGAATTTGAACCCAAACAGTGCACATCCCAAGTCCACATACTTAGCCACTGTCCTCTGTTGCTTCTCATCATCTGTGAGGCAGGTTCAGGAGTATCTCATTTTTTTTTCCAAGGCAAACTAATTAGTACAGTGCCTGGCACAGAATAAATAAGCACCCATACATGCCAGATAACATTGTCAGTATAACTTCTGGAAGTTTCTGAGTATTCATGACTTATTCTTTTTTTTTTTTTTTTTTTTTTTTTTTTGAGACAGAGTCTTGCTCTGTTACCCAGGCTGGAGTGCCGTGGCGCGATCTCGGCTCACTGCAAGCTCCGCCTCCCGGGTTCACGCCATTCTTCTGCCTCAGCCTCCTGAGCAGCTGGGACTACAGGCGGCTACCACCACGCCCGGCTATGATTTTTTCTATTTTTTAGTAGAGACAGGGTTTCACCGTGTTAGCCAGGATGGTCTCGATCTCCTGACCTCGTGATCTGCCCACCTCGGCCTCCCAAAGTGCTGGGATTACAGGTGTGAGCCACCACGCCCGGCCGACTTTTTCTTGTTACTAACAATAGCTCTTTTTCCCTGATCCTCTCCCTCCTCCTACCTCCCGCCCTCCAATAGGCCTCAGTGTGTGTTGTTCCCCTCTTTGTGTCCATGTGTTTTCATCATTTAGCTCCCACTTATAAGTGAGAATATACAGTATTTAGTTTTGTGTCCCTGTGTTAGTTTGCTAAGGATAATATTTGGCCTCCAGCTCCATCCATGTCCCTGCAAAGGACATGATCTCCTTCCTTTTTATGGCTGCATAATATTCCATGACGTATACGTACCACATTTTCTTTAATAATGGGTACTAGACTTAATACCTGGGTGATGAAATAATCTGCACAACAAACTCCCTTGACACAAGTGTACCTATGTAACAAACCTGAACGTGTACCCTGCAACTTAAAATGAAAGTTAAGAAAAAAACACACACACAAAACAAACAAAAAAAACTATAGTTGCCATTTTAAACACCTATGATGTGTCAAACATTCCTTCAGCCCTCCCAACTATCCAGAAAGAGTCCTTCTTTTATAGATGAAAAAACTAAGAATCAAAGAGATGAAATCGGGCAGAGTAGAGACAGGATTCAAACCCAAGATCTGCATCTTGGACTCACAACACTGGAAGAAACTTCAGACACCAGCCTAACTTCACACCCAGCTCAGGACTGGCCCTGCCGAATGGTCACTCACCTGCTCTGAAAATCCTCGCGACAGGACGCTCACTTCCTACACCGGTAGTTCTCTGGCTCGAGGTGTGCCACAGAATCCCCTACGCATTGTTAGAACACAGAACATTGCTACCCCCACCCCGTGCAGGGCTTCTGGCGTGGTGGGGCTGGGACAGGGGCCTGAGAGTGTGCATTTCTCACAAGCTGCCACAGGATCCTGATGCTGCTGGCCCAGGGACCACACTTGGACAGTCATCGTTCTAGGAAAACTTCCTGGAGTGGGAATGGTAAAGGTGATGGCTTCTTCCCATTTTGCCCTTTTCAAATCTGAGATAGGCTTCCCCAGCAGGCTCAGTGCCAGAGTCCATACCCTCAATTTAAATAACAAATCCTCCTCTATATCATGACCTTTCCTCCAGAGGGTTGTTTTTCATTTTTTGTTTTTTGTTTTTTTTTTGAGACGGAGTCTTGTTCTATCACCAGGCTGGAGTGCAGTGGCACAATCTCGGCTCACTGCAAGCTCCGAACCCCGGGTTCACGCCATTCTCCTGCCTCAGCCTCCTGAGTAGCTGGGACCACAGGTGCCCACCACCACGCCTGGCTAATTTTTTGTATTTTTAGTAGAGACGGGGTTTCACCATGTTAGCCAGGATGGTCTTGATCTCCTGACCTCGTGATCCACCAGCCTCGGCCTCCCAAAGTGCTGGGATTACAGGAGTGAGCCACCGCGCCCGGCCCAGAGGGGTTTTTAAGATTGTGTGTTCTGAATGGCCTGTCTCTGACTGGAACCCAACTCCGTCCCCAGACCCACTTCCATCTTTTTCTGTGAGGGGGACACACTCTTTCAACTTTTCCAAAATGGCATCTACCATGGCTTTTCTGATTAAAAGCAAACGAAACACACCCTTCCTATAATCAAAAATTTAGAAAAGCAGCAAAAATAAAAAGGGGATAAGGAAGAAAACAGAAATTAACCACCATCCCACCGCTAAAATTTTGATGAGTTCTCATGTGTTTCCTTGCAGCTGATTGTTGTTTGGCATACATTTATTAATATTGGAATTAAAAATATATATGGCACTTTATATCCTAGAAAATAGTAATACTGTAAATGTGTTCTAGAAATGGGAGCTGCTGTTGCTCTTATTAGAGAATTCAAACAAAGAAGGGAGGCTCGCTGGGGACAGCTTCTGGGGGAGGATGGGTACCGCTTTGAGACAACAGGGAGAACTCAGGCACAGAGGTGACGATCATCGTTCTCTGTGGGGCACATAGTGATGCAGCCGGAAACAGGTATGAGTCAGTTGAGTGGGGACAGGTAATAGAGAGCTAGAACTGGCTGGCCTTATGGCCTCCAAGGCATTGGGGAGCCACTGTACATTCTTGAGCAGGCAATGACTTCACAAAAGGATTTCTCAAAGGTTAGTCCTGCAACAGAAGACAGCGTGGATTGGACTGGAAGAGTGGGAGGGCAGGTGGAGAAGGCATTGTGCTGCAAGTGGGGAGCAGCCCTGGGGGCCCAGCCAGTCCCCTGTGCCCTGACAAGTGGTATGGCATGGATGGATGGCTCTACTTCTGGGCCGCCAGGATGGACAGGTACTGGTTGCTCTTCACCATGGCGATAATGAGGAGGCCACCGGTCAGCAGGAAGGTGGGCCAGAAGAGGGAGAAGAGGAGGGCCTGGGGCCCGTAGAGGCGCTGGAATAGGACGCTGGTTTCGTTCCCCCGAGGTGCGGAGAAGCAGTAGAAGACCTGCTGCTCTTGGAATTTGGCTCTGACCTTCTCCACGTCGGCCCGGGCCGTCTGGTAATTGTCCACGCTGCCTGGGATGTAGGAGCACTGTGGGGAGAAACAAGAGCAGCTGTGGGCTTGGAAATCCCCATTTCTTAGCCAAGGGCTTGATATGGAGTAAAGAAAAATACCAGCTTTGTAGTCGGGCCCCTGGATTGGAGTCGGGGCTTTGGTCTAAAGCTTGGCAGGCCATGCGCTGTACAGGTCTGGAGAGCACGCTCTCATTTGTGTCTTGTGTGTGGATGGCGGTGCTGGAGCTGCTCGGGGTACAGGCTACACACCTGGGCGCAGGTCCTACCTTGGAGTCCTGGCTCTGCTTGGATTGGCTGTAGAATTTTTGGCAAATTTCTCACTCTTTCTGAGCCCTGAAGCTTCATCACTTAAATGGGTGAATATCGGTTTCAAAGGATATTATGAAAGAAGGACTTCACACAGAGCTATCTAAGGAAACCAGGGAGGGACACAGGCCAAGTGGGCTGTGTATTTGAAATCGAGATCATGTGCTCAATTGCCTACAGGGCTCATGAAGGTATTGTCAGAGGGTGAAGCAGGCAAAGCAATGAGATGACAGGTGCCCACTGACTCTTGCCTTGGTGCCAGGAAGAATTGCCAGGGTGTGGCAGGGCCTGTCAATAGGGAGAGAGCCAGCTGCCTCCAGACAGGCAGTCACCACTCCCTCCAGGCAATGGATGTCAGGCCATCCAGAAGATCTATAATAGCCAGACCTCCAACACTTTAAGAGAAGTTAGAAACCAGATCACACCTGTAATCCTAACACTTTGGGAAGCCGAAGGGGAAGGATCCCTTGAGCCCAGGAGTTCGAGACTAGCCTAGGCAACATAGCAAGACTTTATCTCTACAAAAAAAGTTAAAAATTATCCAGGTGGGCATGGTGGTGTACCTGTAGTCCCAGCTACACAGGAGACTGAGGTGGGAGGATCACCTGAGCCCAGGAGTTGGAGGCTGCAGTGAGCTATGATCTCGCAACTACACTCCAGGTAAGGCAACAAAGCGAGATCCCATTTCAAAAAAAAAAAAAAAGTAAAATATTAGCTAAATTTAAAATTGAAAACCTTTGCAGTTTCAACCTGTGTACAGCAAACAAACTATGTTGGCAAGCGGGTATTTGACACTGGGATCCAAAGGAAAGAAAGAATGCATTGAAAAGAGTTTTGTGCCAGCAGAGCATGACACACATTTAATTCTGACGTTGATTATTGTTATTAGGAACTTTCTGCCCTGTTCAGATGAGGCCAGCTGGAAAGTGATGCAAAGCAGTCATAAAGCGGAGTTTTATCTGGTTTTATCTCTGTTCTGAGCTGCAAGTGTGGTGCCCCCATCTGCAGCAGAATACCTACAGGGCCCCCATAGCCCAGGTCCCTACCCACTCTGCATCACTGAGGGCGAGACCCAGGAATGTGTGATTCCTTCATGCACTTAATTTTGCCCTAGTGAAATCATGTGCAAGATCAAAATGTGTAAAACTGAGACCCAAATGGCAGGTGTTGAGCCAGATTCCTTGCAGGCCTCGGCCACTCCCTGGATTTATATGAGGTGCCACCCTGGAAGCTGCCTGCCCTGAGGGCATTCACTCCAGCAACACAGAGGAGGGTTGCACTGTAGTTCTCACAGCCTGGGAAATGCAGATGCTGCACTCAGATCTAGGGCCCCAGCCAGCCAGGGAGTAGCTGAGGCTGGGGAGACGCTGGCTCCTCAGGAATCTGGCATTCAGAGCTGTTGGACACTGCCAGGTCCTCAGTAGCATATAATCCAGCATCCTGAGCTGACGGTGAGGGGGCCTGGCCTGAGTCTCTCCAATGCCTCTGACTGTGACCTTGGCTAACCTAGCTCCTTAAATAGCAGTGTGGCTATGGAGTCAGACAGGCCTGAGTTCTGAGCTGTGTGACCTTGGCAACTGCCACAACCTCACTGGGCCTTGTAAAATGGGTTTGTGAGGCTACCTGCCTAGGAGAACTGTCATGGGGATTAAATGAGATGATGCATGTAAAGCACTGAGCACAGAAGCCCAGCACACGATAAGAACTCAAAAAAGTGGAAGATGCTATTATTAATAATAATATGTTTTGACTTATCTATGAAATTGCAACAACAGCTCCTTCTTTACCTTCTTAAAAAGAGGTCTATGGATGAGCTCTGAAGTAGAGGCTTCTGTCCATCCTGGGCCTAGTGTATCCTCTGCCTGCTCAGGGTTCCTCTGGATCTTTTATGCTGGGCCTGTTTGGCAAGACACTGGGCAGGAATTCACTCTTCATGGCCAAACCCAGAAGCCGGGGCCTGAATGCATCCTTTCTCTCCTGTCCTGGGTCCAGCTAAGCCTGAGTTATCTGAATGATCTGAAACCAACCAGCTTTTTCCCAAGCCCTGCAGTGTAAGGTCCCCAGGACAGACAATGGGAGGGAATTTAGAACTCACCTGCTCCAGGCTAAGACTCACAGGAAAAGCTGAGGGCAGACTATGGCCCCTACCTTCAGAGTTGGAGGGTGGGATGAGAGTCTTCTTGGCCCTTCACAGTGATTCCAGAGGACACCCAGCTAGCCTGGAGCCCCAGCCACTTGAACCCCTATGATGGACATAGGCGGAAGGAGCAGCTAGCCCACAACCCAGCTGCTTGGCAAAAACACGAAGGGCATTTCCACTGCTTCCTCCCAGCTCCTGCAGCCTGCTATCAGCACCACACCTGGTCAAGCCTGGGCGGCAGGGGAGAGGACAGCAGTGGCTCCAGCATGTCCTTCCTTCACATCCTGCTGACAGTTCATTCAGGGGATGCTCCTCTGAGCTGGCAATCTCAGGACCAGGGAGGCAGCCTGAAAACCAGCCTGCTCTGGCCCATATCACTCCCGGAGAATGTTACCAGTTATTGAAAATTTGTTTCTTGCATTGGGATAAATCAAGGGCTACTGAATGCCAACGCAGAGGCAGGGGTCATGGGTAGGAGCTGCCTCCAGTGGGCCCTGAGACCTCTCTCCACCGGGTGGGGCCGAGTCATACTAGCGATGACAGAACACCTGACCATCCTGCACTGCCCAGACCCACTTCTCATTGACCTTCAGCACTCTCAAGATCCCCCAGCCTCCACGCCCCATCCCAGGCACCCTGCCCCTTCCCGTCCCATCAGCCATCAAGTCCGGACTGTCAGCATCTCCCCTGCTGCAGGCCACATCTTGGTCGTGAGTGCTTGCTGCGGCCTTGGCTCCTCTGTCTAGTAACTGGACCCACACACCTGTAGGCTCCATCTTCCCAGCCCAACTCTGAAACTCTGATCATGCCCTAAAGATTCCCATTGCCAACAGCAATAATTTCCAACCTTAGAATCACCTTGGGAGCTCCATGAATGGATCTCTGACCAGAGATTCCACCTTGATATGTCTAGTGTTGGACCCTAGTTTTGTTTTTTAAGACTCTTACAGGGTTCTAATGCATAGCCAAAGTTGACATATCTTGAGACATACACACTCACATTTTAATTCCATATTGTGGTGATCAAAGGCCTCTGGGAACAGACCTTAGTCTGCCCTGACAGCCTTTTCCAGCTGCATACACCCCATCATGGGTCATTTTCTGTAGTCAGCCCTCTGATCCCTGTCTCCACCTAGCCCTTCCCTCCGCCATGCCTCGTCCTATAGGCATACCCGCTTCCTATATCACCTCATTCTCTATGCCTTGCATCCTGCGCCTGCCTGATGTTAAAAGCCTAATCCAAGAGCCTTTCTTTTTTTTTTTTTTTTTTTTGAGATGGAGTTTCACTCTTGTTGCCAGGCTGGAGTGCAATGGTGCAATCTCACCAAGAGCCTTTCTGATACCCCCATCATTGTCAGCTGGAAAACATCCCCCTCCTCTAACCCCTGTAACTTCCTCTGTTCTTCTCCCCGGTGCCAATTCTTCCCTGCTAGGCACTGTTCATGCATGAGCTCTCTCCTCTTGAGTCCTACAGGCTTGACACAGGAGGTGCTCAATGGCTGTTGAATAAATAAATGAGAGGAGGAAAGAAGGAAACAAGGAAGGAAGGAAGGAAGGAAGGAAGGGAGGGAGAGAGGGAGGGAAGGAGGGAGGGGAAAAAAAAGAAAAGAAAGAAGGAGGGAAGAAAGGGAAAAAAGAAGGAAAGAAAGAAGGAAGGAAGAGAGACAGAATATGGGCCAACTGATCGCTTTAGGAAAGGATATGGTGGTGAGTTTTGTGTTTTGGAGGGGGAGGGTGGGATGTTGGGATGCAAGGATGGAAAAACCATCTAAATGTTTGTTTATGGAGGTTACTCCAGCCCTGAGTCCCTGGTTTCCTGGGGAGTCACCGGGATTCCACTTTGAGGATCTGGCCCTGGGCCTGGTCCCTCATTTGACTGAGGTTGTAGAATGAAAGTACTAACACTAATCACTGCTTTTGTTTGAGTGCCCACTATCCACTCAGCATCAAGCGTGGCACTTTATATACAGCGTCTCTGACTTGATAACAGCTCTTCAAGGTGCAGCATTAGCATTCCACTTTACAAGGGTGGAAACTGAGGAGGTGAGAGGCTAAGTGGCCTGCCTATGTTTACACAGCCAGTTAGCGGCAGATTCAAACCCAGGTCTGTGTGACTCCAACACAGAAGAGCTAGGGCTGGCTCAGTCTCATTCCAGCTGTGAGACCTGGTCAAGTGGGTTGATCTTTCTCAGCCTCGGGGACAGGGACAGTTAGGAACAGGCTCACACACCTGACAGGGATAAAGGGATGTGTCCCCATCCCTCCAGTTCAGTACCTGCTGGTTCTGGTCCCGAGTGTCCTCCGTGTGGTACAGCACAGCCCACCTGCCGGCAGCTGACACGTTGACCCACAGGCATGGGTACTGGGGCACCTTCTTGCCCTTCAGCTCCTCCTGGTCCCTGATGTTGGTCTCAATCAGGTGGCACTTGGATTCCTGGGTCCACACGCTGAGGAGACCACACACATGCACACATACACATCTCAGAACTGGGTGACACACAGAACACCCATTTGAACCCATTATCCCCTGGGAGCCTCTAGAGGGATCCAGGACTGGGATCCTCATCTTGTCTTCAGCATCCAGCAATAAAGGCACATGACCCCACAGTCCCCGGACACAGGGAGGAATTGTAGAAGCTGGATGGGGTCTTAGACATTATCTATATGACTGGTTCTCAACCTTGGCTACTCTTGCAACAACCTGGGGAGCTTCTAAAAAGATTCCCGTGTCCAAGCTACACCCCAGAGCAAGTGAATCAGAACTTCTTGGGTGGTTTGGCCCAGGCCCTGGGTGTTTTTTCAAAGCTCCCTGATGTGATTCTGACGAGCAGCCAAACCTGAGACTTTCTTATCCATATCGTCTTCATTTTGCAGAGGCAGAAGAGAAACTCAGAAAGGTCAAGTGACTTTGCTGAGACCTTGCAGGACCTGAAGCTAGGTCTGAGTGGGTTGGAGAGCTGTGTTCTTTCCCCTAAAAGGAGCAGATGTAGAAGGGGTTTGAGTTGAGCCAGGATGGGAAAGATGGTGGGGACAGTCTCTAGATGGTGCTTCACCAGATTAAGAGTCCAGCCTGGAATCGCTTCAGCGTTGTGAAGAGTGAGGCTGCAGCAGGCCCGGGAGAGGCTAACAGGTTCATCAACATATTAGTAAATCAGTTGTGCTTCAACTCCCAAGTATCCTGTGGGAGACCCATTGCCAGTCAGAAGGGGGCTGTCAGCTGCTGGAACGTGCCCAGAGCACAGGTCTGAGACTTATCCTAAGGACAGGCTGGGGGAACTGAGTGTCTTTGTTCCAAATAGAACACGAATTAGGAATTCACAGCTTTTCCTTAAAATCTCAAGTGGTTGATATGTCATGGAGCAAGGGCATGGACCATTCTCTGAGATTCCTGAGCAGAACTTCAGGGAAGCAGATGCTGGCTCAATGCAGACACATCAGAAAACCTCAAACATGAAATGTATGTTCAGTGAGGCAAGGAGCTCCCCGTCTCTTGAGGTATTCATCAGGAGGCTGGATGCCCACCTGACAGGGAGGCTTCAGAGGGGAGAGAATTATGCAGCTGAGCTGTAAACATCTGCAATTCTCTGATTCCTCCTGGGATCAAACTTGCACTGGAACCTTTGCTCTGATTCTTTGCTATTTCTTCTGAGAAGGGCATCATGTGTCTGTTACCACCACGTCCTAGATCATGTGTCTGTTACCACCAGGTCCTAGAATCTCAGACCAGTGGGGCTCAGTTCATCCTACCTTCCCTGCACTTGAACCCTAGAACCTAAGAATGAGCATCGTCTTGACCCTGCTGCCTTGAATGAGGGTCAAGGAGAGGGGTGAGTAGAAGGCCAGGGTTCCTTACAGATGCCAGACCCTTAGGAGAGGGTTGGGGGGTGGGCAGGCCGGGAGAGCTCAGTACCTTTTCTGGTAGAGGGGCAGCACAGTCGTGACCAGGATGTAGTAGGTGATGACGGCACACACCACCATGGTTACACCCAGGCAAAGGGCTCGTGTCTCTCCCCGCTTCTGGGCCATCACCAGCTTCTTCACCATATTCACTGGGGGCAGTGATCATTTCTAGGTCCACAGAAGCAAACAGAAGTGAGATCAGCCCAGTTCACAGGTGATCCACAGAAAGAGAGGACAGGTGAGAGGGGAAGGTACTCAACTATTAATATCACTCTTGTTTATATTTGGAGCTTTGCAACTTCCAGAAGTCTTGCTTTTTGGACCCCATGTAAGCCTTCCCTGTGCAATTGAGAGGCAATTGCAGATAAAAGACCTACGGCTCAGAGAGGTAAAGTGACTTGCCCTAGGTCACACAGTATGTAATAGGCTCAGTAATGGCCCCCCAAGATGTCTATGTTCTAGTCTCTGGAAGCTATCAATGTTACTTTATGTGGCAATGACTTTGCAGAAATGATTAAGATAAAGGCTCTTGAAGGCCAGGTGCGGTGGCTCATGCCTGAAATCCCAGCACTTTCGGAGACCGAGGTGGGCGGATCATGAGGTCAGGAGATCAAGACCATCCTGGCTAACATGGTGAAACCCCATCTCTACTAAAAAAAAAAAATACAAAAAATTAGCCGGGTGTGGTCGTGGGAGCCAGTAGTCCCAGCTACAGGGGAGGCTGAGGCAGGAGAATGGCATGAACCCAGGAGGCGGAGCTTGCAGTGAGCAGAGATGCGCCACTGCACTCCAGCCTGGGCAACAAAGCAAGACTCCGTCAAAAAAAAAAACAAAAAACAAAAAAAGATAAAGGCTCTTGAAATGGGGAGACAATATTGGATTATCCATGTAGCTCCTAAATGTAATCCCAAGGGTCCTAATAAGAGGGAAGTGAAGGGAGATTAAACAGATGAGAAAGCTAAGGTGATATGACCAGGGAGACAGCAATTAGAGTGATGTGACCACAGGCCAAGGAGTGCGTCAGAAGCTGGCGGGGGCAAGGAACAATGGCTCATCCCCCACGGCCACTGCAGGGAGTGCAGCCTGCAGACACCTTGGTGATTTTGGACTTCTGGTGAAATTTCTGTCGTTTGAGGCCGTCAGGTTTATGATCATTTGCTACAACAGTCATAGGTCCCATGCGGTGAGCGAGCAGTACATGTGCATCATCCATGCACCTCCTTCCACGGCACTTATCTCACAGGGATACTTGGAGTATTTCTGCCCAGAAACAGTTCTGTGGCAGGGCTAGCTGGGCCGGGCACAGGCAGGGAAAGGAGAGGAGGGCCCCAGAAGGCAGCTGCAGGTTGTCAGGAGAGGCAGGAGGTTTACCATATTCCGGTGTTTTTTTTTTTTGTAAGGAACATTCCCCTACTTCAAGCAAAGAAAGAAGAAAGAAGGCATCATGGTGGCCTCAGCGACTGCTTTCTTATTTCAGGGCTTGAAGCCACCTGGGACAAAGCAGAATGGGCACATTCTGCTGGTGGTTGCTTTCCTTCTCTCCTCTTTCTTTAGGCAGCAACTCCTTGTTTTTCCCCTGGACATTGACTCCACCCCAATGCAAGCAAAGATTCCACCCTCCCCTGCTAGGCTCCTGATCGCTCCCCCAGGAGTGTGAGTCTTGACAAAGACTTCAAGAAACAGCCCCTCAATCTATGCCGCCTGGAGCCACAGAGATGCCCAGCCATGGTCCCCGCGTGATTTCCCATGGTTCCGCAAGCTGTCCTAGAGCCTCTGGTAAATTTATTTGCTGTTGTTTTTATTTGTTTAAAGTAACCAGAGTCCATTTCTACCAAAAATACCAGGAAGCTATCAATGTAATCCTCCATTTTAGGGGAAATTTTAGGGGAATTTAGGGGAAATTTTAGCCAGATATCAGGGGGACTTTATTCTCCTTGCCAGGTCCCTAAAGTAATAAACATATTATGGTTTTTGTTTGTTTAATTAGCCAGTGTCCGGGTGACAGGCCTTAGTCCAAAGAGATTTTCTGCAAAGTGCTCTATTTTCTGCTCAGGCGTCTCTTAACTACTAGACTGTTTCAAATATTCAGAGATTCTTGACTCCCTCCCCTTAGCCAGGCTGCCCTCATACCCGGGCATCTCCGCTAAAGGGAAGAGACCAGGGTCAGGCACCACGGATACCCATCACACCTTCCCAGTGAGCTGGTCCACCTCCCCTATCGATCGGCAGAGGTGACATCCAATGACAACTTTTTCTCCTTTATTTGGCACCAGGAGGTGAGTTTCTCCTGCATTCTAATGGAGACATTATAAAAGCACAAGCAAGCAGAAATTGCCCCCGACAAAGAGAGATGTTTTATTCAACTCTTTTTATTCAATCCTTTTCCTCCTGTTCTGTGATCTTGTGGGAATGGGAGAGCCCATGCCTTTTTCTACCTGGCGTCAGTTGAACAAGACTCTCCATGTATTCACAGGTAAAGCAACAGAATCACCTGGAGGTAAGCTAAAAGCCCCAACAGCCTGCTTCCCCAGGACCTGCAAGGGTCACTGGCACTTGGCCCCACCCCAGATACTGTGAGACATAAATCATTTGAAGCCAATGGGAAATCCCATCTTGGAAGCCTAGGGCTGAGTGCCCACAACAAAGCCATTTCTCTCCTGGGGGAACTGGATCGCACCTGTGGGGGCTTCCTGTGGCTCCTTCCTGGCTAATCAGCCCCCCCCAGCGCCCAGGGCCATGGCCTCCTCTGCTATTTGGCTTCTAGTGCCCTCTCAGGCCCCTGGGCACTCCTGAGGCTGGTGAAGGCAGGAACCTGGTTTTACCAGTTTTAGGAGCTCAGAAGGAAAGGAAAGGAGAGGCTTCCCTGTCACAGAGAAGTCTGGAAACTTGGCTTATTCAGGTCTGACCCGTCTCTAATGGTCTGATGAGATTGTTGCCTGCACTGAGTGAGTTTATAGAGTCATGATAAATCCTCCTAAGACCATGCGTGGGGTTCAGTGTAGATATGACTTCAGCAAGAAGTTAGTATTCAGCATCCAAAGGGAGAACCTTTGGCGGGAGGAAGGATGGGAACTGTCAATATCCCCCAAGGGACAGAAAGAAAAGGAAGAAGTGGGTTTCAGCTATCATAGGAGGGATTTCAGTTAGACTGTAAGAAGAACTTCCCAGTTTTGAGCATTTCTAAATATCTCTGAAGTTCCAGGATATATCTTCCCATTTAGAAAGGTCACTTGAGATCTGGGATAGATTCAGAGAAGATGGAGAAGGACAAAGGAAGGCAGGACTTTGGAGTGTCCTGGGTGACCTGATAGCTGGGTCGACATCCTTTTCCTTAGAAGGACAAGGAATAGAGTACATTGTTGAACAGTTTGGTGGGGTGTGGACAGGGCGATTCTGAGGTCCTCAGACATGGAATCAAATCCTGGCTCTGCCACTTACACTTAGCAACCACATGACTGTGAAACGAGAACCATGGTACCTGCCTCAGAGAGTTCAGCTAAAGATCAAATGCCATATTGAGTATCAGACATGTATCATAGCACCTAGCCCCAAATCAGCCCCCAGTAAATATTAGCTATTACTACTAACGAAGGAAACCCTGAAAGTTTGGAGCAGAAGTCTGGACCCCTCTTGATGAATCTATTTTTGTCCCACCTCTCTACCGGTGACAAGTGCCAGCATTGGTGTTAATCTCCAGGCTGCAGCCTTCTGGCCACTCTGAGAACTGGGACCTAGAGGGCCAGGGCGCTTACTACCAGAGTAACCTGGCCACTGTGCCACCCTCCCCACTGGCCACCAGACCACGGGCCCTCCATCCAGAAGGACAGCCCCGAGAGGAAGGGAGTCCTCCTGCCTGCCTCCCTCCCTGCCCCGTGGCAGGCTGCTTTCCCCTGTCTCCCTCCAGCCCGGTCTTCAGAGAAATCACTTCCCAAGTGCTTTCAGGCCCGGTACTCACAGTCTTCCCGGCGTCCTGTGGGTCTTGAGCAGCAGACAGTTTCTTTCTGCCTGGACCCCCGCCCCCACCCCAAAAGAGGCCACAGAGCTTCAGCAGGAAGTTTGGCCTCCCCGCCCGTCTCCAGGGAAGCAGCTTTTGGTCCCCATCTGGGGCAAGCCTCCATGCCCAAACATGGTCAAGTCTGAGCACACAGCCTGGAGACACAGACTCGGAGAGCAGGTACCCAGCCCTGAGGAAGGCAGCTGTTACCCAAGCCCTGCACCTCCATCTTCCCAGAGTCTCGTGGGAAACAGATTTCAAACAACAACAGACAGCAAGACTGAGAAACTACGAAAGATCAGCCTGGTATATTTGGAAATATTTCTTCTTCTCTCTGTCTCTGTGGGCTGGCAAAGATGCCAGAAATAGGAAATGATTCTCCTTTTGTTGGCATGAGGAAGGGTGGAGTTGGGCTGGAGGGGTTGGGCTTGTCACTAGTCCCTGGCATATCCACGCTGGAGCAGCTACAGCTCCCTGCCTTTGGCACTTACGTGCTGTGTGACCCTGAGCAAGTTATGGCACCTCTCTGGGCCTCAGTTTCCTTTTTTGTTTTTGGTTTTACTCCCAAACTTATCGTTAAATGACCTCAGTTTTCTCACTTGTGTTACTGGCATTTTTAAAACCTACTTTGCTTTAGGGTAGTGATGGGAGTTAGAGACGGTGGGGATTTATGGCAAGGGGAGAGAACTGACTTTTTAAGGACCAACTGAGCTGAAGCTGGGAGTAGTGAGAGCTCCACAACTGCTTCCAACCAGGTCCAGGGACAGTCTGCTCACCAGGGGCCCTCCCAGAGACCGCGAAAGTACAGAGATTTCTTCCTAGCAATAAGACAAGTGAATGTCAGCATTTGCAGGCAAAAAACATGCTTTTAGATCTCTGCTTCTTCATCTGTAAAGTGGAAGTAAGGATTAAAAATCAGCAACAAAGGGCAGGCACAGTGGCCCACGCCCATAATCCCAGCACTTTGGGATGCCAAGGTAGATGGATTGCTCAAGCCCAGGAGTTTGAGACCATCCTGGGCAACATGGCGAAACCCCATCTCTACTAAAAATACAAAAATTAGTCGGGCATAGTGGTGCATGCCTGTGGTCCCAGCTACTTGGGAGGCTGAGGCAGGAGAATCGCTTGAACCTGGGAGGCGGAGGTTGCAGTGAGTCAAGATTGTGCCACTGCACTCTAGCCTGAACAGAGCGAGACCCCGTCTCAAAAAAAAAAAACAAATATATATATATATATATATATTTTCAACAAAACAACAAAAACAATCCCAGATATTGGGGCTTTCCTAAGTATCAGGCGTGGTGGTAGAAGGCAGCTTATCTCCACCCTTCACTTGACCCAAGAATCAAAGAACCTGAAACTGAGACTTGGAGGCTTGAAGTCACTGGTGCAACCCTAGGGGCCAGAACTAGATTCGAAGCTGGCCCTTCCAGATGGCACAGCTTGGTCTGTCTCTGATGACCCTGGGGCTGCTCTGAGACATTAAAAATCACCTCGATCATACAGTAAGCTGCCACCTGAGGCTCTGGAGGTCACCCTGAGTTTCCCCAGCCCCCAGGGAGGTGGGTGCAGCCTGGCCTTCCCTGCTGAGCGAGCTCACCACCTTCCTCCCTCCTGCCTCCAGCAGGCGCGAAATGAAGGCAGCCACTCAGGCCTCCCTGACACACTCTCAGGCGGTGAGTGCCCTTCTCCACCCCTTTCCTAATTGAATCTTATTAACAGGAGACTACAGTGTCTGTTTAATGGGCACCATAGCACCAGAGGGTCTAAGACCAGCTTCAGACCTTGCAGGCAGATTGACAGAGGGATGTAGGATCTGGAATTCAATCTCAGAAGAGCAATTTTCCAAGGATGATCCTCTGTCCACTCAGAAGCAGGAAAAGTCCTCCTGGGGCTAATCCAGAAATGCCAGGCCCCCCTCCTGCTTCCCTGGGGGAGAGATACACAGTGCAACAGGCTGCCATTTATGAGTATAACCGAAGGGCTCCTTGCTCGTGATACTCTGAATAAGTTATTAAGGGCTACATATTATTTGGAAATCATAAACAAACTTTAGCATTCTTCCCAAGGGAAGGTGGGAACAAACAGGGAAGGGGGGCCGTGGGGTCTTCTGCTCCCCCTAAATGAGCCACAACCAAAAGGCATTGACAAGCCCTGTCCTCGAGGGTTTGTGGGTGAAAACCCAGGTCCTTTGCTGGCTGCGGGGTTGTGTGTGACAGATGGCTACAGGTGGAGGGCAAGAAAATAACAATGCTGCAACAATAAATATTGACGGTTTGCATTAGTACGGGGTGTCAGAGATCACAAAATATCTTCTCTGACTCTTCCAACAGCTTCTTAAGGTACTAGCACAATAGGCTCACAATAGACCACTGAGGTGGAGATTTTTCTACCCATTTGATAGAGGGAGTAACTGAGCCTCAGAGAGGTGAAATAAATTGCCCAAGCAAGTTACTTTGCCTCTCTAAGCTTCAGTTTGTCTGTCTCTAAAATAGAGATAATTATACCTAGCCCCTCAGTGTTTTTGAGGAATGAGAGATCACCTAAGCTACCTGACACATAGTATGGAGATTGTCCTTTCCAAAGATGGTCACACCAAATACTTCCCATTCCATGTGCCCTTTTCACAGTGTGGCATCAACACTCCACCATCAAGAGGGGCATTGATGTCTCTTCCCCTTCACCCTGGGTGGAGCTTCGTAAGGGCCTCAATAGTAGAATATGGTAGAAGGACACAGCACGATGTTCAAGGCTAAGTCATAGACGGGGGCTCGAGTTCCCCCCACACGCTCTCGGGACATGTACCTGGGAACCAGCCACCATGTTGTAGGAAGCCGAGGCCCCGTGCTCCAGCTGACAGCCTCAGCTCAGATCTCAGCCAACAGCTAGCAAATCTCACCGGGCATGGGAGAGAACAAGCCTGCAGACAGTTCCAGCCCCCAGCCTGCCAGCCTCCCAGCTGAGGCCTCAGAGAATGTGGAGCAGAGACAGCCCACCTGCTCTGTGCTCTCTCTGAATTCCAGAGCCACAAAATCCACGAGAAGAAAAAAACTAATGTTTCATGCCCCTGCGTTTTGGGGTAATTTGTTATGCAGTCATAGTAACTGGAACACACTTGCAAGTGATTTCAAAGGGGGACTGTTACAGTTGCTGGTGATAGTGGTAGGATTAAACCAGTGAGAATTAAAACACCTGAGATTGCTATATGGAGTGTTACAGGAGAGTTTAGAAATGCTTTATCTAGGTAGGGCATGGTGGCTCATGCCTGTAATCCTAGCACTTTTCGAGACCAAGGCAGGCGGTTCATTTGAGGCCAGTAGTTCGAGACCAGCCTGGCCAACATGGCGAAACCCCGTTTCTACTAAAAATACAAAAATTAGCTGGGCACGATGGCAGGTGCCTATAATCCCAGCTATTCTGGGAAGCCGAGGCATGAAAATCACTTGAATCCAGGAGGCGGAGGTCGCAGTGAGCTGAGATTGAGCCACTGTACTCCAGCCTGGGCGACAGAGTGAGACTCCATCTAAACCAAAACAAACAAACAAAAAAAGTGCTTTATCTACTCTTAGGTCACACACTATGGCACAAATGGAATAGAAGGGCAGTGATATGGGAGGGTATTTTTGTTTATGAAGCACCTACTATGTACCAGGGAATGACCACATAGATATGCAATACATACACATACACATACACATGGACATTCCTCTCCACAATCCCCCACAAAAGGCCTTGTTCTTTCTGTAAAAGCACAAGGCAAAGTGATTTTCCCAAGGTCACGCCCCTAGCGTGTGATGTGATGGAGCCTGGAGTGCACCTGTGCCCGCTGACTCCACAGCCCGTCCCTGCCCCTCTGTCACCCCATGACTCCCTTGGGAGCAGTTTTCAAGAGACCCCAGGTTTCTTCATGATGTCTGCTTCCACTGCTTTCCAGACACCCTCAGCTCAGTCTGTACCCCTCTCTGGATTATGCACCTGCTTGTTTATTTAAGTCTTTCTGAATCAATATCTCCTCTCTGCTGACACTTGGGATAATAAGTCCCATAAATCAAATTGGCAACTGAGTCTTGAGCCCCTGTGTGTGCCTCTCTGAGTGCTGCAGGGATGGGTGTTAGTCACTCTCAGTCCTAGCGAAGCTGTGCGTTCACAGACATCCCAGCACTTGCTATGCAGAGGCTCTGGATACACCACTGTGCCGAGGTGACTCAGACACGGTCCCTTCACTGCAGAAAAGCGATGCCAGATTTCCTCAACTACAAAAATACAGAACAGAAAGTGAAAGATGTGTTTTAAATGAGAGACAGTAATAAAAGGCAGAGGAAATAACGGTGGGAGGTTTTTTAGTAGAGTTGAGATGACAAAGTATAACAACAGCAAAAGTAAATGCCGATATTACAATTAAATGGTCACACAACAAGACACGACAAAAAACATGGTAAAGTTGTTCCCTGCTGTGTAGGGTGATACTCACTCCTTTTTCCTCTGACTCTTTTCACCATATTTTCCCTTGGCCTGATTTTTCTTCCTTTATCCTGCCATGCTGTTAACATAATTGTAAGCACCTTGAAAATCCTCTTTGAGACAAAGAGGAGCATAAATAAATAAACAGCCCTGCTGTCTGTCTGTGTGGTAAGGTTGGTTTTTTTAAAAAAATGCTTTTTCCTTAGTGCAAATCATCCCAGCTCTGTGGGAAAGTGGCATGATGTGGAAGTGCAGGGAGAAGATGAGGTACAGTGTTAGCCTCACTGCTCAGAGAGAGTTGCTGTAAGAGTGGTGGTGGCCTTTTCAACACACATAAAGGAAGCATGTGCCCTCTCCTTCCATGGCACATGTCTCCTCTGTCCTTGCCTCCTGGCCAGCTCTTCCTCTTCCACAGGACTCCCCGCTGGGGCCTTCCCTCGCCCCCAGCCCCTTAGCCACTCTCCGCGCCTCCTGGGCCAGGCGGAAGCTCTGCTTCCGCATGCTGGGAGCACCGCATGCCTCTTCTGCAGAACACTTCCTCCGCCTGTAATTTAACATTTATTCATGTGCATCCTCCATTAACATGTCTCCTAACCCAAGGGTAAGCTCTCTAAAATCAGGGACTGGAACCGTTCTTATTCACTGCCGCATCTCTAGCGCCAGGAGGAATAAACAAAGATCTTGCGGTTTTGTTGTCATCGTGCTTTGGTTTTCGGGAAAAAAAATCTCTCGCTTTTTTACATAACAGAATATTATAATCATTTTCCCATGCCATGAAACATTTTTCTTCTTTAAATTGATATATTATAGTTTCACAGTTGTACATAAAACACTTTTCTTTCTTGAATTTTAATTATAGATTCGGGGGATACACGTGCAGGTTTGTTGTGAGGGTGTAATGCGTGATGCTGACGTTTGAGCTTCTATTGATCCCATCACTGATAGAGTGAACATAGTACCCAAAAAGAAGATTTTCAGCCTTTGCCCCACTCCCTCCTTCCTTTTGGAGTCCCCAGTATCTATTATTCCTGTCTTTATGTCTGTGTCTACCCGGGGATTAGCTCCCACTTAGAAGTGAGAACATGTGATATTTGGTTTTCTGTTTCCGCATTAATTTGCTTAGCATAATGGCCTCCAGCTGTATCCATCTTGCTGTAAAGGACATGATTTCATCCTTTGTTATGGCTGTGTAATATTCCAAGGTGTATACGTAGCACACTGTCTTTATCTAATCTGCTGTTGTTGGGCACCAAGGTTGTTTCCACACCTTTGCTATTGTGAATAGTGCGGCAATAAATGTACAAGTGCAGGTCTCTTTATGGTAGAATACTTTATTTTCCTTTGTGTATGCATCCAGCAGTGGGATTGCTGGGTCAAATGATGGTTCTATTTTTAGTTATTTAAGAAATCTCCAAAGTGCTTTCCACAGGGGCTAAATTAATTTATATTTCCACCAACAGTGTAAAAGCATTCCCTTTTCTCTGCAGCCTTGCCAGCATCTGTTATTTTTTTACTTTTTAGTAATAGCTATTCTGACTGGTACGAGGTGACATCTCATTGTGGTTTAATTTGCATTTCTCTGATGATTAGTGATGCTGAGCATTTCAAAAACATTTTTCTAGAAAGGCTATACAGTTTTCTAGGTTATGGCTAAGTCGGGATAGATTTCATCAAAGCCATGTTGTCAGATATTTAAGAAGGGTACTTGCTTCCCTGCATGCTTGTTTGTGTTTAGCGGAAGGCAGAGTCCGCCTCTGCTATGGGCAGACCTGTTTTATTCTCTACCCCTGAACCACACCCATGCCCAGATGTCATTTTTCATGAATGGACAGGTATAAGGGAGACTGTATCTATAAGCACAAAGTTTGGGGACCAGAACAGGTGGATAGAGATGGCAACATCATAGAAGTGGGAGATGGTGACAGGTTGGCAATTGCTCAACCCTGTCCCAGGCCTGACTTGAGCCTTAGTGAGTGAGAGAGAGCAAGAGAGAGAAAGCTGTTGTTAGGGCTTGTGGGACTCAGAACACAAGAAATGCCACTTTGGGACCTACGAAGAGGGTGTTTCCACTTCTGCTTAGCTGTGGCCTTGGGCAGTGGCCCTGACAGATAATGGCCATCATTATCATCTAAAATAGCTGCAGCAAAGGTAGACTCCTGTGTGAATCGGTGTCCCTAGGTGTGCTGCAGCTGGCTCACACTGGCACCGTGAGAGCCTTTGCAAGCCAAGTGTTCAACCATCAGGAGCTGAAAATCCACCACAGTGATGGGAGTAGCTATACTGTGGAAATCTACAAACAATACACATCAGGGCTTTTGTCTTTTTGGAGAGCTGTTTTGCCAGCACACCACTTTAGAGGATACACTTCAACTGGGAAACCTGAGGAGGTATTAGGAATGAAGGTGTGGACAGGTTATAGGAAACCACAGGGAACAGTGACCTAGGGGCTCGCAATGTTGGTTGAGGGCTGAGGGAAGGGAGCTCTGTCCAGGATCAGCAGGAGAATCTTCTTGAGAGGGGATGCTCCCAGCCTGGGGAGACCCTCAGGGAAGGAACTGGGGAATGGACTGCTATGCTCACTCTCCTGGAATGTGTTGATGAAAAAGCCAAACTCTGCAAATTATTTGAAGAGATTTGTTCTGAGCCAAATGTGAGGACCATGACCTGTGACAAGGCTTCAGAAAGTTCTGAGAACATGTGTCCATGGTGGTTGAATTACAGCTTGATTTTATAAATGTTAAGGAGACAGAAGCTACAGGCAGACATCAATGAATACACATAAGATTTACATTGGTTCAGCCCAGAAAGGCAGGACATCTCAAATGGGGATGGATTCAAAGATTTCCTGGTGGATTCAAAGATTCAAAGGTGGATTCAAAGATTTCCTGAATAGCAATTGGTTGAAATAATTAAGTTTTGCCTAAAGAGTTGAAGTCAACAGAAAGAACCACGAAGGGGGGTTATGGAAACTAAGGTTATTATTATATAGATGAAGCCTCCAGGTAGCAGGCTTCAGAAAGAATAAATGATAAATGTCTCTTACCAGACCTTAGAAGGTCTGATTAGACTCTTAGTTAAATCTCTCTGGGATGAGAAAAAGACTTAGAAAGGGAAGGGGAGTCTCTGCAGAATGTAGATTTTCCCCACAAATGACAACTTTGCAGGACTATTTCAAAATATGTCAAATAAATATAGTTTGGGGTTAAAATACTTGTTTCTTTCAGAGCCTGCTATCTGTCATGTGATGCTATACTACAGTCAGGTTGGAATTTGGTATTTATTACTACAAAGAGTCTGTTTGTCATCTTAAGACCTCTGTTTTAATGTTAATGCTGGTAAGTTGTGCCTGAATACCAAAGGGAGGAAGGTATTTTATTAAGAGGCATGTCCAACATCCCCTCCCCATTATGGCCTGAACTAGTTTTTCAGGTTTCTTTGAAATCCCCTTGGCCAAGAGGTGGGATCCATTCAGTCAATCAAGCGGCTTAGCATTCTATTTTTGGCGTACAGACCCTTCTGCAGACACCTGATCTCCTTTGGTTGAATCCAACTGGTAGACAGACAAAGAGCTTGTTGCTGCAGTCCCCAGTGATCAGTTTCCAGGGCAGAGCCAGCTAGAGAGTGAGGAGGGGTCAGGAGGGGCTTACATAGATATCAGTCCATCTCCCTGTGTATGTGGCTTTGGGACAGGAAAACTAGGTAAGAGCAAAAAAAGAGGGCTTGAGCACATGGGGACTCCCTGCAAATCCCCCAGAAATATTTGTAGGGGTCTGAAAGGTATGTAGGTAGGGACTCTAAACATTTGTAAGTCAAATTTTATGTGGCTAATTTGGAGCCCCAGGCTGGTAAGAGCTCAGGAAACTCAGGTTCCATAAACAGTGCCTCATTAAATATTCTTTGCATAAAATAGGTTGATGAAAAGAGTCAAACTCTGTAAAATATTTGAAGATATTTATTCTAAGCCAAATATGAGTGACCAATGGCCCATGATGCAGCCCTCAGGAGACCTTGAGAATATGTGCCCAAGGTGGTCAGGGCACATCTTGGTTTTATACATTTTTGGGAGACATCAATCAAATACATTTAAGAGATGGCTTGGTTCAGTCCAGAAAGGTGGGACAACTTGAAGAGGGGGCTGCCAGGTTATAGGTAGATTTAAACATTTTCTGATTGGCAATTGGTTGAAAGAGTTATAATCTATAGAAAGGGATGTTGGGGTTATAATAAGAGGTTGTGGAGACTGAAGTTTTATGATGCAGATGAAGCCTCCAGGAAGCAGGCTTCAGAGAGAATAGATTGTAGATGTTTCTTATCAGACTTAAGGTTTGTGTTGACGTTAAATGCTGGTCAGCTTTTCCTGAAATCCAAAAGGGAGGAGGGCATAATGAGGCATATCTGGACCCCTCTTTCCATCATGACCTGAACCAGTTTTTCAGGTTACTTTTGGAATGCCCTGGTGAGAGAAGGGATCCATTCAGATGGTTGGGAGGACCTTAAAATTTTATTTTTGGTTTACGAATGTTTGCACACTTTTTGTTATTTCCCTAGAATAAAGACTGGACCTCCAAGCCAAAATTCTAGGGCAAAAGGTTTCTACATTTTTAAGATTTTGGTATATATTTCACACCTTTTACCAGAATACCGATACCAATTCTTGTACTCACTGCTGGTAGAGGAGACTGGTTAATTTCACACATAATCACCAATTCTTAACACTCTTAAATTTGGAAATATGTGTCTTTTGGCTAGGTGAAAACTCTTTCATCTGTTTTTAAATTTGCTTTCTTTAGATTACTAGCAAGATTGTACAGTCCTTTATATGTTCATTGGAAGTGAAATATTTTATTTGTCCCAAATTGTGATCAGGAATAAATAAGAAGCCCCTGTTTTAGACCATTCTAACTGTCCTTTTTCTCTGGCAAGATTCAGAGGCCCAATCTTCATCAGCTGCTCTAAGTGGTTCAGGTCAGGACCGGCTCCAGGGGCTGAATGCCCCACCCCAATCCCTCCCAGCCTCTCAGCATGGGCAGGGGGTTTTGAGATTATAAACAGGTTATTCTGTAAACTTTCTTTGCTGAGCCATAGAATGTCAGCCCTCTAAGGGCCCTTAGAGGTCATCTAGGCTTGTTGCTGGAAAAGAGGGTCCTGATCCAGACACCTAGAGTGGATTCTTGGATCTCACGCAGGAAATAATTCAAGGAGAGTCACAGAGGACAGCGAAAGAAGCAAGTTTATTGGAAACTACTTTGTTACAGAGTAGGGCATCCTCAGCAGGAGGAGGAGCATGCCATCCTTTGTGAGTGTGTCTACTTGCAAGAAATTAGAAGGAGCTCTACACTTGGAATGTGTAGATGTGCTTACCAAAGGTAAGGGCTATTGGTGTTATCAATGACCATGAATCTTTTACCCTAAGCCTGCTAACCGATGTTATCTTTAAGTAAAATTGGCTGTACTCTTAAGATATCCGGACATTGTACAGGCTTGCTGGGAGATGCTCTGTATGGCCATAAATATTACATAATTATAAGTGGTGGTCAGCTTAGAATTTGGCTATTTTCAGACCATTAGCATTAACCTTAAACACGCTTTGTGAATGCCTGCCTGCTCACTTCAATATGGAGTCACTCTAGTCGCATTTTATTAAACCAGAGGCCTGGTAAACAGGGGTTTCTATAACAGGCCTACATGACCACTTTGTCCTTGAGTAATGTTTTCTATTTACAAAGTAATAGAGGTAAGTCATAGAGAACTTGATAATACAGAAAAGTAAAAAAGGGGGAAAATAAAAATCAATCAAGATTCAATATCCTGAGGAAACCACAGTCAAAATATTAGTGGATTATGTTCTAAAGATTGATACAAATCCTTTCTAAAAACAAACTTAGGAATATACTATACAATTTAAAATGTGTTCTTATTTTAAATAGAAACACTTTCCCCATTTATGTAATATTGCTTTTCAAAATACCAGTACTTCATGGCCCTATAATAGTCCATCATATAGATATGTCATAAAATGTTTTACTATTTCCTCTTCTGAGACATTTAAGCTATTTTCCAGGTTTTGCTATTATAAACTACTCTCCAGTGATGATCTGTTCATGTCATCTTTGCTCACCTCTCTGATTATTTCCTTCCAACAGGTTCCTAAAAGCATGATCAGAGCCAAAGAATATTAGCCATTAAAAGCCTCTGCCTCTTCTCTTTTTCTGGAAGCATAGGATCTGATAAAATACACACCTCTGTTCTGTTGGTGAGCCATGTGAGCTCAGACAGGTGCAGTGATTTGCCCAAAGCCACATAGCTTTGTTAGACCAGGGATTGGAATTCAGGCCTGTCTCGACAGCCTCTCGTGAGTGCCAGAACCCAGCCAGGAGTCCATGCTTCCTGACTCCTATGCCATATTCTTGCCTTATTCCTTGCATTAGTCCGTTTTCACACTGCTATAAAGATACTACCCAAGACTGGGTAATTTATAAGCACCAGAGGTTTAATTGACTCACAGTTCTGCATGGCTAGGGAGGCCTCAGGAAACTTACAATCACGGAGGAAGGAGAAGGGGAAGCAGGCACCTCTTCACAAGGTGGCAGGAAAAAGAGAGAGAAGCCCAGGGGAAATTACCATTTATAAGACCATCAGATCTCATGAGAACTCCCTTACTATCATGAGAACAGCATGGGGGAGACTTCCCCCATGATCCAATCACCCCCCACCAGGTCCCTCCCTCAACACCTGGGTATTACAATTCAAGATGAGATTTGGGTGGGGACACAGAGCCTAGCCATATCATTCCTCTTTGTAGAATATTTCTCCACTAGTGAGAACTCTCAATTACTGATCACCAACATGTGCCAAGAACTGTGCTAAGTACTTGAACTGCAGTATCTCATTTGATCCTGACCCTTTGAAGTGGTTACTGTGGTTATCCTAATTTTATAGATGGGGACACTGAGGTGGAAACACAGCATTTCTTGTCCAAGGTCATGATGTTAGTACCTTAGAGCCGAAACCCCCATTCCTTCTTGTCTGAGCAGTGTGGTCCAAACAGAACTTTCTGTGGTGGTGGAAATGTTCTATAACTTTAAGCCATTCGATACAATAGCCACTAGCTACCTATGGCTGTTGAGCACTTAAATGTGAACAGTGTAAGTGGAGAACTAAACTTTTAACCTTAATTAATGTAAATGGAAATAGCCACATGTAACTAGTGATATTGGATAGGTATCTCTGGAGCCTTAAGTTTCCCTGTTCCCTCCATCATAGCCTGACTCAGGCAGCTCTGAAGAGGGCTCCCCTACCATCCTTGGACCTCAGCCTGGGGTGGGACTCAGAATAGCCCTCCTAACACGCCTTGCTAATCCTGAGCCAGAGACTCTCTCTGAGCCAGGACCTTGTGCCTGAGACAGATTCTTCAGCTGCCTACAGGGCTGGCAGTCCCAGGAGCTACTTCCTGTGGGCATTTACAAAGACACACTGCAGAGAGAGGCTTTTTAATCCCCTTTTGTTACACATTAATGAAAATGTATGTCTGTAATCCATAAATAATAAGATTGCTCCTGCAAAGCTCAAGGTCTACATTTACACTCAGAGTGAATATTATTATGAACTTCACTAGAATCTTCTCTGGGAGTTCTCAGCAGAGCACCATCTCCCAGAAGACTCTGTCTCTAAGGAGGGAAGTGAAGGAGCATAAAAGGACTGATTTTTTAAAAATCAGCATTTAATCTGGGCACGGTGGCTCATGTCTATAATCCCAGCAGTTTGGGAAGCCAAGACGAGAAGATTGCTTGAGCCCAGGAGTTCTAGACCAGCCTGGGCAACATAGTGAGACCCCATCTCTACAATTTCTTTTAATGAGCCAGGCATGGTGGCGCATGCCTGTGGTCCCAGCTACTTGAGAGGCTGAGGTGGGAGGATGGCTTGAGCCCAGGAAGTCAAGGCTGCAGTAAGCCGTGATTTCGCCACTGCACTTTAGCTTGAGTGACGTTGAGACTCTGTCAAAAAAAAAAAAAAAATCCCTCATAATTTACTGAGTGCCTTCTTCATGCCAGGCCCTGCACTAGGCCTGGCACATGGCTCCCTACGGTACTTTCATAGAGTTGCTGTGACACAAATCACTACAAACTGGGTGGGTGGTTTAAAGCAACAGAAATGTATTTCCTCACAGCTCTGGAGGCCAGAAGTTCAAAATCAAGCTGTCAGCAGGCCCGTGCTCCCTCCAAAGGCTCTAAGGGGAAAATCCTTCCTTGCCTTTTCCAGCTTCTGGTAGTGGCAGGCACTCCTTGGCTTGTGGCTGCAGCACTCCAGGCTCTGCCTCTGTCTTCATGTGGCCTTCTCCTGCTCTGTCAGTGGCTTCTTCTCTCCTGTCTCTGATAAAGATACTTACTGTTGGATTTAGGGCCCACCCAGGTAATCAAAGAAGAGCTCAAGATCCTTTGTTTAATAATGTCTACAAAGACTCTTTTTTTCCTAATAAGATCATATTCAAGGTACCAGAAATTTGGACATGGACATATCTTTTGTGGGGACCCCATTCAAGTCACTATACTCATCTTATTCAATCTATATAACAACTCTGAGAGGGAGGTGAATTAGCCACGATGGACTAACTGCCGCAACCACCCCAAGGTTTTAATGGTATTATACAATAACAGGGCATTTCTAACTCGTGGGAAGTCCAATATGGATGTTCCTGCTTGGGAGGCTGTCCTCTAGGTGGTTGCTGGGGGAACCAGGCTTCTTCCATCTGTGGCTGCACCATCCTGTGGCCTTGAGGTCCCCCTGGAGTTATCCAGCAGGTAGACTGGGAGCAGGAGAGGCAGAGAGAGCATGTGAATCATTGAACATCTGATACACAGACACATTGGCCTGGAAGTGACATACGTTACTGATCCTTACATCCCATTGGTGAGGACTAGTCATGTGGTCTGCCCAGCTGCAAGGGAGTCTGGGAAATGTAGCCCCTGAAGGCTCAGTGGCTTCTCAGCATGAGTATCACACTCTTGGGATGGAGGCAGGGGGAAAGCACCACACCTTGTTGGTCAGCTGGCCACGGCTGCCACAGTGTCATTCATTTACTTATTCTTCATTCATGTAATTCATTATTTCACTCATTTTTCAGAAGAGAACTTTGAGGCTCAGGAAAGTTAGGTGATTTCACTGTCACAGAGCATTTAAGTCACAGTTCAATTATTATTTATTAAGGGGTGCTGAATTAGGTGCCCCTCGTTCACGTACGCCTGTTCCATCTTTGGATTTAACCCACTATATGATTTATCTATATGCGTGCCAGGAACATGATTGGTAAGACTGATTTACACCACCTCCCAAATTGTACTTTGGCTCTCAGTTCTCCTCCCTCTCTCATTTGTCCCTTTGGAGAATGGGTAGAGAGAGCTAGAGCTGGAAAGGCAGGAGGCAGAGAGGTACCAGAGATAAGAGCCAGAAAGGGAGGGGGTGACAGAAAGATAGAAAGAAACTCCACGTGGGCCAGATGTCCTAGAAAAGTTTTCCTAGTTTGACATGTATGGGATTTTGGAGCAGATTCAGTTAGGAAAGATTCAAGAGCAGAGGAAAAATACGAGAAACATAACTGAGAATTGTGAACATGATCTTCTTTTATGTGTTTATGGAAAAGCAGTGACTTTCTTCTGAATTTGTTTAAAGTCCTTTTGTGTGCTAGACTGTACATCTTGACTATGACCCCATACAGAGGGATGGGGCTGTAGGCAGCATGACCACAGGTCCCCATCAGCCATGGAAAGGCCCTGTTTACTCCTGTCATCTCCTTTTACTCTCAAATGTGCCCTAGTTTGAGTAAATGAAGTGGCCATCCTAACTTTGGAGGACAGTGGCTTTTGAGTGTATAGGTCTCCTTCCCAAGGCCAAGTGCTCCTCTGGGATGGAAGCCGTGGTCAGCTTATCTCTGAATGTTCAGGCATAGCTCAGGCCCTAATGCATAGCAGGTGCCCAAGAAATGAATGCAGAAGCCAGGAAGAACCGAACTATAGTTTGAGCTCAGGCCTTTACACTCCAAATGCCAGATTCCTCCTACTACGCCGGCTTTGGTTGAGGAGCTCTTTGAACACAGTGAAGCAATTAAAGAGTGACTCCTGGTGTGGAGCCACCTGCACTGCATACCAGAGGGATTCACAGAGGGGAGCTGCATATTGTAGTAGAAAACAGCTCCTAAGCTTCCCACTTCAGAGCCTGTGGGGAAGAAGCAGAGTGGGGCTGAGGACCGCCCTCCAGAAACCACTGTCTTGGTCCTGCACTAGAGCACATGGCTTAAGTCTCCTCCTGCATCTCTTGTGGGCAGGAGGCAGGGGATTATAATGAGGTCCTAACTCTGAACACAAACATGCCAGAGAGGTTTGAATTAGAACTCTCCAGAGAGGAAAATTAAGCTTCAGGTTTTAGTTTTTAAAATGTGCATTTATTTATCAGTGTAAATAGCTTAAGCACAGTCTTAAAAATTGGAAACTAATAAAAAATCATCTATAATTCTACCATTTAATAAATGTACTATGTGCATTTATAAATTTTTTTCCAAGATTTTTTTTTCCCTTTGTAAATGGTTTTTCTGTACATAGTTATCATCATAGGCTGTTGTATTGGTTATCCATTGCTGTGTAACAAGCAGCCTCAAAATGTAGTGGCACCAGATGCTCAGGATTCTGCTGAGTGGTTCTTCTGGGCTGGGCTAGGCTGATCTCAGCTAGGATCACTCATGTACTTGCAGTCAGTCGGTCCCAGGGGCCTCCCTTGTGTCAGGTGGTTGCCTGGCTATCATGGGTGACAGGCTAGTGACTATGCCATGTGTTTCTCAGCAGGCTAGACGAGCCTGTTCTCATGGTGACAAGATGCAGAAGCAGTAGGGAAAGCAGAAGCTGCAAGTCCTCTAGAGGTCCAAGCTTGAAACTCACACTGTCACTTACAAGCATTTGATTGGTCCAAGCAGATCATGAGGCTAGCCCAGACTCAGTGGGGTAAAGAAAGTTTATTTCTTGATGGAGGAACTACAAAATATTGTGGCCATTTTTGCAATCTATCAGGACTGCGTGAAGTTTTTTACCTTTCCATTTTTAATTTATTATCGCATTATGATTTTTTCCTTACTAATACAAAGGATTCATGACATTATTTGGATAGTAGACAGACTACAGTTTACTTAAGCATCTCCCAATTATTAAACATAAAGATGACTTCCGGTTCTCCAGCACATAAATAAAGCTGCATGGAACATCTTGATGCAGACAGGTATTTCTGTAATTTTGATTGTTTCCTTGGGATAGACTCCCAGAAGTGGATTCAACCAGGCATAAATGGTTTTTGATATTCTGATAAATGAAAGAAATATGGATTAAATAATACATATGCCAAATTGCCCTGCAAAATTATGCTGCTTTACCTCCAGCCACAGAGAGAAAAGGGATTTTCTTTTCTTTTTTTTTTGAGATGAAGTCTTGCTCTGTTGCCCAGGGTGGAGTGCAGTGGTGCAATCTCGGCATACTGTAACCTCCGCCTCCAGGTATCAAGCGATTCTCCTACCTCAGCCTCCCAAGTAGCTGGGACTGCAGGCACCACCACCATGCCCAGTTAATTATTAGTATATTTTAATTTTTTAGTAGAGACAGGGTTTCGCCAGGTTAGCCAGGCTGGTCTTGAATTCTTGACCTCAGGTGATCTGCTCACCTTGGCCTCCCAAAGTGCTGGGATTATCAGCCTGAGCCGTTGTGCCCAGCTGAGAAGAGGGATTCTCAGCAGCAGCCTGGACTCAGGCATCCTTGCAGGGCCTCCTGGCTTCTCTTGATTCATTTTGTTTTCCTGGTGCCTCATGCCAGGAAGCTGGAATGAAGCACAACTGGGCAGACCCTTCCTTGGGCAAAAGTATTAGTGTCTGTGGTCATTGTTCTCTGACAGTCAGTTCTGTGGTACATAACGATTGGTTCAGGCCCCTGTGATCTTCTTGTCCATGTGAGACTGGATGAGGAGTCTCCTGGACCAGTGATGGTAACACCTGCACCCTGAGCTGGGGAGCAGGTGGTATCACAGACGAGCTCCCATCCCAGGCTGGCTCTCACAGTCCCTTTCCACAGCTGTGTTACCAGCCCCTGCTCAATCATGTTTCCATGTGATTCTCATGGAAACCTTGTGTGATTGGCAACACCAAGATTTGTCCCACATCCAGATAGAGACTAGGGGCTAGAATACCTCTCCCCTGCCCGTTTCTCCGGGCTTGACATTTCAGCCAGACACCTCTTCCACTTCCTCAAAACTTATCTGTCTCCTCTTTTACTTCCTCAGTTCCTTGTTTGTCTAAAACACCAGCTAACTGATAATTGCATTTATAGTTACTATGTTTTCCTCCTAGATAACAAGCTTCATTGAAGATTTTCTAAAAATATTTGGCTCTAATATAAGGGAAATTGGGATCACCATGAGCAGTGAGTTGGTGGGAGAGAGATTGGGGGTACGTTTATGGAAAATCACGGATCCGTGGGTCTGGAAGTTAAAAGAGGACTGGCCCTTTGAGCAAATAAATGAAGAGTAAGCTGGAGAGCTTGTGTGTATAGCATTTGAGGGCAAGGGCTCTGGAGTTCAACACACTCAGCCTCAAATCACCTACCCATTATTGGTCGTGTAAATGTGGCCAAGTTACTTGACTGCTCTGTGCCTTGGTTTTTCCATCTCTAAAATGGACATAATAACCCATACAGGGTTATTATAAGGATTTTGACAAGAAATGGCAGGTAGCAATAATTACACCTACTGAATTTAAAAAGTGGCTCAGGCACAAGAGGTGAGTGGCCTGTTCAAGGCAGCATGGCCTGGAAGACCTTCAGCAGGGGCCAGTAAGCTTACTAGCCCTCATACCCAGGAAAGCGGTTTATTTCTCCTCCCACATCAGCATCCCTCTCTTCTTCCTATGTCGGCCCCAGAAGGTTCACACCCTCTCCCTCTTAGGCTCCTTCCTCATTCCGAGGCCTGGAGGGTCTTTGCACAGAGAGGAATCTGCTTCCTGCCTAGAGCTTGGAGAACCCCAGGCCTTCCGCATTCATGAGGTCCAAGGCCAGGCAGGAGGCAAGGCCATGGGCCCAAATCTGTGCCATGAGTGTCAACAGAAGATCCCAAAGCTGGAGACCCCAAATAAAAACCCCAAGAGATGTGGGGGCATCAGCTTCCTCAGACTCAACCCAGCACCATTCAGCAGCTTTCAAGACCAAGAAGTCCATACTGTTCTCTTGCTCGCAAGATACTCAGCCTATGAAATCCTCAGCTAATGGAGTCCTCAGAGCAGCATGGAGCCTTGGGGGTGATTTTGAGGAACTGACACTGGGAAACAGCCTAGGGTCTGTGGTGCGCATGGTGGGCAGCAGCCCTTGCCTGTCCACACCACGGACCAGCTAACCATAGACGAGTTAAGAGTGACAGCATGCTACTGCTAGCGGGGGAAGCTGCACGTGCCATGGTTAAGGACCCCAGGGCTGGGTCTGTGCCCCATCATGTTGCGTAACAAGAAAGACAAGGATTGCAGGTGCTTTCCCACAACTAAGGTGGGTGCAGCTGCTGGGAATGGGAGAAACATTTATAGATCTAAGGATGGGCAGGAATTTAGAAAGGTAAGGGTACTGTCTGCCTTGGCTGATACTTTTATTTCCTTCTATCCATAAGTGTAACAAAAAAATTTTTTTAAATGCTATGTAAAGATAGGGAGGTTTGAAATTTTTACCAACAATCCCAATCCTTGAACACAAAGACTATTATCATATTTGTGACTGTTGAATATTTTTTAAAGACATGTTAATACTACAGGGAACTGCATTTCTATAGAATGCACTTTGGAAAGCATTGCCCTACAGTATTTATAAATTTCAGAACACATTTTAGGATCTGCCTTGTGTTGTTTCTGTCATCATTTTACATTTGCTAGTCTTGACTTCCAACCACCCAACACGCTTCCTGAGGGCAGGGCAAACTTGGACATTATTGACAGAACAAGTGCCCAATCTGAAAATGTGTCACATTCCTGCTCAGGTTCCAAACATGTCATAGCGGATTTATGGGTGTAAATTATACTGTTTGCTCAAAACACTACCTCATCTTCAGTGGCGTAGTGACAGTGACCTTCAAACTATGGTGGCATCTTAGCTATAGGGGTGTCCCTCAAAAAGCATGGGCTTTGTTGAAGCACAACTTACTCTGCTGTGTGACTTAAGTCAAATAGCTTAATCTCTCTCAGCCTCAACTTTCCCACCTGTAACCTGGGCAGGATAATAGTTTTTAGCTTCTAGAACAGATTAAGGGTGGTAATATGAGTGGACCATTTAGAGTAGCTCATGAGATAAAACTCAAATGCTAGCTGTTGTCATTTGGCTGTTAATGTTATCTTGAAATCCCACAGTAGTCAATAGTGGATGGCATTAATTGGAGGAGGGAATTGTTAGATAAAAGATGGTTACTAGATGATAGAAGGAGATTCAAATTATTGACTGGCAGAGAACTGTTTATGGAAGAGTTCTTGGCTCGTAAGAGCCTCAGTTAGATAGAGCAGGGCCATTGGAGGGAGACCAGTTGCTTGAATGCAAGCTGTTAATCCTCAGGGAATCTCCATGGCTCAGCCAGATCCTGGTCTGTAATCTGCTCTCACCACGGGCTGACTGAATGAGCTCATTGTCATGTAATTTAATAGGAGCCAGGTGTCTGTGATTTCCAAGAGCGTGAGCAGAATCATCCTGCACCCCAAACTAGGAGGGGGAAAAACACCTCGCAGAAGCACACTTGTCCCTAGCTGCTTTCCATGTGTCAGACAGAGAGGAAATTGTCCAATTCCAAATGCATTCCTATCCTTCTCGGGCGATGAGAGAAAGTAATTGGCATAGTTTGAGTGAAATGAAGGTGGTGGTTTGGGGTATTTGGTATTTCTTATTGGCATAAAGGAAAACTTGTATTTTAAATACCCCCTGGCTTCTTGAAGAACGCTTTCTCTGCTGTCACTGCGGCCCTTGTCAAAAAAACCTTAGCTGAAAAGAAAAAAGAATGCACAGAAAAAGAGCAGCAGAGTGAAGGCTCAGTCAGGCGGTGGGTCTTTTTGCGTGGGTATTTGAAGGAAGAAGGAAGGTGCTGGAGGGAAAGTCAGGCTGCTCTGGAAACATTTCAGTCCTGGAACACCTGGTCTCTAAAGGTGCCATCAATAGCACACACTCCCCAGGCACTGCAAAGTGGGCAAGCAGGTGGGGTTTGCCAGTGAGCAACCCTCAGGGCTGCAGAGGCGGGAGGGGCAGTACGGGGAGAGGCTCTATTCTAGGGACCCAACAATCAGTGACTGTTCATCTCCAGACTCAGCCTGATTACTGATGCACCCGAGCTCACACAGACCTAAGAGGCAGATCCAGGATGTGAACACTGGTCTGGCTGATGCTCAAGACTGTGCCATTCCTCTGCCCTCATGCCATCTCCTGAAGTTGAAATCTCAAACTTGGCTGTGTCACCACTGTCCTCCTTGGCTGGGAGTGGGTTCATAATTTACAAAAATCCATCAGGACACTCCCCTGGGACCACCTGCCTTCAGGGTCTTGAGGCCTCAAAAAGTTGCCCTCAGGGATTAGACCTGGGGTCACAATGTGTGCAATGTGGGTGTGAACTCATGTGTCCAGTTGCTCTCAGCAAGCCAACAAGTTCAAGTCACTTCTCCATCCCACGGCTTTGCTCTTGTAACTTGGGAACAAACAGTACCCCATGAATAAGTTCACAGAGGCAGGGTTGTGCAGTAGTGACACGCACAGGCTCTTGAGGCAGTCTGGGTTCCAATCCACCCCTGCCACCAGGATCGCCATGTAGGGTTGTGTGGCTTATGGCCCGTTCCAGAGCTCCAGGCCAAGATGACAAGGGGGGCCCAGCCTGTGCCACTCTACTAAGCCATGGTCCCTGGAATTCCACCGACAGCAGGGTGTCTTATGCCAGTTCTACAAAGTATTCACATGGGCGAGGCCTGGCCCTGTGTGCTGCTAAGAGCTGAGGAATTTGGTTGAGTTACATACCCTCAGTGTGCCTCAGTGTCTTTCCCTGTAAAATGGGCAACATAATGTATTTCTCCTCTGGGTTGTCATGAGCATTCAAGGGGTTAATACCCAGAAAGAACTTAGATCAGTGCCTAAAGTCTGGTAAATACTCAAAAACAAGTAGTAAATATCTAAGAGGCTAGCTGTTAGCATTTGACTGGCATTTTTAAGTGTGTTTTGCTAAAGGCCAAATCTGAATCCATAGTGTTTTCCAGTTTTATATGATTTTGTTCTAAGATCCAGTGTAACTATCAGGAATCCTGGGCAAAGCCATCAGAGTGCTGTGAGCCCCTGCCAGCCATCCCGTCTCATCAGCCTGCCCTGTGCAGGGCCTCCTGAGTCCCCCACTCAGGGGATCACAGACACAGTGCAGGGCCTCCTGGGTCCCCCACTCAGGGGATTGCAGACATAGCATGGGTGCACCTGGGTCCCCCACACAGGGGATCGCAGACACAGTGAAGGTGTACCAGGTCCCCCACTCAGGAGATCGCAGACACAGTGAAGGTGTACCAGGTCCCCCACTCAGGAGATCGCAGACACAGTGCAGGTGCACCTGGGTCCCCCATGCAGGGTATTGCAGACACAGCATGGGTGCACCGGGTCCCCCACACAGGGGATCGCAGACATAGTGCAGGGGCACCTGCATGTTGTTCTTGCACCCTGAAATGGAATAGGAAGGCTGGCTTTTTTTTTTTTCTTTTTTAGCTCATCTTCTGTTTTGGACCAATTAAAATAAAGGCATTTTAAATAGGCCCTGTGGAAAGGGAACTGAAGTTGTTTCCCCAGGCTGAGCTCTGCACCAGAGGTCAGGGCAGGATTAATAAGGAAGCTATAAATACAAACAATGGCCCATGTCTCTGTGGGCAATGTGCTCTGGTTTGGGAGGAAGGGAGAAAATTAAATTATAATGGGAAAATATAAATTATTTGGATCAGGATAAAAAGGAAGAAATCAGTGGTGTCTGAATGAATCTCAGTGAATCTGTCAGAAGAGTTGTGAGGTTGGCTCAGTGTAGGTGCACAAAGATGCCTAGGAGGATGGTGGAACAGGGCCCCACACAGACGCAGGTGAAACTCCAGAGTCCTGCCTTTTACTGTTAGCCATGCCCCACCTGTGGAATTCAGTGCTATTCTGAGATGAGAGATGATTGTATTTGTCAGATTTTCTATCAAAGTAAATATAGATGGTCACCCACCCAGTGAATGTGATTTTAGCACCTTCCCTGTTGCAGACCCTCCCAGGTACTGGAGGTTTAGAGGGAAACAGAGCCAGCTCTATGTTGCCCTCAAGGAGCACCCAGACATATCATGTGGCCAAGATGATTGCATCCAAGCGATGCTAATTGATTGCAGCCTTGCATGGACCTGGCCAGGTGCTACAGCTCCTTGGTAGCACTTGCTCACTTTTATTTCATGGTACCTCCTCTCCCCGCTAGGGGGCAAATGTCATTATGATGCCCATTTTACAGATAAGGAAGCTGAGGTTCAAAGATATGAGGGGACTTCCTCACAGCCAATATGTGGCAGAGTCATGGTTCAAACCCAGGGGTTCGTACCTTCAAAGACCAAGTTCTCATCCACTGTGCAGACAAATGTTCTGACAGAGGACAGGCAGGGGACAGAGAGTGAGAGAAAGAGAGAGATTGTGTGTGTACATGTGTGCACATGTGTATGGCAGTGGCTCTGTGTCAACCTGGAAGGCTTCTTGGAGGTGGTGATGTCTAGTGGAATCCTAAAGGAAAGGTCTTAAATGCTACACTAAGGAATTTGGATTTTATCAACATTTTTTTTCTTTTTTGAGCAGAATTCAGACATGATTATATCCCCCCAACAAATCTATATTTAATAAGCAACTCCAAGGTGCCAGACAATCTTCTAGGTGCAGAGAGGGTTGCAGACACTTAATATAAGATGTAGTCTCTGCCCTTTCCTAGCTTCAGTCTAGCTGGAGAGATGAAACACAGATTTATTTAGAAGATAATAAGTAACAGTGTCAATAAACCAATGCCGAGCGCCAAATAAAAGTCAGTGAGTAGGTGAGTGGAGGTCAGAAGAGGGGGCAGTCTGGGCTCTGGGTTGGTCAAGGAAGGCTCCCAGGGTAGATGGAGAGAGAGAGGTTGGAGGGGTTATGGAAGATTCCAGAAAGGGTGCACTTTGAGGGCTGGGGCCTAGTGTTTGGCAGTACTAGTTCCCCCATGCTTAGCAGAGGGCCTGCCCATAGCAAGTGACGGTGCATGCTGGCTGAATGAATAAATGTTGGACCCAATGAAAAGAAAGGACAAACGGTTGAGAGATGAGGCATAACAAACGGACTGTGGGTTGCAGGGATGTGTGACCACTGAGCCTCTACCCAGCCCACCAATACAGTTTAGTTGACTTGTGGCCCCACCAGTCAGATGACCTTCCTTGGCTTTCCATTTTTTTTTAGGTCATGCAGGCACATCTGTGGGAGAAGCAAGTAGACTCTATAGGGGAAAAGCAGGAGAAAAGATGGGAGAAGCCTTGGGTGACAGAAGGAGGAAGCCTTGAATGTGAGTCCAACATGTTAGCTTTTTTCCTGCAGGCAGGAGGCAGCCATTGAGGCCTCTGGACATTCAAGTAGCAAGAGGTAAATGATTTGGGGAGATTGATCTGGCCCTCCAAGGGGGAAAGAGGAAAAATGCTATAGGAGAGGGTTTCAGGAAGTGACTCCTGCTATTTAAAACGTGCAAACCCTTTCATCCAGAAATGTGACTTCTGGAGATTTGCCCCAAGATCGTGGAACAAGTGTGAAGAAACAAAAACAAACAAAAACCAGCAAAATGCCTCCTGGAGGTCCTTGCAGTGCTGTCTTGGGTGGAGAAAACTAGAATGCAGCTTTCTCCAGGGGTGCAGTGCAGAGTGAGGGAGCTTGCTTTTTCTCTGCTGCCTCTCACCTCAGGGCCTCTGCACCAGATGTTCCCTCTGCCTGAAATGCTTTTCCCTGCCAGGTCACATGGCTCAATCCTTATCTTTGCTGAAATGCCCCCTTCTCAGCAAGACCTTCCCTGATCACCCTATTCAAATTTTCTTCTGTAGCCCCACCCCCTCATTTACACCACACACCTGCCGCCCCAGGCACCCAGCCTCGTGACTATCTGACATACCCTTCATTTTATTTGTGTATCTCCTGTCCCTCTGGAATGGAAACTGCAGTGGCGATTGTTGTCTGTTTTGCACACAGGCAGTATCCTCAGTGCTAAAGCAGCGCTGGGCGTAGTAAGTGCTCAGTGAAGATCTGTTGAATGAGTGAATGAAGGAAGGGAGGAAGGAATGATGGTGGGTAAATCGGCGAGTGTGTGGCCTACACAGGACATTAGCTTGAGCACCAGAGAGCAGACCAAGGCAGGTCCTTGGTTCCTGTGCCGACCTGCATTGCGGAGGACTGCGGGGTCTTGGTAGATGAAGCCTGGCCTGGGTCTTTCAGGGCCCTCTGGCTGGGGCCAGGAGGCACAGCTGCAGTGGACACTTTCAAACTCATCGTGCCTGGCCTTGGCACTCGGTGGGCTCATTTCTGGTCATAATGACACCTTTCTAAACATAGCTACACAAAATTAAAATGTCACAGTGCAAATGCTGCAGCTGTGTGGTACTAGAAAGAACACTAGGTCTTGAGTCAGAAGAGATGGACTCAAATCCCAAATATCAAGCCATCTCTCTCCTGGGTGTGACCTTGCACTTCTCTGAGCTTCAGTTTCTTCATCTGCAAGATGGGAATGGTACCAGTAGCTGTGTCACAGACTGTTGTGAAGGCCGAGGAATTAAGCACGGCGAGAGATTTTTGGAAGCTGCAAAGCATCACACATTGGACATGACTTTTACACATAAATATGTAAAAATGGTCTCCTGACTGCGTCCTTGGCTTCCTGGCCTGCCACATGGAATGAGGGCAGGGCCTCCCTCTCAGCACAGACTGGTCTCCTCCACCAGCCCAGCCTCCCCTTGTCACAGTGAGAAGGAGCCATTGACCCACTCAGAAGCCACTCACTTCTCTCTTACATGGGGAAATCAGCAAACCACAACCATTTATGAATCCTGCATGTTCCCCTGGTCTTGTCCAACTGTATCTGCTACCATTCCTGAGTGGAAGTTAAAAAAAAAAAAAAAAAAAGGCAGAGCAAGTTGAAGATGGGAAAGAGGTGACCTAAGGTGACAAAGAGTCAATGTAGAAGGCAGATATGTCTCATCCTCGCAGTGACTAAGATTAATGGGCATGGAGTGTCAGGAGCCCTGCCTTAGGAAGAACTCTGAGACTGGCTCCAGAATTCTGTAAATCCAATCAAGAGTGTTGCAATCAGTTAGCAATGTCTGCCTCAGGCAAGGGAGAAGAAACTATGGTCTGTATGTCATATCTAATATTCTCCCTTATATCTAAGGTACCCTCTGCTGTGAGACATGCAATCAACCCGATGAAGCTTTTTAGGAAAAAGTCTATTGTTACATCAAGTTTAACGTAAAGCTGCCTCCTTACATATTTTAAGGTCAGCCTAAAGGTTTCTCTGCACATCGTGAACTATAGCAAGTAGAGATGTAAACAGACTGTAGCCTACACTTGTGCCGATCAATGAGTTTTGGCCAATCAAATGTGGCCAACTGTTTGAACCATGTTCAAACAGGGCAAATGCTGAGCTATAACCAACCCAGCTGTTTCTGTCCCTCACTTCTGTTCTCTGTGCATCACTTTCCTTTTTCTGTCCATAAATCTTTTTCCACCACGTGGCTGCGCTGGAGTCTCTGAGTCTACTCTGGCTCAGGAGGCTGCCCAATTCAAAATCATTCATTGCTCAATTAAACTCTTTCAAATTTAATTCTGCTGAAGTTTTTCTTTTATCACTCTATTAATGCTAGATGTTGACTATTGAATGGATCCAAGTTTCAGGAACTTACAAAATGTGTGTGTGTTTGAAAGAAGGAAATCATTACTTGCTATCCCTTCTCTATCAAAATCTACTTGAGCTTTTCAACTAAAAATTCAATGCGTATTCTTTGGGGTATAAATAAATGTGCTGAATCTACCTGGGCTTTTCCCACTCTGTGGCTTCTTGTTTCTATGTGTGATGCGAAAAGGAAGCTGTGGAAATGGGGAGGAGATTCTTCCAGGTGTTGGGAAGGCTTCCAATGCCCAGCATGTAGTAGGTGCTCAGCAAATGTTTGTTGAATGAATTTTCAATGATGACCTCAGTTTCTGCATAACTTTTCATGATTCATAAATGCTGTTACCTTAGCTAAGTTTAAATGTAGTATTTTATCTCCTGTCATATATATTTTTCTCTCTTTTTCTGTGAGTAGACGCCATGATAATCAATCGGGATAACCCACGAGGACGTTGTTTCATTCTTTCTGAGTGAGGGGATGGGGCTGATAGAGGAAGCCGGGGAGGGGTTTGCCTGCTGATTTCTTCCTGCTTTTGTGTTTGTGTTTGCCGTCTGCCTGTCCCTCACATTTCCCTCAGTGTGTTCCTATCCTTGGATCCCTAATCCTACAGCCCAGGACTTTCTACAACGGTACTACTGACATTTTGGATGGGATAATTCTTTGCTGTGGGGGGACTCTCCTGTGTGCTGTGACATTTAGCAATATCCCTGGCCTCTACCTACTGGATACCAGAGGCACCCCCCACCCCCAGCCGTGACAACTAAAAATGTCTCAAGACACACCACCCAGGTGAGAACCACTGCTTAGCCTCCCCGGGGAACATGGCTGGTTCCTTCTTTCTGAACAGTTTCAGAAGGAACATCAAGTCTGCAACAAGTCTTCTGACTTCATGGTCCACACCAGTGTCAGGCCCACCGTCCTATCAACCCTCCAGGCTCATGTCTCCAAGGAGCTCTCTGATCATTCCCTGGTGTCTCTCTCGTTTGCTGTCTGCCCCTCTCCCCTGGGCTATGAGCGCCACAGGAGTTTTTTCTATTTTGATTATCTCTCTATCCCTGGGGCCCAGAAGTCCCTGGCACTCAATAGGTTCTCCAGTGGATAAAGGTGAGGACGAGGTGACTGGGGGAGCCTCCCTGTGGAGTGACGTCTCCATGCCATGAAATTGCCAGCCCTGGGAAGTCATGAGGAAGAACACTCCAGGCAGAGGGCACAGTCACCGCACAGCTCTCAGGCAGGAACAGGTTTGCCTTGTGGAAGGCTGCTGGGGAGGAGAGGGGAGCGGGATTGGAGAAGGGTGCTCCAAGAGCCAGAAAAGCTAGTCAGGAGGCCACAGTGAGGGGTGCAAACTCAGTTCCAGGAGTGACAACAAGCCCTCTGGAAACCTCCCAGATGTCCCAAGGTCCACCCCTGGCCCACTCTCACTCTCCTCTCTCCTTGTCGCCCAGCCTCACTCTGGGAAGGCTGGGGAGGATTCCTAAATCTGGTCTGAACTCCTGAGGCTGAAGCCAGAGCTGGTGTGGCCCCCAAGTCATATCTCAGGGTGGGAGAGAGTCCTTCCATCAAGGAGGCAACGCTATGAGGGCAGCTCAGTGCTCAGCCCACCCCTCTAACCCTCATGGGCGGGCCCTCAATCAGAAACCACAAATTCCAGGCTCAGTCAGGGAAGGCCTGGATCCTCCACTTCCGGCTCCTCCCGGAAGTCAGCTTAAAGAAATGATGCGGAGGAATGATCACTGAAGAGACTCGTCATTCCTGGTCAAACCATGCTGGAGGTCAGGGGTTTGTTAACTCAGCCTTGTCACAGGGGCCTTCCCTTCCACCTCAATGCTACGACAGAGCTGGTGTTGAAGGTCTTTGACGAAAAAGCTACATTTCTGCATTTAAAATGGAGAAGATCAGGCCACTCAGTATCTCCGGTGTAAGAAGACATTTGGCAATAGTAACAGCTAATTTTTTTTAATACTTACCGTAACTCATTTTACCCATTTCCTGCCTAGAAAAAAAAAAAGTGCAGCTCACTGCCAGCACTCATTTCTTGGGGCAAACAGGAAATAAGTTAATCTTAACAACAACCCTGTAAGGTGCATAGTTTTATTATCATCCCCATTTTACAGATGGGGAAACTGAGGCAGTGAAGTTTAGTAATTTTCCCAGATTCACTAAAATTTCTAAGATATGTTTAACAAAGAAATCCACCCTTTAACTCTTAAATAATATCCTCTTTTTAAAATTAATGCTAGAATATGGTGCAATATCTTTTTAATTGAGTGTATCTTTTGCCCCAGCAATTCTACCACTAGGAACTGAGCCTAAGGAGGTATAAATATTTAGTTAGAAGGATGCAGTATTATTTAGTATGTGGAACTCAATGAGAATCTCCACTAAGAGGGGTTATTTAAATAAACTGTGATGCCTCCATATAAATGTAGCTGTTCAAAATGACATCTGTTTGTATGTACCAACATAAAAAGACATCTAAATCATATATTTTAACAGAAAAGTCCAGAATAATCACATTTTTGTAAGCAGTCATTTTGTCTGAGGACTGGGATTTCTATTGACTTTTAATTTCTTATTTTCACGTGTCTATAGTCTCTAATTTTTCTACAATGAACATGTACTACATTTATAATAAGAAAGAAACTCAATAAAAGTTATTGAGTAAAAGAATAAGCAGCCAGAAATCTGTCTCTTCTGGGGAATTAGTGAGCCTCTTCCTCCCTGAGAGTAGACGCTATGGCTGCTTTGCTGGAACCTTCCATTTGTCCCAAATGCTCCACTCTCTGCCAATGGGAGACGGGGTCTATATTCACCTGGTCCCTTCTGCGTGAGGCCACCTTGGCAGAAGTCACTGCCCCTCCCAAGGCATCTGACCCTGCAAAACCCTCTTGTCGTCTGGGTTCTGGTAAACTCCCCATTCCCTGTTTTTTTTGTGGGTATACAGATAGTAAAAGCTCTGCTGCCCTGGCCCTGGTTTTAAATGCCCCCTGGTGTTTTCTCTATACGCCACTGACACCTTGATCATGAGTCAAATCACCTGAACATAGAGTAGCATCTGCTTCCTGTTGAGAATCCAACGAATACATTTACCTGATTTGCTCTCTCTTCTTTTCCTAAGTCCTAACTTCCTAAAATAAAATGACTCTCCAATTCACCTGTCCACCTTGGCCTTCTCTCCTTATACCCAGTCTTGCCCACTAGACGTCTTCGTTTGGGCAACCACACAGCTTATAAGCCTCCTGATGCCCACCACAGGAGTCTTATTTTGTGCTGCCACGTTAAATTCTCTCTTCCATGAGCACCACTCTTTCACTTTCCACCCACTCCAAACCTGAAAATCACCTTTCTCCACCCCTCCTTTAATTTTTTACATCTCATCAGTGCCCAAAACTTCTGAAATCAACCTCAGTAATGTTTCCTTCAAATAACCCCTTCCCGGCTGGGCGCAGTGGCTCATGCCTGTAATCCCAGCATTTGGGGAGGCCAAGGTGGGTGGATCACTTGAGGTCAGGAGTTCAAGACCAGCCTGACCAACATGGAGAAACCCCATCTCTACTAAAAATACAAAATTTAGCTGGGCAGGGTGGCATGCACCTGTAATCCCAGCTACTGGGGAGGCTGAGGCAGGAAAATTGCTTGAACCCAGGAGGTGGAGGTTGCAGAGCTGAGACTGCACCACTGCGCTCCAGCCTGGGCTACAAAGTGAGACTCTGTCTCAAAAAAACAAAACAAATACCCTCTTCCCATCATTTCTCCAGCCCTTGCCTCCTCAAGTCCTCCTGACTGGGTTCCCTTGGCTCCCTGCTTCCCCCTCAGTCTGTTATGTGTGACTTCTGGGTAAAGGTTCTTAAAATACAATTCAGATCCTATCCAGTCCCCTACTCAAAACTGTGCCCATGGGATCAAAACCAAACTCTGCAACATTCCATTCAGAGCTTTAAGAGTACTTTTCAGCCTGAGGTCTCCTCCTCACCACTAACACCCTTCCCTCCAATCAAACTGATCCATTGTACCTACAAAAAGCCCGTCCCACCTCCTAGCCTTTGTTCACACTGGGTTCTCTGCTGGATCACCATCCCTCCACATTTCCAGGTGTCCCTCAAGACTACTCAGCAGCAGCTATCCATACAAGTTCCTCAACCCTGGCTTTCTTGCCCTCAAGTAACCAGTTCATCCTCCCCAGTCATATAGCCCTCTATTTACATTTCTTTTCTGGAAGCTATCATTTTTCACGTGCCATTTGAGTGAGTGTCCTCGCTAAGACGATATTTTCTTTGAGGGCAGTAACCTTTCTTATATGTCTCTGTATCCCATGAACTTAGCAAAAAACAAGGGACAGAACAGGTGCAAAGTCTACGTGGTTAGTGAATTTAACAGATCTTCCTAACGTGTAAACGTCGTTGTCCAGGTGAATGGAAGAAGTGAGCTGAGATAGAGGGGACAGACAGAGTCAGTGTCCAGTGCTGACCTCTGAAATGGAAAAACATGGCCAGTCCTTAGGAGGCTGCAGAGGCCAAGACCCCAGTGAGGTTTGGGGGTTCCACAGCAGAGGAGGAGCTGTGGACCACAGCAGGACCCCGATGCCATCAGCAGGGGAGGAAGTAATCAGAGAGGTGGAGGAAGGAAGCCAAGGGAAGTCAAGTAAACACCAAATATTCCCTCCCGGTCCAATGCTGTGACCTGCATAAGCCACCACTCCCCCAGTCTAGACTCTACCCATGGAAGAAGGAAGAAGATAGAACTCTGGATTTGAATATAATTCTAAAATAACCAAATTTATCTGAAAATGACTAGGCTGAGTTTTCTGCTTCAACCAGAAATGGAGCTTGGAGTCAGAAATTATGTGAAATTATAGAAGAGAAAGTCACCATCTTCCATCTCTGAGTCGTATGATCATTTTAGACATAAAATTGTGCACTTACGATGTACCAAGTGCTTAATATACGTGATCTCATTTCACCAGGGAAACTGTATAATTCATTGCTTTAACTGACAAAATTCTGCAACTGAAGAAGGTGCTGTTAATAATTGCATTGGGACGCAGGCCTGAGCAGGCCATGATTTGTGGCTGTCCTACATCTGACCCTCACAGTATCCATGGGAGAAGGCAGCATGTTTATGCCCCCTGACAGCTGGGGAAACCAACACTTAAAGTGATTAAGTCACAAGTCCAAAATAAATGACAGAGCTGCAGTTCAAGCCCAGGTGGTCATTTACCAAAGGCCATGCTCTTTTCACTTTGCATGGGACTGTGACCGCTGGCTCTACCCAGCTTCCCAGTGCGACCCTTCCCCGCCCACTGTTTCTCTTCTCTGGCCAACGGAAACACAATGAGACCACATATGTAACATTACATTTTTTCATAGCCACATTGAAAAGAAAAAGGAACCAGGTAAAATCCATTTTAATATGATATTTTATTTAACCCAATACAGTTGAGGCTTGAACAACACAGGTTTGAACTGTGTGGGTCCGCTTACACATGGCTTTTGTTCAGTCTCTGCCACCCCTGAGACAGCAGGGCCAGCCCCTCCTCTTCCGCCTCCTCCTCAGCCCACTCTACATGAAAACAAAGAGGATGATGATCTTTTTGATGATCCACTTTCACTTAATAAATAGCAAATATATGTTCTCTTCTTTATGATTTCTCGTAATAACATTTTCTTTTCTCTAGCCTCATTTACTGTAAGAATACAGCATATTCCCAGCTACTCAGGAAGCTGAGGCAGGAGAATCACTTGAACCTGGGAGGCCGAGTTTGCAGTGAGCCAAAATCGCACCATTGCACTCCAGCCTGGGCAACAAGAGCGAAACTCCAACTCAAAAAAAAAAAAAATAAAAAGAATACAGCGTATAATGCATGTAACATATAAAATATGTGTTAATCAACTGTCTATGTTATGGGTAAGTCTTCCAGTCAACAGCAGGCTATTAGGAGTTAAGTTTCTGGGGAATCAAAGGTTATACACAGGATTTTGACGGCATGGTGGTTGGCACTCCTAACTCCCACATCGTTCAGGGTCAACTGTATATTCAAAATAGTATTCAAAATGTAATCAATAGGAAATAGTCATTCATGAAATACTGCGTCTTCTTCTTCTCCCCCCCAACCCCACTTCTTTGTATTCAGTCTTCGAAGTCAGTGGGTATTTTAACCTTACAGCATATCTCAATTCAGATTACTCACACTCTAAGGACTCAATAGCCACGTATGGCTGGGGTCTGCCAGCCGGACAGCGAGGTCTAGCCCTGATCTGAGCAGGAGCCATTTGATTGGGTTGTTGGTACACTGCCATCTGGTGGACAGATGTTCCTTGCTTGAAAAACCACCTCGAAGGAAAGTATCAGCATCAGGGACAATAGCACAGTGGGCCTCAGGATCAGCTCCCCGGAAAGAGCTTGGGGTTGGAGGGGGTGTTGTTGCTGAGGATGTCCCCAGAGAAGATGTACAGCCATGGAGCAAACTCAAGTCACTTATGATGTCGGCAAACCTTGGCCGTGGTGCACTCTTGTTTCCTGGTTGCAAAAGGATTTAGCAGAAAATGGTAACTCTTTTTCAGAAGGCATATTTAAAGCAGCTCTTTAAAAAGCAGGAGTTTCTTTCACACCCAGTTTCGCCATGTGGTTGTGTGAAGGGCTTCTCCCCAGAAATCATGTGGTCTCTCTTTTAATTCACAGTAAAAACCTTTCTTCTGTCTTGGCCCATTATGGCTGCTATAACAAAATATCATAAGCTGGCCTTATATACCATAGAAATGTATTTCTCACATTTCTGAAGGCTGGGAAATCCATGATTAAGAGTTGGTGTCTGGTGGGAGCCTGCTTTCTGGTTCACTGATGGCGTCTTCTTGCTGTGTCTTCACCGAGGGGTAGGGACAAGGCAGCTCTCTGCAGCCTCTTTTCTAAGGGCACTAGACCTATTTGCCATGGTTCCAGCCTCATGAACTAATCATTTCCCAAAGTCCCCACCTCCCAACACCATCATCTTCATGATTAGATTTCAATATATGAATTTGGGAGAGGATAGAAACATTGAGACCATAGCATCTGCCAAGTTGTGTCTTCCTCACTCAAATTGGGTAGGTGTGGTTATTCCAGAGTTTCAGTGAACCAAGACGTATTTTTCCAATGTGAATAATTAATTAAGAACACTTGATTAGGGTCAATGTTATTCTGGACTTCTGAATCACTCCCACATTTGAAGGGGAGTTTTAAACACAACTTTGTGTGAATAAAATGATGTGTCTGCATCTCTCCAGGAAGCAGTGTTTGGAGCTGAGATGACTTGGCAGGGAGAAGAATCCACTGGGACATTCAATAACTTGGCATTGAGAGTGTTTTCAGCACCATGCTGTCCTCAGAATAGTGTTAGAATTTATATAAACACAGATGTGACTTGTGCCTTGAAGGAGAATACAGTCTTCCCAGGAGAGACATGCAAAACCATCATAGACAAACAGCAAGAAAACAGCATCAAGGATGTACATGCACCGGGCAGAATGTAAACTGGATGTAAAACCAAGCATTTGAGGGCAATGAGAAAGGAACTTGGTTCTGGTCTCAACTCTGCCACCCACAGCTGCGTGACTATGTCTCTGTCACACTGCTTCTCAGGTCTTCAACTTTATCGTCTCATACTGAGCAAGAGACAGTCTGGACAATTTATGCTTCTAGAATGGGGAGACAAGAAGAAAAGAAAGATAGATACCCAAGGACTTCAGTGACTGGCTCAGGAAGAATTACTCAGCAGTGAGGGGGCCAGCATGAGCCCAGGGGCAAGAAGCCGGGACTTGGAACAGGAAGGAAAGGTGCTCAGCTGGCTAACCTAGAGGAAAGTGATTGGCTGGAGTGTCTGGTTTATCTGTTTCAGGGATGGTTAAAGATTGCCCCGTTAATAGGCAAAAATTGTTGCCTTAAAGAACCTAGAATCTAAAGGGGTCTTTGACATAATACAGAATAACAGGTCCCAGAGATTATTTTACAGAATGTTAGTACCTCATGATATTAATAGATATATAACAAAACAGACTTCTTTGCCACAAGACTTCTCAGTACCTTTAACATTTTATGATTTTCCCAAAGGACAAAGAGTATGCAGCATTTCCCAGACTTAAATTTAACTGTGAACACCTGTTATCCTGGGGCAGGCGGATTGCTTGAGTCCAGGACTTAGAGTCTAGCCTGGGCAACATGACGAAACCCTACCTCTACCAAAAATCCAAAACTCAGCTGAGCATGGTGGCATGTGCCTGTAGTCCCAGCTGCTCAGGAGGTTGAGGTGGGAGGACTGCTTGAGCCCAGGAGGTGGAAGCTGCAGTGAGCTATGTTCACACCACTCCACTCCAGCCTGGACGACAGAGCACAACCCTGTCTCAAACAAACGAACTTCAGTGACTGGCTCTTAAAAACAAACAAAAACCTCACAGAACCCTCACTGCTCTAGTCCTGACTTTTTATAGATAGGGAAACTGAAAAGCTAAGAGGCAAGTCCAAATTTCACAAAGATAGTGGCAGAGCCAAGATTGGATTTTTGGTCTTTTGACTCTAATACCCAGTGAATTTCTTTTTCTTTCTTGTTTTTTTTTTTTCAATTCCTATTATACACTATTTAAGACACACAAACAGATAAAAAGACTAATACAAGATATCCATGCACCACCACCTAGTGTAAGAAATAAAACATCACCAACACAATAAAACCCCCTTGTGTACCTCTCTCCATTTGTCTCCCCAAGGGAACCCATATCCTGAATTTGGAGATATAATACATGAAAATTCTGGTGGAATTTCAAATAAGTCATATTGTCTTTAGAGGATCTTCTTAGCATCTCCCATGATGTCTAAGTTGTTTCAAAACAAAACCAAAAACCCCACTTGGCCCAGAAGAGCAAAGATTAAAAGCCAGCCTCGAGGATCCCCAGCTTGGCTACCTGCAGCTCACAGCATATTGGAAAAATTTTATGAATCGGTGAACTTTTTCATTCTCAAATGGGCTCTTCAGATGGTTTATTAATTCTGTTAGATGCGGGGGTGCGTCTGGCTTTATTCTGTGTGGAATTTTTGGATGAATTCACTGCCTCACCCCCTCCCCTCCACAGGCCAGATGGGGAGCCGGGTGCTGTATAAATGTTTAATTGTGGCTCAGTAAAAATATTTGCTTTCAGTAGCTGGAAGCTACCAAACGGAGGTAGCGCTGTCTACTAGAGTTGCCAGACTTCATTCTAATGAGAACAGAAATAAAGGCTGATTAAATCAAATTCCCCATAGTGTAGAACCACTTAAATAAATGTTTCATATTGTTTGCATGATGATTTTAAAATGTAACAGCTGCTTATGTAACCATTAGGCTGGACATAAATCATTCATCGCCATCACTGCCGTCAAAGCAGCACTGGCTCTTTTTCTTCTGCTGCTGACATTTCCATTACTAGGGAGCTTCTCAGACATGCTCTTGGGTTCCCTGTCCTTACCCAAGTGCGGGGTAGCAGGAGACTGAGGGAGGGATGAGGAATGAAGAGCAGGCACGAAGCTGCCATTTATCGAAGGCCTACTTTGCACATGTCCCATTGGGCTGGCATTGTCACATTTCATCCTTCCCACAAGGAGGCATTACTGTTCCCATTTTATAGATAGGGATGCTGAGGCCTATGGAAATGAAGTGAGCTGCCCCCAGAGTAGGGAATACAGCCTGTATGTGAACTCAGGTGTGTCTGAGCCTTGGCAACTCACACAAGGCTGCCCGAGAACAAAGGGTGCATCCCACCCCGAGGCTCCACACACCTCAGGCCTTTTAGCAATGATGAGAGCAGTGAAGACCAGACCAAGACTCAGAAAACTGCAGAATCCTTTCGGCTGGGGCTAGGGGTGGGGCAGGGTAGATACTGATCCAAAGGATTTGGACTCCTTTTCCTAGTCCAAATCCCCATCGTCTCTCCCCTGTTCACTGTGTCAGCCTCCTGACTCCCCTGCCTCCATTCTTGCCCATCTCAATCCATCATTCACCCAGTAGCCTGAGCGATCTTTTAAAAGTAGAAGTCAGATTATGTCATTCTCCTGCTCAAAAGCCTCCAATGGCATCCCACCACTCTTAGAATAAAGCCCAACCTCCCACCATGGCCCTCAAGGCCTTTTATGATATGGCCCCTGCCAACATTTGCTCATTCGTTCCTACCCCACTCCTTTATCTGGGCGTCTTGGCTTCTTTCTGGTCTTCAGACACAATAAGCTCATGCCTACCTAAGGGCCTTTGCACATGCTGGAACCATCCTCCTCAGACCCTTCCCATGACTAGCTTCAACCTGTCATTCAGACCTCAGCTCCAAGTCACTTCCTCAGAAAGGCCCTCCCTGTACCCTGGATTGAAAACAGCCCTCCCCTGCACACGCTCCACACCATAGCTCTGTTTCATTTACTTTACAGCACTGAACACTGTCTCTATTTCTTATTTGCTATTTTCCTATCCCACTATAATGTAAGCTCCATGACAGATATCTGGGCGGTTCTCCACTGCTTCCCCAGCCCTAGAATGCTGACTGTAATGTAGTAAGTGTTCAATAACTATTACTTAAATAAATGAATTAACTTGTCTCATTCTTTTCCCCTGCATCCAAGTTGGGTGAACCCTGACCTGGCCCCTTGAAAGAGACAATTTGATTCTGAAAACCAATTCTTACCTCCAGGCTCAGGCCCCATGCAGGAGTCTTTCTCCAGGTGGCCTGGCCATGCAGGTGATGGCAGTCATGGGGGGAGGCAGAGAGCTGCTGGAGAAAAGCTAGGAGGCCCTTTGGGGTTCCCTGTATTCATAGGAAGGAGGATCCCTTGGATCCATGCCCCCAACTCTGCAAAGCTGAGTCTAAAGGATACACAGAACACAAGACATCCTTCTGTTGCCACCAAAGCTTCTGACACCCCATTTTGGCTGGAGAGAGACTTGGGCACAGTTCTTGAATTGGCTGCAACTCCACCCTCCCTCCTGCAAGTGCCTCTTCCTCTGCCACGGAAGCCTCTGTGCCATGAAGAAGACCACCAGACCTCTCCAGGTGAGGGCTCTGGGTGTCAGTCCCCTACGCCCTAGCAAGATCTGGAAGGCAGGAGCCACCTTCCTGCAGGCAGGCAAGGTCCTGGAAATATAAGGTTGTCTGTGGCCATTGACCATCCTACTGCTTCCTGGTGACAGAAAATGTTGCATTGGTGGCAGCCATGGGGACAGCTTCCTGGTTCCTGAATTGCAGCACTGGTCCGTGGCATGCTCTAGGACTCAGGCATTTTCTCAGCAGCTTTTGAGGTAGTGGCCCCGGGCAGGTCAGTTTGGCAGTGTGCTGGGGATTATTCCTGGAGGCCCAGCCTGGTGGCCGCTTCTCCAGCCCTTCCAGTGATTTGGAAGCGGCTGGTTCCTTGCAGTAAGTCCCTTCTTCCTCGAACCACTGACTGATGCAGAGCTCCTCCATGGTAGGGACTGGTTCTCTTAGGCCCCTGTATCCTCAGGCCCAGCATGCTTGGGAAAATGTTTGCTAATGCTTTGTGACTCAAAAGGAATCACACACACACACACACACACACACAAACACACACACACAGTTTTTAATATTATCAGTCATATCAGCCCCCTGAGGCAGCTGCTCTGTTCCAGACAAACCCTGTTAATAACATTCTTATCCTCTTTGTTTCATTTTCCAGCTCAATTTGGAAGCCTGACCTTGTCTTGCTTTGCCTCCTACTGAGAGTTAATACTGGGACATACTGAAGGGCGAAGGCTTGAGTCACAAAGTCACAGGGATAAATCCTAGATCCAGCAGTTACTGTCTACATGACACTAAGCAGATTAGTTGCCACTGGGACTCAGTTTTACCAGTCTGCAAAATGGAGCTATCAGCCGCATCTAGCACTAGGGGCGCTGTGAGCATGGAGGGCAGTCTGCACACAGAGGCTTAACACAGTGCCTGAGCTTGCAGGTGCTTGGTAAATGGCAATTGCTGTCAGCATTGTCTGATTTACCTGAAGGAACAGTTCACACTCCACCCAGATTTTCACTGCAGCAGCCAAGAAAGAACTTCTGGGAAAGCATCTGCTTCCACCCAACTCCCAAGAGGGGTTCGTAGAGGGTGGAGCTGAGAGCCCGCCTCCCCTACCAGCCTGCAGAAAGAAAGCCATGTTTTGGCCTCAGGGAGGAGAAACCCAGATAAAAACCACCCCATGTGCAGCCTTTGCGTGGCCACAGGACCAGCTCCACAGGGAGAGGGAAGAGGCGCGGCCGCAGGACCAGCTCCACAGGGAGAGGGAAGAGGCCTCCTTTCAGGGGTGGGGAGCTGAGGGCAAGACAGACCTTTTCTGACTCAGCCCAAGGAGGGCTGGAGCAGGGGCTGCAGGTTCCCTGCTTTCTGCTACAACACAGGGTAGGGGAGAGTCATGGCCTCCCAGAGCCTCTGCAGGTTCACCTGCCAAATGGAAATAATAGCATCCTCCTCTGCAAGTCACAGCCTTAAAGAGGTGCTGAGAGTCACTAGTTAGACCCAAGCCAGCTGTTTCTGGTGCATTAGGACTATCGACCAGAACCCCTGCATTCCCAGCCCCTCCTGCGGCCTCCAACGACCAGGAGAGAAAGGCGTAAGGTGTAAGACTCTGGGCCAGGTTCTGGCAGCTTATGGCCACTCTTTTCTTGTGTCTGGACAGGAGCATTATAGCTACAACCATCTCATCTAATCCTCACTGCTGCCCTATGAGGCGGGCATTCTTATTTCCCCAGTTTTGAGATAGGCACAGAAAGGGGAAGCGACTTCCCAGGTTCACATTGCCAGTAAGTGGTAGGACTAGGCCCTGAAAAGCACAGCCTGCCATGGGGAAGAGAATTCATCCCCAGCTGAGAACCACTGTATCCTCACCCAGGGGTTCCCAGCCAATGCAAACAGGGACGTGACCAGTCTCCACTGGTCCCCTGTACCAGGTCTCCACCTTGCCGGCCTGCTGCTGGGCCCCAGGACTGCTCCCAGGCTGCACCTGTGGGGTCTGCCACCTCCTCCACTTCCTTTTGAGAAGCTGCTCCCACCCCTTCGCCTTCATCTCAAAGGAAAGTGTGCTGCCAGGCAGCTGGAGCCAGATGGCCCAGAGACAACTCTTCCCATCACACTTCCTGCAGCATCTGAGTCCAACCCCCAACTCCAGAGCTGGCAAGCTGCCCAGAGCCTCCCAGAGGAGGCCTATGGGTTAACTTCACATTTAGTATTTTCAGCATATGGTAGAAAGAAAATAGTGTTGTTAGATGTACAAGTGTGATTTCCCCTTTCCAGAATGCCTTCCTCTCTCCTCCACGTGGTGAGCTCCTATTCATACTTCAAAACCATGCTCAACTATTCCCTGCCCACCTGTTTCCTTCCACTCCTCCCCTTCTAATGTGGGTGTGTCCCAGGGACAACATCTGTGTTCCTCAGTGAAGTTGAGAGAAGCCTAAATTTGCTCTACATAAGAAAAAAGAATAAGGAGGTAAACTGGAAACGGGAGGAGGCTGGGAAACGCAGGGTTGGTGGAAGGACTTGTGGGGATGTCGTGGCAGCCACCTGAGGGTAAGGAACGTGACAGCCAGAGCAGCTATGCTTAAGGGGCTTTGCCACAGTGCGAAAGATAGGATACAAGGTCCTCTTCAGTCTCTCCATGAAAACCACAGTCAAAGTACACATTACTCACCCATGCTTTGGAGCTAGATTTGGGCTTAATGCTGTCTTTTTTTTTTTTTATTAAAACAATATTCCAGGCTGATGGAATTTAACAACAAGGAACATAATATCTGACACAAACATAGCCTAAGCCTTGATATTTATCATCTTATATAGCAAGAGATCAGGGTGTTGAGAACTTTAGAGCAGCTCCGTTATGTCCAGGCTCTGGGCGGTTTCTGGGATTCTGTCTGCTGTCCCATCAGTACTCACGGGGTGGCTGTGTCTGCTACAGACATCATAGCCTCACGAAACCACCTACACTAAAGCCAATAGGAAGAAAGGTGTGTGTCACCTTCACCTTCCCACCCTTTATGGGGGAGGAAAATATTTGCCAAGTGACCCACCTTTCCCTTCTCAATGCCCCTTTGATCAAAGCCTGGTTCTATGTCCCTGCCCAGCTGCGGGTGGTGCTAGGAAAGAAGGTATCTGGGGTTTGACAGTCTGCTGTGAGGGCTAAATAAAAAGGGCGTGAGAGGTCTGCCCTCTGCTTGTACTCCTCTGCTGAGGGAGAACTTGCTGCTTCTGGATACCACCCTTTCCCATCGTATGATAGCCTGAAGTGTTCAGAACTTTTCCCATTAAATCACTTGAACCCGGGAGGCAGAGGTTGCGGTGAGCCGAGATCGCGCCACTGCACTGCAGCCTGGGCAACAGACTGAGACTCTGTCTCAAAAAACAACAAACAAAATTGACTTTCTCCCACTGAGCCCAAGGTGCTTTCCTGGTAACTTCTCTTTGACCCAGTCCTGCCTCCTGCATCTTCCTTCAGCAACCCTGTTCTCCACATCAGCCACCAGAGGGAACATCTTAAAACACAGGGCTAGACTGGGCATGCCGTTGTCTCTGCTAAACCCCTCACTGAGTCCCCAGTGTCTACAGGATAAAATCCAAGCTTCACGGCATTGGAGGCTCACCACAGTCCTACTTCAGCCTAGTCTCTCTTCCTTATTCTTCCCCTACATATATATGTATATATATATATATTCTCATACTGTAGGTGAAGCAACTGAAATGCTTTTTATTCCCCTGACACTTTTTGTTTTTCAAATTCTTGTTGTACAAATTTATGGGGGACATCTGCAGTTTTGTCACATGCATAGATTTTGTAGTAGTGAAGTCAGGGCTTTTAGGGTATCCGTCCCCACAATGACGTATATTGTACCCATCAACTAATTTCTCATCATCCACTCCTCCCCCACACCCTCACCCTTCCAAGCCTCCATTGTCTATTATCCCACTCTCTACATCCATGTATACAGGTTATTTATCTCCCATTTATGGGTGGGAACATGTGATATTTGACTTTCTTCACCTGGCTTGTTTCACTTAAGATAATGAATTCCAGTTTCATTCCAGTTGCTGCAAAAGACGCCTCACAGAATTTTAAATGCTTATATATATACATACACCCCCTTTGTATTTGCCTACACAAAACTAACAAACCTTTGTGAAATGTAACCTACAGGAAATATGATCATGTCTAATGCTGGACATGAAGCAGATGCAATACACAAATCCATGAGGTAGACCCAGGTATTTCAGATCCTGACCTTGATCTCAGGTTTACTTATTAGACCACAGACCAAAGACTCCCACTGATGTCCCCACAGATTTCACCACTTATTCCTCTTGTCCCACACACTCTACTCCAAAGTCACCCTCCTCTAGAGGATAGTCACCTGAGATACTTCAGCGACCCTGCTCACCTTGGAAAATCAGGTGACAGGAATCATCAGTTAAGCCTGTGGACAGTAAGCATCTGTTGGTCTGGATGGTGTGGTGGGCGGAAGGTAGGACCCAATAGGGGCTTTTCATGGTTCCAGCCCCAAACCTCTGACCATGCCAGTGCATGCTGAAGGCCCCCATTCCATTTATGGTCGGGGCCACATGATTTACATTTACTGTCTCAGGTTCTTCTTGTAACACTGTCTTCTCCAATTTTTGATAAGCCAATGCCCCTGACACTTCTATGTTTTGTTCAAATTGTTCTACTTGCCCAGCATTCTCTTCCACCTTCTCCAGCTGTCAAACTCCTACACACCCTTCAAAGCCCAGCTCATGGGTCCTCTCCCTGACAATGATTCCAGCTGAAGGAGATGACATTGCTACTTCCTTGGCTCCTATCATACCCGGTATGGCTAGTGTAGCACTTAACATTGCTTGGTGCTTGGTGACATTCCCAAACGTTCATCTGTCCTCAAGGATGGGAACGTCCTCATTTCCCATCATTTAGGAAGTGCTTGCTAAACCAAAGACTCAGCCCCTCATCAGGAACCAGTGAAGGACAGAGCTGGGAAAGAGTTGTCATGGGCATGGGGACTATGTGAGGTCATACGCAGTTCCTGGGTCACAGAGGTGACCCACGAATGGTAGCTGCAGCGTTGATTGTTGCCCCTACTATTACTGTGTTATTACTGATCTCAGCCCTTCTCTTAAGTGACCCCTTCACTAGTCTCATAGATGAGCGGCCAGCCTGCCTCCTGGATCCCAGAATTTGCTCACTGTCCACGACTTCCTGTCATGGCTGGGAACATTCAGGCAGGATCTGGTCCCACTCGTAGGAGGGGAAGACAAAGAGTGCCATCCCTCCAGGCCCTCCCCTCCTGCAGGACAGATCATCCTGCCTCACTCCATCTGCAGATGCTGGCAAAGCACATTCCAGCCCTCGCCTCTGAGGCAGAGAAACAGATTCCAATTAAGGGACTTGCGGAAAGTGGCTTCATTTTACAAGCAATTGGGTTGTGAATTGAAGCGGGCATTAAAGTTTACAAGCTAGGCTGGCGGAGGAGCCAGAAGGCCTTGCTGCCACTGCCTGTCAGGAGACATCTTCTCCAGTTACTCAACAATTGTGTGGAGTGAGTGAGGAGTCGGCACGAATCCTGCCCTCCATGGCTGATGGTGGAAGAAATGTCCATTCATTCGTCTTCTTAAAACCAAGGATCAGGCTGCTGGAGGGCACAGGATCATCTCTCTCCTGATAGGCTTTCCCCTTCTCTAGCCTTATGTGAGAATCTGGGGGATTTTAGGTGGTGGTGAGAAAATGGGGAAAGAAATCACATTCGTTGACCTCTGCTTACAGCTGGGATCCCCACGCAGCTGAGAAATTTCCAGGAAATTACCTGGGTTCAATGGAGGAACTTAACACTTCAAGCTGTCACCTGGTGGGAAAGGGTGGTGGCAAGAAGTAACAAGATCTCCCAAATGGATCCAACCAGAGAGAAGGCCTCCTCATTTCCTTCTCAGCCAAGCCCACGGGGGCCCTGGAAGACAGAGGTTGCCGGGGCATCCAGGGTCTACACGGGCTGAGCTCCCCAGACCTGGTGCAAGGGGGCCAGGCATTCCCGCCAAGGCTCTGCCACCTACCCAGCAGGACCCATGAGCTCAGCACCTTTCTGGACTTGAGGAGATGGGTCTGGTTTTGGCCTTTTCCCTCCAGACTTCCTTCTGTCTCTGCCTCTCCACTGACACCTGCCTCTGCTGTCCCCCAGGACATTCCACTCTCTTCTCTAAGGCTCAGGCCTGAGGGGTTGCTGGTGGGCAGATTCCATCTCATGGTTGAGCTGTTTGGCCTCAATGGCATTTTATCTCTCTCTCTCTCTGTGTCTCTCTCTTTCTCTTTTTTTTTTTTTCACATTGAGCCATCTTCTTACAGCTGAGGTTTTCATATAAAAAAGCAAGTTGCTGGTTTCTCTTTAAAAGTAGGGCAATCTGGCAGTTCTGGGCTTGTGTAAAAACAATTCGGTAGAGCTAAAAACAGGGGCTTCTGATAAAGCCTGAGCTCCCAGCAGCCAAAGGACTTATCACCCCACAAAAAAATCCCTTCCTGCACTCATTTATATCAACCCCTGCCCCTGCAGACACGTATTGTAGGTTTTAACTAGAAACAAGAGGATTAGCTTTATTTAAACAGCAAAACTGCTTAAATGAGATAATATATGTATTGGGAATGGTGCCTGGCACCTAACCTAATCCTTAGTTAATTAATATTTATTGAGCAAATCATCTTGATTATTAAAAAGACAGGCCAGCTGGACACAATAAGAATGCTAGCTCAGAGCTGGCACTTGAGGGTTCGGTAGAATATTCATGGCTTGGAGGTGGGGGCTATGATACGAGCCCATATAATCAGAGAAGTTCAGATGGGAAATGAGAACCACTTGGTAGCCTAAATTCAGAGAAACTAAAGCCAGCCTAACGCTCTGAAGCTGGCAAGTGTTCATTTTTGGAAATCAGAAAGTGATGATGTGTTATCCCAAGAGACTCCTGGGACAAGATGCAGTGAGCAGCCATTCACAAAGACTACCTTGAACCGGGCTCTTTCCCTACATTTTGTTATTATATCCTCGCTACAACCTTCTGAGGTGGAAATTAATATCCCCATTTTACAGATGCATAAACTGTCTAGTGAGGGTGACAGATAGTATTGACATGACCAGAAGAATAAATATAAATGAGATAAATTCTCTCTGAAGGAAAGGAATAGGGATTTACAATGGTGTAAAACAAAGGAAGTGGGGCCTGGTCTAAGCGATCAGGGAATGTCTCTTTAAAGAAGTGACATTTAAGCTGAGGTCTAAAGGATTAGATGAGTGTTAAATAGGAGGAGACTGGGCAGGAGGGAAATCTTCTCCATGGCTCTCAATCCAGACACACAATTTGAACCACCTGAGGTTCACAAACACAAAGAAAGTATCGTGACCTGATACAGTCCCAGTCTAATTAAATCAGTAGAACCCAGGTGCCGATGTTTTTGTTTCTTTTTATTTTATTTATTACTATTTTTTGAGATGGAGTCTCGCTCTGTCACCCAGGCTGGAGTACAGTGGCACAATCTTGGCTCACTGCAACCCCTGCCTCCTGGGTTCGGGCGATTCTCCTGCCTCAGTCTCCTGAGTAGCTGGGATTACAGGCGCCCAACATCACACCTGGCTAATTATTCTATTTTTAGTAGAGATGGGATTTCACCATGTTGGTCAGGCTGGTCTCGGACCCCTGACCTCAGATGATCCGCCCGCCTCGGCACCCCAAAGTGCTGGGATTATAGGCATGAGCCACTGTACCTGGCTGGTACCAATGTTTTTAAAAGCTTTATGGTTGAACCACTGAAATGAAACAAAAAGTAAATCCAAAGCTCATATACTCTAGCCAAACAATAGCCATTAATAGCTATTAAGTAAATAGAGGAGATGCTCAGTGATAATGAGCAGGTAGATCATCAGCATCCTTGTCATCACCACTACATCTGCCTCCTCCAGATCATTTGGTAGCCAAGTCCAATGTCAAAGGAATAAAGGAAATCTGCCTCTGTTGAGGGCTTGCTGTATGTCACGCACTATGCTAAATTCTTCACTGTTTCATTTAACGTTTACCGAAACCCTTATTATTTTACAAATGAGGACGTTGAGGCTCAGAACAAGGCACCAATTTACCCAGGATTTCACAGCTCATCGGGGCAGTGGGGGACCCTCTTCCAGGCCCACCTGGCTGTAGAGACCACACTCTTTCCTGTCTCCATGCAGAGGGGCCTCCTGCTCACTTTAGCTCCCATTTCCCAGCCTGACTGCCTTGATTGGGCCGCATTTCTTTGTTCTGACCTCAAAAAGAGTTTTGTAGATTTGTGCCCACTTTTCTCATCACGCTTAAGAAAAGTGACCAAAGCTGAACCAAGCTATCTAGGTTCAAATGCTGCTTACTGGCTATCGGGCCCCAAACTATCTGTGGAACTTCTTTGAGCCTCAATTTTTTGTTTTCTATAACATGGGAATAATATCAGTACCTCCCTCATAAGTTTCTTATGAAGATTAAGTATGTATGTGTTAAGATTCATATTAAGTGAGAATTACGCATGTACGCATATACATACAAGATTAAGTATGTATGTAAGCATATATATATACACACACATTTAGAATAGAGCATGAAATATAGCCAGTGTTCAGTTAATGTCAAGTATTGTTAATATTATCCTATGGGCTGGAGTGAGAGGCCTCCTGGGGTGTTTGCTTTCCAGCCCCCAATCGGGTGGCATCCTGGATAGGGTATCATCATACCTCTCCCCAGGAGATCAGGATAGGGAATTGTAAGAGCACTCAGGTTGGAGGTAGGATGTGCACCAGGGAAGCTCAGGCAGGAAGCTGCTGTCTTTCCTGGTCTCTGCAGACTAGGAGCAGCAGCCAGGGACCTGGGTTGACTGGGGGACGGGTCGGTGGGTGGGGTGAGATGACTATCACACCTCCTCTAAAAACAAGATGGGGCCTGGTGCGCTGGCTCATGTCTGTAATCCCAGCACTTTGGGAGGCCGAGGCGGATGGATCAGTTGAGGTCAGGAGTTTGAGACCAGCCTGGTCAACATGGTGAAACCCCATCTCTACTTAAAATACAAAAATCAGCCGGGCGTGGTGGCACGAGCCTGTAATCCCAGCTACTCGGGAGGCTGAGGCAGGAGAATCACTTGAACCCAGGAAGGGGAGGTTGCAGTGAGCCAAGGTCGTGCCACTGAACTCCAGCCTGGGCGACAGAGCGAGACTCCATCTCAATCCATCTATCAGTAAAATACAGGATGGAAGGGAACGCCCAGCTCTCAGTCAGCTGCCAGCCCACGGCCTTGGACGCCACTGATGTGAGCCTGTCTGGGCTGGGGCAGAAGGGGCCAGCGTCAGGTCCTCAGACAATTTCCTCCTGGTAGCCTGGCCTGAGGCCCACCCAACCCAGGGAGCCGGCCCTGGCCAGTTGCAGCCAGTACCACCTGGTGCCCAGCAGAGGGCAGCACAGGCCACAGGCTGGCTTTTTCTAGGTGAAATTTTGCTACAACGTGTAGCCTCTTGGGTTCGGTGTCTCCCCTGTACTTCTTTGCAGGCCGGAGAAGTCCCGGACATTATCACAGACACCCTGCCTCATCCCCAGCTTCTGAGGTCTTTCTGGACTCTGTTAGCATATTTCAGAGGTTCACTGCAAACCAGAAACGGGACTTTGAGCTTGTGTTCCAGGGCAGAGGGCCCCAGCGCCTGTAGGTGCAGACAGCGCACCCCCAACACCCCCGAGTTTCCGCCTCCTCATCTGGAGAGCGGGGCTGGACAGGATGGTTTTTGGGGCTTTTTTGCAAGCTCACCGGGGCCAAGTGAGCTATTTCCCCTTGCCATTCTCTCCCAGGAGGAGAAGGCATAAGATGATGCTGAAGGCACAGGCTCTGGAAGAGGACAGGGCCATGCTTATTCCTGCCTTGTTATGTGATTATGGACAAGCCTTCACTGACCCTTGGAGTGATGGATAAAATCCGTACCCCACAGGGTTACAGGAGAAGTAAGTGAGGGACCACGTGCACGGAGCCCAGCAAGGTGCTCAGGAAACAATGCTATTGTTTTTCAGGTTACATCTTGGGGAGACCACCCAGAGGACCTTCTTTCAAGGACAGGTACCTGGAATTTCTCTCCCTTTCCTACATCATCTTCTTGTTTTCATGCGCAGGGAGGCCACCACTACCTGAGCCAGACCACTCCCTTCTTAAGCCAGGGCCTGCAAATTGCTGCAGCACTGCCCCCTCGATCTCAATCAGACACCCACATTCCTGCCCACCATGCCCAAAGCCCTTCATTGACCAAGACCCTGGCCTCGTCCCAATCCTCTGTAAAGTACACATGCGTCTTCAATCCACCCTACAGGACTGTGGAGCCGAGAAGATGTGGGGCTGAGCATTTACCTTTCCATAAGTTCTCCAGGGGGTTCTGAGGCCCACAGAATCAAAGAGCCACTGCTCTAGGCAATGAGATAGTATTCTAAAACAATTAATGAAGGCCCATGATGGGGACAGGAGAGCCATTATGCAAATTCCGGCCATTCGAGGTTATTAATTTGCAGGAGAGACTGTAGACGCTGGGTAAAGAATGCCCACAATATTAGGCAGTCAGGAGGCTACCCTGCAGGGCCTGTTCCTGCTCCGCCTGGTGAGCAGAAAGGTCTCAGGGACCAGCTTTAAAGGATGACAGGCCTCCCACTGGGTCACAGGGCACAGCTGCCAGGACTGAGGCCAGAATGAAGGCGATCGCCCATCCGGCTCAGTGGTTCTCAGTCTTGGGTCAGCACTGGAATCCCCAGGAGGGAACACGGAAACCCCGAGAGCTGGCTCCGCCCCTAGAGCTGACCTCAGTAAATCTGAGATGAGGCCAGAGAAATTGCATTTCGACAAGTTCCCAGGTGTTGCAGCGCAGGTGTGTGCATGCATGCATGCATGTGTACTTGTGTCTGTGCCCGTGCATGTGTGTGTTCCCCTGTTTTCTGCTTTCTGCAGTGTTTTAGCTCAGACTTCCTGATTGGGGTCCCATTCTTGACCAGAGGCCCAGTCTAGACCTAGAAGAATACTAATACATGCCCAGCTGTTTAGAGCCCACAAGCCCTCTCATGGCCCTTGTTTCCAGGCCCCATAACAGCCCCATAAGTTTGTTTTAAAAGTGCATCTGTAGGGGAGAAAAGATTTCTTTCCTCATCCATCACTAGGTTCATGGCTGAGGCACCTGTAACAAAAGACAGACTCACAAGAGAAAAGCAACCAAGTAATTTAAGTTTTGTGTGACATGGGAGCCTTGAGAAATGAAGACCCAAAGAAACAGGGACATCTATGTGATTTTTTGCCAAGTTTGATGAAGAAGCAGATAATTGTGGAGAAGTATAATCGGAAAATGGGGGTATGATTTGATGGTAATGACCTAAGTGGCATTTGGAAGGCCTGTTTCTTCAGATTCTTCTCTGCGTCTCTGCATCTTCATAGAGAAGGACTTTCCTTCCCTGTGGGTCTAGGGAAGGCACCTCTTAAATGAAGGTTTCATGACCCACTTGAGAATAAATTCAGGAAATTCTTTTATGGCCTGCTTCAGGGGAGAAGGGCAGGAGAAGGTCAGAGAGCGACCTTCCTTCTTCTGTGGTTTTCTCAAATGCCAAGGTGGCAGATCTGGGACAGTGTGTCCTGAACTCCCTCACAACCATGGCTGTCTGCAGGCCAGTCACTCAACGGCCATGAATGTGTATTGACTTGTGAGATCCTCCAAACAAACCTTCAAATCTCTGCTCACCCCCATTTGAGAGACCAGAGATGAGCCAAGAGACATGAAGCAACCTTCCCAAGGGAGCAGAGCCAAGATTTGAACCAGGGCTGTTGGGCCAGTGAGCAAGGGCTTGAAATCCAGTGCAGCACAGGTATCTTCCTCAGCAGGCTCAGAGACAGGAGGTGGACCGGCCGGAGCAGAACGGACCCTCCCCTTCAAAGCGGGACTCTGCCCTTGAGCCCTGAGCAGCCACTCTGGACAGGGTCCACAGAGGAAGGCAATCCTCCAGCCCGCCATGCTTCCTCTGACCTCTTCCCTCTCTCAGATGGAACTGCAAGAAGATCCCAAACCATCCAGGTTTCCCCTACCTCTGGGCCTTTGCACAGCCTTCAGAGCAGCCCTGAGGTGATCTCCTGGGCCATCAGCACATGACCGAACAAACCTTGGGCCACCAAGCTCCTTCCCCGGAGTTGGCTCTGAGGCCAATCCCCCGATTTCACACCATTTTACCATTCCTAGCCTTGGTCCCTCCACAGAGCCCCCTGTTTGCTCCCCGCTGTGCTTCCTGGCACCAGCCTCAGTATTTCCAGAAACACATGCAGAGACTCAAGGCTTGGAGGACTGGCTTTATCGAGAGGCTCTGGAAGGCTCTCTGACCCCAGTGGAATTTGGCTCTCTCCGTCCCTCCAGATGTTACTCAGGCCCCAAACCTTGCCCAGCCTTGTTAGTGGCTTCTCCTTCCCACACAGGCTGTGCCACCCCTTCTCCCTCAGCCTGGACCCCAGACCAGTACTGAGCTTTTCCTGTCAGCCCCTTGGGTCACTGCAGACAAGGCTCTAGTGTTCAAACTCTGGCTTGAGCTCAGAGCAGGGCCCACTCTGGGCTTGAAAATACCTCGTGTGGGGACAGCAGGGCACACTGGAGAGGTGAGGAGGGTCTCCTGTCCTAGGCTGAGGAGCTGGCCCAGAGGCAGCCCTGGCCTCCTCGCCACTCCCCTGAAATCAATTCCTCATCTGAGGGAGCTTTCTAAAATAAAATTTAAAAATTGCCCACGGACCTGCCCAGCTTAAAGCCTTTGCAAGGCTGCTCTTGACCCCAGCATGAAACCCAAGCTCCTCTCCATCCTGGCTGCCAAGGCCCCAAGCCACTCGCCCAGCCCACCAGCCTCACCACACTCCCATAGACTTCCCCACTCTTGGGTGGGGGTGGGAGGGCTACACGAAGCTCTAAAGTCAGCCCGTGCTCTTTCTCACCCCCAAGCCATTGCACAGCCTGCTCCCTTGGTCTAGAACACTCCCTGTATCTGACTTCGACATGTTTCTTCCTCCAGGAAGCCCTCCCTGATGCCCCATTCCCCCTCCAAGGACTGCCCAGCATCTGGAGCACCCTGTACCGAGCGGCACACTGTGGTGCTGGAAACATCCTTGTTGTACTCCTCTGTGCCTGGACACTGCATGTGGGCCTGTCCATACGCCACCCAGACCCCTCGGGTACCTTTCACCATTTCTGAGCACTCTTCCCCTGGCTTCTGTGTGTTTTTGCTTCTAAGAATCTGTTGGGAAGAAAATATTCCCTCTCTATCAACTTAGATCCTAGTGGTAGGGTGGAGGGCTACAAATCAACTGACAATGGACAGATTCACAGGAGAAAAAAACAATCAGTTGTACTCACATGCCTGGGGAAGACTGAACAGCTGGGAATAAGGGCTTCTATACCCACTTAATAAACCGGGTGAACTGAATGGGGTTAGGGCTGCTGTGGAGGCCCAGGAATCAATCAGAAGCCTTCAGCTTTCACCTCCCATCCCCCGTTCCCTGACCCCATGCCACCAGATGCAAATAAGAAGGAAACTTTAATTCCACAAATTGAAGCATTTATGAAGCTCAGCAGGCAACCTGGCAGGCAGGCAGGCACAAGTGAGGAACAAGGGCCCCGGGCTGGGCTGCCTTCCAGGCAGGTCCCCTCGACACAGGCCACTGCAGCTCTCTCCTGCAATGTGTCAGGAGAGCCTGGCACAATGTGGGGGACGGGGGCGGGGGGGTGCGGAGCTTGGCACCACCTGGTGGTCTCAGCTGCCACTCCACACGTAGGAGGCTGGATGCCTGCTGGGGCAGAAGGCGGAATCCAGCCTGACCACTTAGTGGGGCTCATCTACGCAAGCCTTGGGAGCAGTGGCAGGCTGCTGTGAGGGGCGCGCTAGCCTGAGGAACCCTCAGCCTCAGTACTCCTGGGTCGAGCTGCAGGAGCAGGCCTGGCAAGTCCCTAAGGCTTCCAGCAACATTCCCCTTCCCCAGGCTTGGCAGTGCCAGCCCACAACTCAGTCATGGGACACCAGGTGGGCTCCTTTCTTGTGGGCCTGGGGCAGTCTGCTGAGAAGAAGTGGGCTTGCAGCCTTGAGGGGGATTAGATCCTGGAGGAGAGGCCCATCCCTTCCTTCATACAACCGGGGTATGGCTGGCTGTCCACAGGCGGCCATCCCCGTGCCACAGGCTGAGTTCTGTCTTCCCCAAACTCACGTGCTGAAGGCAGGACCTTGCAATGGGACTGTTCTTGGAGACAGGGCCTTTAAAGGGGTAACTACATTAAAGTGAGGTCATTAGGTTGGGCCCTCATCCCATGTGACTTGTATCTTCATGCGAAGAGAATAAGACATAGACACACACACAAAGGTAAGACCACGTGAAGACACGGAGAAGGCGGCGTCTGCAAACCAAGGAGAGAGGCCTCAGGGGAAACCAACCTGCTGACACCTTCATCTCAGACTTCCGGGCTCCAGCACTGGAAGAAAATGAATTTTTGTTTAAGCCGCCCAGTCTGTGGCACCTTATTATATCAGCCTGAGCAAACCAATACACAAGGGCCCAGATACCTAAACAGAAAAGTGTGATAAGGCCATTTAAACCACAAATACACAGCGGGGGTCCCAGATCCCAGAGCAGGGTCTCAGTTATTTCACAGATCACAAAACTGAGGATGCTGAGGAAGGGGGCCTCCCCAAGGCCACACAACAACTTGGAGGAAACACGGAACTGAAGGAAATTGATTCCCAGGGGAGGGCCCTTGCCTGACCCCCTCCTAGGGGAGAGTCAGAGGGTTTCCAGGAGCATGAGGATGCTGAGACTACAGGACTACAGATGGAGGGTGTTTCATGGCTGAGTGAAGGGGTAGAAGCCAGGCGAGTATGACACAGGATCCCTCTTGACAGAATTAGAACACAGAGATCTGGAGTTCCCATCATGCCCCTACCACAGATTCATGGTGGAAACTTGGGCCTCATCTGCTTATCTCTGAAGTGCAGAAATTTATAGCACCTACCTCCAGGGAGAGTTGGGGGTTAACTGAGATCACGATGTACAAACCTGTAAGCTGTAAGGCAATGGAAAAGTGGAGGGTATGTCCTTGGATGAAGCTTCCGCTCTGGACAGCATGGAGGACCCAGGAGTCAGGCTGGGCTGCTGGCTCACAGGTGTTCTCTCCCCCTGGCCCAATGCCCTGGTTCCCATTGCCGTCTGAGCTCCTCCCTTCCATGTCTCTGTTCTTGCTTCCTTCCCTCGGTCTGCCGTCGCCCTTTGTCAGTGATCAGACGTGACCATGGGTAACAGGCATGAATTTTAGTCTCTGCATGCTCAGGTGTGTAAGAAACATGGCTTCCTTTAGTTCCTATAACTAAACTTTATTTTCAGTTTGCACTGATCTTCCTCCAGCTGCCCTCCCAGCCCAGCAGGGCCTCTGCCCTGGCAGGGATGGGATCAGAACTCAAAGCCCCTTTCATGCAACCGTGTGTGCACAGTTACACACAGATCTGTCTAAAATCTAACTAGTAGGAAGCAGTGAGAACTTGGTGCTTTGTAGAGAGGCTTTGTGATTCAGATAACAGGGCTAGCTCCAGGGAGTGTGGAACAAACGAGACCCCTGAGGGCACAGACACCTCAGAGCATTTGTACCTCTGGTGCTGGGGAGGGGTGGGGGGCCCATCTGTGAGCCTCTGGTGCCCATGTGCCCACGTGCAGGGTTTGTATCTTTGTGCACTTTGTACCTCTGTGTGGCAGGCGATCAATGGTGTTTCTATCTCAGCCAGGGACTCAGGTGCGAGACTGAGAAGCCCAGGAGGCAAGAGGCACCTGCAGCCCTAGAGCCCACTGCAGATTTTCCTTGAGGGCCGTATATCCAGAACCATCCCAGGGCTTGGCTTTTGAGAGAAAATGTAGTCTTAAAGAATGAACAAGTGGGCCGGGCGCCGTGGCTCACGCCTGTAATCCCAGCACTTTGGGAGGTCACGAGGTCAGAAGATGGAGACCATCCTGGCCAACACAGTGAAGCCCCGTCTGTACTAAAAATACAAAAAAACTAGCTGGGCATGGTGGCGGGCACCTGTAGTCCTAGCTACTCGGGAGGCTGAGGCAGGAGAATGGCGTGAACCCAGGAGGCCGAGCTTGCAGTGAGCCAAGATCGTGCCACTGCACTCCAGCCTGGGTGACAGAGCGAGACTCCATCTCAAAAAAAAAAAAAAAAAAAAAAAAGAATGAACAACTGCTGACTACTGTTTACTACAATAAGCATAGCTGATACTCTATCCAGGAAGAGGAAGCCACCACTCAGTGCCCCAGCCAAGATTGTTCTCAAGCTTTTGTCCGTCCCAAACCTTTATGAAGCATCCTCACCCACTGACATGTGCAGTACTTAAGACGGTGCACCCTGGAGTCAAATCCCAGCTTGGCCCCACATGAGCTCTGAGGCCCTTGAGGAGACAGCGTTGCAAAGACCCCAGGGGCCGAGTAAGCAGAGGCCTTTCAGAGATCAGAGAAAAGGCCACATAGCTGGGAGCCTTTGTGAAACTGGAGAGGTCATCGGGGCCAGATCCTCAGGGGCCCAGTGGCCCTGGAAAGGAATCTGGTCTTGTACCTAGAAATGGTGGCATTAATTATGTGACTTTGTCCAAGTCGCTGTCCTATTCTGAGCTTCAGTTTTCTTGTCTGCAAAGGGCTCTGGACCAAACCATCTAGGATCCACCCTGACCCTGGGCCTTCATGTCAGGTTAAGGAGAGACAGGGCCTCGTTCTGCGTTCAGGATGAGTTTCTCCAGGGAAAGGCCTTCTAGCTCCGCCCTGCCCTGTCTGGCTCTGGGGACCACGCAGGACTCTCAAGACACTAGGTCACTACACTCAGGAGTTTCCCATTTCTGCCAAGACAATCTGGAGAAGACATCACCCCACTTGAGTCATGAGATGTCCTCAACAGCACCTTCTAGAGTGCAGATCTTTTTGCTGCTGTGAGAGAGGGGCTTATGCAGAATGATATTGTCAGTGTAGACATGTTTCACACAGAGGAGAACTCAGGACAGGGGACAGGAATGGAGGCAGGAACTCGATCTATTAGAACAAGTTTTCTGATGTGGTTATGCATCAGGGATGTAGAATCCTGTGCCTTCAGGATTTCTGGGATTAAAGACAATCCCAGAAAACAGGCCTGGACAGGTCCTGGAATCAGCCCCAGGCCTATTTGGATAGGGGATTCTGGGGTCCTCGTACCCAGAGCCTGGTCTAGACAGAAGGAGGGAGTGGGCTCTGGGTGGGCAAACCCACCTTGGCCCTTTCCCTTCCCTCATCCTGTGGGGAGGGGCTCAGCTAGTGGAGGGTCAGAGAGGGTCTAAAGCAGGGGTTCCATGGTAGGCACCCCTCTTGTCCAGACCCAAAGGTGGCTTGGATCACCACCGAGGCACAGCTGAGTGATAAGTTGATGAGCAGCTGTGTTTTGCTGCCACATAAAAATGGCTCATTCCCCACCCCCCGGCCCTGAAGTGACTATTTACTGAGAGAGGCAACCCTACTGAACAAAAGCCTGCTATTTATTACACGTTCGGTGAACACCCCACAGTTCCAATGCATGGGGAGGGCTTGGAAACCAAATCAACCTTGGGAAAAGGAGGTGCAGAGGCCAAGGTCAAAACCAATTCATGGAAGTGGGAAGAAAGCAGGGCTGGCCTCAACCTTTTCACTATTAGAGAGATGGCCATGTAAAGTAGTGAGCCTCCTGTGGAAGGCATATGCAAGAACAGGTAGAATGATTATTTCTTAGGGGTTTTGTAGAAAGGATTCCTTACACACAAAGGCACAGGATTCTACATCCCTGGAGCATAACTACATCAGAAAACTTGTTGTAATAGATTGAGTTCCTGCCACCACTCCTGTCCTCGTCCTGAGTTCTCCTCTGTGTGAAACATGTCTAGACTGACAATGTCATTCTGCATAAGCCCCTCTTTCACAGCAGCAAAAAGATCTGCACCCTAGAAGGTGCTGTTGAGGACATCTCATGATGCAAATGAAGCAGCTGCTTGCAGGAGCCATGGAGGGGCTTGGGCAGCAGGCGGGGGGTGCCCACAGGCATGTGCCCCTCCAGAAATGGGCAGGAAGTGGAAGGAAGAGAAAGGGAGTCAGGCCCAGGGCAGGGGTGGGGGCTGGGGTCTGCTTTCTCCACACTGCCAGGTTCTGGTGAGGACCTCCCAGGTGGGTGTAAATTTGCAAACCCAAATGGTTAAGAAGATATATCTGTTAATGTAGAACATTTTGTATTTAACCAGTAATTGACTTGATTCATAACTTTAAGTATGCAGATGTGGTAAGTGGACCTCAGTATTAGCTTCCTATTGCCACTGGAACAAATGACCAGAAACTTCGTGGCTTCAAACAACACACCTTTATTATCTGACATTTCTGGGGGTCAGAAATCCAAAATGACTCTCCCTGGGCTGGATCCGGGTGTTGGCAGAGCTGCGTTCCTTCTGGGGTCCTGGGGGAAGCCTGTTTCCTTGCCTTTTCCAGTGTCTAGAGGCTGACCCCATTCTTTGGCTCATGGCCTCTTCCTCCGTCTTCAAAGCCAGCAGTGTTGGGCCGAGTCTTTCTCAGGCTGCTACCTCTGTTCTCTCTCTCGTGCCTCCCTATGTCATTTGTCAAGACCCAGAGGATTCCACAGGCCTACCCAGATAACCCGGGGTAATCTTCCCACTTTAAAGCCAGCTGATTGACAACCTTAATCCCATCCACAACCTCTGTGACCCTCTGCCATGCAAGGTAACATACTCACAGGCATAGGGATGAGGATGCGGATGTCTTTAGAGGGCCACTGTTTTGCCTACCACAGCTTCCATTTGGATTCTTGTCCCAACCCCTACAAAAGTGAGGCATATAATTTGTTGAATTCTGAATAAAATGCTACCAGTGTCTACAAATTATATTTTTTCTTTTTTTAAAAAAAAAAAAAAACCTTCTTCCCCAAGTCTGGTTTCCTTTAGACCTCAGGACTAAGTACCTGAGAAGATCTGCGGGCAAGGATAGTTATGTGATTATCTGGACAGAATGGCATTTCTGATTGACATTGTTGCATTACTTTGGCTCCAGATGCAGTGGCCTGAGAGCAGAAATAAAACCCCCTCCAGCTGCCTCAGCCCACCCTTTGCAGAGGGAGAATTGAGTTGGGGCCACACGGTGGGAAGCACTAATCCTCAGTCCACACAAACCCTCGCTTTCCAATTATTTTGATGGAAGTCATGAAAGAGCACTCAGCTAGGCATTATTAATCCATTTTTTCAATTCAGCAAGTATTGATTGAGCAGCTACCCTGTGCCAGTGAGGTTGGAAACACAAGGGTGATGAACAAGGTACATGTGCCTGGCCGTCACTGGCCAGCTCTGTCACTGCAGGCGGGAACTTTCCTTCCTGTGGGGCCCAGGGTTTTATAATCACATGAGCACCTACACATCCGGTACAGAGCCCCGTTAAGGGGGCAGGGCCTGGCCTGCCTCCTTCACTGTTGTCTCCAATTGCCTCAGATGCATGTGGATGCTCATTCGTTGAATGAATGAATGAATAGATGGTCCTTGCTGATCGGAGAGTCAATGACTGTATCAGGCCAACTGGAAAAGCAGAGGGCAAGCCAAGAGAAGACTTGGACAGTGCCTGCCACCATGGCTGCGAGTGAGAGGACTGCGGATCCCGAGGTGGATTCCTGGGGTGGCAGCTACTGTTTACAAAGCACTTTGCTGGTATTTATTAGGCCACGCAGTTCCCTTCCAAGTTTCCTCCTGTTATCATTCTCACTTTGCAAATGAAGAAACTGAGGTACTGGGATAAAACTTGCTGAAGACCACATGGCTAGTAAGTGTCAGAGCTTGGATGTGAACCTGAATGCTCGCTGAGGAGAGAGCAGCTCGCCTCCTTCCCTCACAGGCACATAGTCAGCCTTCCCGAATTTCATCCGGCAACAATTAACCTCTCCCTTCTCACTATCCCCCGCTCCCTTTCCATCTGTAGAGATCTCCTTGGATCTAAATTATCAGGGCCTAAAGCCAGGCCATACTACCGAGGTTAAAGAAGGTGAAAGGGCTGCATTGGGCAACATTGTTCCTTCAATCCTAACTCTTTAATCCTAATTCATCACTGCACACTCTGCTCCCTTCCCTGGGTGAAGACAGTTTGATTTGCCCAGTATCCAGAAAGTTTGTGCTAAGACAAGGGAAATTGCCACATGGCTCTCTGTTTCATTCAGTCCTTCATAAGCATGCAGCCTGACCTGGAGAAACTGACAGTGTAAAATGCATGGAGCAGCTCCTGTCCCTCTCTTTCCTACCCTTGAGCACTCTCTAAGCAGTAGCTGGCCGATACAGTCGCCCAGGAAGTCTCCCTGTAGCTCGGCCGTCAGTCATTACCCTCACTGGCAGCACGGGACAGAGAACGGGATATGTTCTCCCCTTTTATTTTGTGTGGTGAGACTTGGAAAACTCTGCGCCTAGAAAAATCCATTTCTGAAGGTTGCTGCTATTGAGTAGTGCAGTGAGACTGGGTTTGAAGGTATTGGACTCTTACATAGGCTATGTGAACGTGGGCAAATTGCATCTTCTCTTTGAGAAGTCTGAGCTCAAGTCTTGCTTTGAGTTATTTGTGTACTAACCTTTGACCTTGCTGACAAAAAAAAAAAAAATCACAGTGCTGGGTACAGCTCCTGACACTCCACCTCCCCTACTTCTTTTTTAGATACAGGGTCTTGCTCTGTTGCCCAGGCTAAAGTACATTGGTGCAATCATAGCTCACTGCAGCCTTGAACTTCTGCCTCAAACAATCCTCCCACCTCAGCCTCACGAGTAGGTGGGACTACAGGTGTACTAGTATGCCCAGCTATTTTTATTTATTTATTTTGCTGTCCATCCTGATCTGGAACTCCTGGGCTCAAGCAATCCTCCTGCCTCGGCCTCCCAAAATGCTGGGATTACAGGCATGAGGCACTGCACCCAGCCTCAACTTCTCCCACTTCTATCTTCTCCCCAGTTCTAGGTGAGGCAGGACCTGCCACATGTCCAAATCTCCATCTGTCCCCAGCACTCTACTAAATGGCTTAACTGGGCCCTCACGTCCCTCCCTGGGGATCCTGTGAAAAGACTTGTGAACCTGCTCCAGGTCCTGACTGAACCAAATTTCCTCTCTCTACATGCCGAAAGAGTAATAGGTGTTCCTGCATTAAGCAATGGCTTAATTTAGGTTTATTTTCATTCTTCAGATATCTCTCCCATTTGATGTTTCACCCCCTTGAAGCTCAGGTGAATCTCCATCTTCTTATTCATCTGAATATTCCTCATGCCTGGCATCACGCCTCACTCATAGAGTAGGAATTCAAAAACATCCCAGTAGGAGCTGGGAAAGCTCCTACTGCATGTCTTGTACATCTGCTGTATGCCAGCTGGGAAAGCTCCTACTGCAAGAGAGAGGCAAACCACAAAGGGGACTAAGGGGAAGAATTGGGAGGGGGGCATTTATTGCCCCAAATGACTGAATTTGGGTCAAATAACAGGACCACGGGCACTCACATGTTCAAGTTATGTTCAGGAATCTTCCTGTTTTCTTTATGAAGCAGACCCTACCTCTCATCATAAAGCTGGAAATGCCACGTTCCCTCCATTCCAGCCTCTCTTGCAGCTATGGTGAGCCTAAATGAGCTAGACTCAGTCAATCAAACCCTTCTGCCCTAGAGTTTGAATGGGAAGTTCTGACTTGAAGAATTAGGAACCACACAGGACCCCGTTTGTGAAGGGGGTGGCACAAGGTGCGTGGCCTCTAGCTCCCAGGGGCAGCATCCAGAATTCAGCCTCAGGGATGTTGGTCATGCAAGCCACCAAATCAGTGCCAGCAGCCAAGACGGGGGTGTCTTCACAGGGCCAGTTTCGTCATGTTATTTCAAGGGTTGCTCCTGGCCCGTAGCCTCTGAATTTATTTTAGTTTCTCAGAGATTTCAGTGGGCCAACGAATGTCACTTAATCGATCCCTTTTCTGCTTGGAGGAGCCAGACTCCGTGTTTGTTGCTTACAAATGAGACCTTGACTGAGACAAGTTGTCTTGAGTTTCCAGTTGAAGTCATCCTATTCCCTTTCACCTTGAGGCCTTTGCACATGTCATTTCTCTCACCTGGAGCAGGCATTCACCCTCTTTTTGTGACTGGATGACTCCTACCCAGTCATCCAAGGGTCAGGCTTGAAGACTCTTCCCCTGAGAAGCCCTCCCAGATCACCCCAAATCTGGGCTCCCACACCACCCTGCATGTTCCTCTTAGTAGCATCCTGACCCTGGATTTTACTGTTTATTTCTGTGTTTCCTCACTATTCTGTGAGCTGCATGAGGACAGAAGTGCATCTATTTCATCATTGTTAGTAGTAGTTAGTATAGTTGCCCAGCCTATTGATATTGTTGAATGAGTGGATGGATTGAACTCTCTTAGGCCAGAGTGATCCCCCACTATCACTGCCTGGCAGCATGGAGCAGCTTCAGTTTTTGGACTCAGGGCAATTGCCCTGTTCCAGGAAACCCCAAAATAGAGTTGCCTCATTTCACTTCTACCAGCATGTCTTGTACATCTGCTGTACGCCAGGCCCCGTGTCCTCTTACGCCCACATCCCAGATCCTGCAGGTAGAAGTGCTCACATTGCTGTGCTCCCTTTTCTCTGACCAGCCATGGAGGCCCTGGGGGCTTGGAGGAGTGGCTGCTTACTCCCTGGGGGAAGTGTGGGCTGCAAGCCCCTTGAGTGGGCAGGTTGCCATGGTGATGCTAATGGAGAGACTTGCCTGAGGAATACTGACCACCAAAAGGAACAATTACCAGAGAAGGCCCATTTCTTTAGCAATTTTCAAGAATGGGCAAGATAAAAAGCCACAAGTGAAAAGGCATTGCAAACAAATAATAGTGTATGAGCTGGTCTGGACCCAACAAGGCCTGTTTCCCACCCCTCTTTCCCTCTGGTTGTAGTGAATAAAGCCATACTTTTCAGTGATTTATAACTGTTCAAAAATGACTCGTTTCCATATCTTCTTTCATCTACCCAGCACCCATTATGTACCAAATGCCTAACAGACACTTAAAATATACTCTATAATTATGAAAACAACCCTACAAGGTAATTGTTCCCGTATTACAGATGAGAACACTGAGGCTCAGGGAGTGTAAGGGACCCGTCTAGGGCTACGCAGCTGGGAAGCACATGCAGCACTCTACTTCATGCTTAATTCAAGGAAGCGAATTCTCCTTGTGGGTTAACATCATCACAGTGGCAATTCCAGTGCCTCCATAAGAAAGTGTCCTTGGAAATGAGACACTAGCCCTCTCCTGTCTCATCTGCACAATATCCTATTGCCATCTATTTAGAAGAGAGGTAGTGAGTTGGTTCATTCATTCATTCTCCATTTGTTCATTCATACACATTTATTACACTCAAACTTCTAGGGCAAAACCAGCAAGCCCCGTACTGGACACTTCAGACTCAAAGATAGCAACTTGCTAAGTTACAGGAGCTTCCTCATAATTGCTGAGCTTCTAAGCTCTTTGTCCCAACTCCTGAAAAGTAGCCCTCAACTTCCAAACTGTGCTTCGGGCACTGACATTCCCTGAGCTCCACACACCCTTGGACCACAGTTTTCTGAGGCCCAGATGAGCACAATGTGCAGGGCAGAGCCTGGCACTTCCAGGGCTCCAAGGAGTCCAGAGGAAAATCGGGCAGGTCCTGAATCAGGCTGCTGTAGGTTGAACTCCTGCCCCACTTAGCAGCTGGATGATGTGCAAATTGCTCAGCCTCTCTGTGCTTCAGTTTCCTCACCTATAACCTAGGGCTAAAAATTAGAAGCACCTACTCCATACAGCTATTGTGCTGATACAATACAATAATCCACATAAGGAACTTAGAACAGAACAGTGCCGGCGGTGTATGTTAAATGCTGAGTGGACACCAGTTGGGATTAGAAGTAGCAGCATTGCCAGGTACTCCTGAGCAATGGGTCAGCTAATTCCACTCTACCCTCAGACCCCACCCTCCTTTGCAGTTCCTTCTCCTGCTTTGATAACTAGAAGCAGTCATATAGGGCCTGGGGTCTCTACTTGTAGGAGTTCAGTCAGGGTGGTAGGAAAAATTATAAAAATTATAGAAAGACTCAAACCTTCTTGGAAGGCCGGGAGGTTTTGCAAAAGTTTTGGGAAAGGATTTGGCTGAAGGCAGCTGAATTTTCTCAGAGTAAATAACAAGGAAGTGTAAGGGAATTAATCTAGATAAGTTAGTTTACTTAGGCCTTGAAACATGGCCTTTAATCATCCATGCTCAGGACTGCTCTCTTGGGGGAAAGGATCGCCCGACCCCCCACCCCACCCTCACCCCACCCCCTGCCACCATGTTAATTACCCACAAGTGTGTTGACTCAAAGCCTTTGTCATTAAATCTGTACTGAATATATGCCCACAGCACCAGCTTGTCAAGGCTGCAGCTGCTGACTCTTTACAGCACCCTCCTCGGTGCCTGTGAGTGGCCCAGTCCCTTAGCCGTGCAGCCAGGCAAAAAATCTGTGTCTGCATACATTTTTTCATCCATCACTCAGCCAGGGTCTGCGGGTTGGACCCCGCATCTACTCACAAATCAAGATGTTCAGTTCCGCCACCCACCCCTGTCTGTCTTCCTTTCTCACAGTCACTCTGTAGGTGTATCCTGAAAATGTAAATCAGACCACAGCATTCCCTAGCTGAAAACCCTTCCGTGGCTCCCTATTACTCACCATAGGCTAAATTCCGCCCAGACTCCTCTGAAGGGCTTGCAAGGCCTCCTGTGTTCTAGCTCCTGCCTGCTATCCACCCACACCCCTCATTCCTGCCCCTGTAAACCCCTTGTAGCTCTCACATCTCAAGAATTAAAGATTTGACCCAGTTGCTCCGACCACCTCCGCCCCGATCCCCAGAAACAGTTTCCCCCTTCTCTTTCTCTGGCCAACTTCTATCGGTTTTCAGAATGTCTCCCCTGGCCACGCAGGATCCCTTCCATTTTGAGGCTGATAAAATCCTGCGGATCGCAAGCTGAGCGCTCATCACACCCCATCGTGATTATCTCCCCTGCAAGGCCAGGGGCTTTGAGAGGGTGGGACTGTGGCTGACACGTTCAGTGCTCCAGTCCCATCACCTGACACTTGCCATAGAGAAGGTGCTTAGTATTTAGAAGAGTGTGTGCGATTACCGAGAGCATGGATATGAAGAAGGGGATCACAACCTTGAAAAAGTTTGTTGCTGAGAAAGAGGCAAGCAGCCCCAACTGACGGGAGCTGGCCTGGTCCTCACAGTTTGTCTCCTGTTGAACAATTTCACAGAACATTGACATCAGACAAGGCTATTCTGACTGTGTTGGAGCAAGACAAAATCGAGAGCACTTCGTAGTCATGTCTAAACGCAGATAAAACAAGAACATTGTCTAAACCACAAAAATGACCAGACATCCCGCTTTTTTGGGCTAATGGGAGTAACTGTTTACCAATGTTTATAATGTTGGCCCTGCACTAGTCCTTCTACCTTATAGATAAGATTATAGGTACCCAATTATAGAATGATTCCTACTGCCTGATGGCATCCAATTGAACCCTCCCTAGTCACTTAACACAAGCCCCCATCCTTTTGTAAGTTCTTCGTAACACCCTCTCACAAAGACCCCTCACTGTTCCCCACAGTGCACAATCTCCTTGCTGCAATGAGCCAATAAACCCAGCTCCGTTCAACTGCAGGTGTGTTCCTGGTCTTTGGCTAAAGGGCATTGACACCACCCATTTCCCAGAAACCTGAACTTGCAAAAAAAAAAAAATACCTAATTAAACAATTTCTGCAAGCTAATTGATAGTGAGAAATGTATTTCTGATAGGGAGCATCAGCTGGAGTAGACAACTTTGTACATACTATATGTTTTCCGGACAGTTGCTTCAGCTTCTCCTGCATTGTGTGTGTGTGTGTGTGTGTGTGTGTGTGTGTGTGTGTGTGTGTGTTTGCAGGGGGAAGATGCAAGCTTTGCTGTCCTGGGTGTCCGTGACTGGGCATGTCTCATCTGGAAAGAGATCAGCTAATATTCCTTGAGAAAAAGAATGTTATCACTGGATGATTACATCTGCTTCCAGAGAGGTAAGAGCATGCAGCATGGAGCAGACACTCTCTATCCCAGGAGCTGCCCTGCCCAGGCCTGGGCTGGTGGCTATTGTCATGGAGTGGTAACTGTAAGGCCATCCTCATAAGTCCTGCTGATATCACTCCAATCCATGGACACCCCTGTGACTCCGTCTCCATTCCTCAGGCCTGCTTCCCATGGAAAGACCCAGAGGGAAACGTGGTTGGTGGCATTGGGGACTGAGAACAGAACAAAATTCAGGCTTTGAGTGTGGATTAGAGACGCACTGTGTGGTGCTTGCATCACCTCTGACAGTGGTTGGGTAATGGGCTGAATCACCCAATGGAGACAGAATGCCAACAGATGTTAGTTGAGGAGGATGATTAATCTCCTTCTTCGAAAACTCAGAGAATCTTTATTGGCAACGTTGAAGTCAAGATAGGGCTTCTCCTTAGCAACCGGAAAGCGCCTAGTGTGCATGGCTACAGAATTCAATATGAAACTCAGATGATGAAGGTAGCCATGGGCACCTCTGATTGCCCATTGTAAATTTCTGCCTGGAATGAGGGCTGGGGCCTCATAAATGTCAACAAAAGCTGGTGATGGGTCCAGAGAGGGATGTTAGGCCAGCCTTGATGGATGAGGAAGTTTCATTTAGGGGCTCCTGTCACTTCCCATCTTCAGGCCAAGCTGACATCCATGGCTGTAAAATTGTCACCCTTCTCCTTTGCCTCTCAGGAAAGCAAAACTTCTTTACGACACTTTTAATCAAATCTGTCTTTTGCCACTTCTCTCCCCACCCTGCTCCCTCTGCCTTTATCCTGACAAAGAAGCGAACTGTTACTCTCTGTCAGTTATTTGTCTGAGTAATTTCTTGATGAAATTGCAACTATAATTGAATTTTCTGAAAACCAGGAATTCAAATGAGGCGACAACAGAGGAAACAGCGTGATTAAGGAATTGTTATTCACTCGTTGTACATCATTACCACCCAGAATTCATCGCTGGATCGTTCACAGATGGAGTTGCTGAACTATGATTATATTTTAGAAAATGAAGGGGGAAAAATCTAAAAAGGCAATAAAACATATTAGAAGCCTTCTTGAGGAACAGGATTATTACTGATTAAGTATATTTTGCATGAAAAATGTGCTAGCACTTTGGCAGTTTAAATTATACGTCCGTGCAGTCAACATTTTTGCTGGTCTCAAAATTCTTTGTTAGTTTGGTCTTCTAATCACATTCCTCTTCACCCTCCAAATTGACGACTTGAAAGAACATTAGAAATGATCATTCCTGAAGGAGCATTTGCTCTCAAAATGCATTTACGCTCAGCAGCCATTAAAAGGATATCATCCAGTCACTTAGTTTCTCAATTTAACTTTAAAGGAAAGTTGCCTTATTAGAGAAGTGGCCTCTATTTCAATGTAATGGTCTTTGTCACATCTTCCAATGTGCTGGCTTAGTGCTGAAGGATGGGGAAAGGCAGTTTTCACATATTGCAGCCACCATACCACCAAAGAAAACAGGTGCACTTCCAGGCATCATTTAGCGGGGTACCACATTCCTGGTTCCAGTTTCCTTTTTAGAAAATCTGAAAGTAACTTTGGGGCATATCTTTTAAGGAGTACTCCAACACGACTAGTGGACAGACCCTAAATTAATTGCCAATCAGCTCTGCCTTCTGGTATTTACACCTTTATGTAATAACCTCCACTTGAAGGTAGATGAGATCTGTGACTTGCTTCTAACCAGTGGAATATGGCGGAGGTGGTGGGACGTTACTCCTGTGATTACATTACATCATGTGGCTCCTTTATGATGGAAGATTCATGCTAGAGATTCTCCTTGCTGACTTGACAAAGTATGTAACCATGATGAAGACTTCCACGTGGCAAGGAGCTGTGGGAAGCCCAGGTGCTGAGACTGGCATCCAGCAAACACCCAGCAAGAAACAGACGTCCTTGGTTCTACACATACAGGAAATGAATTCTGCCAACATCCTGAGTAAGGCTGGAACTAGATTCTCCCCAAGTTGAGCCTGACAAGTAAAATACAGACCAGCCAACACCTTGATTGCAGTCTTGTGAGACCTGGGGAAAAGGACACAGCTGAACCGTGTCCATTCTTCTGACCCACAGAAACTGTCACATCATAAAGGTATGTTAGTTGTTACACAGTTTAGAAAACTATTACAGCTGCTCAAGAAGGTTAGCTAGCTCCAGATTTCAATCCATTCACAGGAAAGCAAGCTTTATTCCTAGAAGAATAATTCATGCTTTGCAAAAAGAGGAAAACGTCCTGCAGTTTTAGAAGGTCTTTTCTTTCTCAACACACCCAAATTTCTTTAAAATCCTCAAGAAGTGCATTTGTTTTCATGGTTGACTCGAAGAAGTGAGTATAATTAACTCACAAAAGGTGGGAGGAAGGGACAAATTAAATTTTGGTATGCATACAGGTAGCTTCTTCCAAGTGATAATGAGCAATGTGAAACAAAGAGATTGGCATTAAATGTAATGAAGGACTAGAGGAGTGTACCTAAACCTGAAACAAATTCCAAGAAGTGGCCTTGACCTAAAATGTTTGCATCCTGCCAGAGACCCTTACTTATAAGTCAGGAGATACCTGATGCCCAGGAGAACTGGTTTTTGTACTCTGTCTTACACAGACTAAGAATTAAGAATGCAGGTGAGAAGTTTAGAAAACTTCCTGATGATCATATGAAAAGACATTAAACTTTACCTGGTAAAACTATGAAATGTTGCCTGTAGATTTCTAAGAAAAATGAGTAGGAAGTTGGAAATATTTCAGAATTAAGAATGTTTTTATATAATTAGAACTCTTTAAGCTATGTAATTCTGAAATCTGTGTGACAGACTTCTGTGTAAACATAAAGAACTAGTTATTTTTACAGATTATCTAGTCTGTGTATTCATTTGATGTTTCTATTACTTTTACCCTCACTACAAAGTTCAATGAAGGTTAAAAAAATATTGTTCTTAAAAAAAGAAGAGATAAACCTGGAGTAGCTATTTCAATGTTAGACAAAATGGATTTTAAAACAAAAATGTTAATACAGATAGAAAGGGACATTTTATAATAATAAAAGTATCAAAATATCAGGAAGATACCACAATTATAAACAAATATGCTCCTAAAAATAGAATCTCAAAATACATAAAACAAAAACTGACAAAGTTGAAGGGATAAATAAATAGGCAGCTCAGCAATATTTAGAAACTTCAATACCTCACTTTCAATAATGGATAGAACAACTAGACATAAGATCAACAAGAAAATAGAATATTTTAACAAAGCTATACACCAACTAGGCCTAATGGATATCTATAGAATAATCCACCCAACAACAGAAGTCTTCCTCCTCCTACTTCTCCTCCTCCTCCCCTTCCCCTTCCCCTTCCCCTTCTTCTTCTTCCTTCTTCTCTTTCTCCTTCTCCTTCTTCTTCTTCTTCAACAGGATCTTACTCTGTTGCCCAGGCTAGAGTGCAGTGGTGTGATCATGGCTCACTGCAGCCTCAACTTCCCAGGCTCAGGTGATACATGGGCCTCAGCTTCCCAAAGTGCTGGGATTATAGGCACAAGCCACATGCCTGGCCCACATATTCTTCTTAAGTACACATCAAACATTCTGTAGAATAGACCATATGCTAGGCCACAAAACAAGCTTCGATAATTTAAAAGGACTGAAATTATACACAATCTGTTCCTTGGCCACAAAGAATAAAATTAGAAAGAACTTTTGGAAACTCACAACTATATAGAAATTAACATACCCATAAGTAACCAATTGGTTGAAGAAGAAATCACAAAATAAATGAGAAAATACTTTGAGATGAATGAAAATTAAGACACAACATATAAAAATTTATGCAATATAGCTAAAGCAATGCTTAGAGGGAAATTTATAGCTCCACATACCTACATTAAAAATGGAGAAAGTTACACTGTTGGTGGGACTGTAAATTAGTTCAACCACTGTGGAAGACAATATGGCGATTCCTCAAGGATCTAGAACCAGAAATACCATTTGACCCAGCAATCCCATTACTGGGTATACACCCAAAGGATTATAAATCATTCTACTATAAAGACACATGCATACATATATTTATTGAGGCACTATTTCCAATGGCAAAGACTTGGAACCAACCCAAATGCCCATCAATGATAGACTGGACAAAGAAAATGTGGCACATATACACCATGGAATACTATGCAGCCATAAAAAAGAATGAGTTTATGTCCTTTGCAGGGACATAGATGAAGCTGGAAGCCATCATTCTCAGCAAACTGACACAGGAACAGATAAACAAACACCACATATTCTCACTCATAAGTGGGAGTTGAACAATGAGTACACATGGACACAGGGAGGGGAACATCACACACCGGGGCCTGTCGGAGGGTGGGGGGCAAGTGGAGGGAGAGCATTAGGACAAATACCTCATGCATATGGGGTTTAAAACCTAGATGACAGGTTGATAGGTGCAGCAAACCACCATGGCACATGTATACCTGTGTAACAAACCTGCACATTCTGCACATGTATCCCCAAACTTAGAGTAAAATTTTTTTAAAAAAAGAAAAAACATCTCATATCAATAAGCTAGACTTCTATCTTAAGACGCTAGGGGAAAAGCAGCAAACTAATCCTAAAGCAAGCAGAAGGAAGACAATAATGAAAGTGGAAATTAATGAAATTGAGGACAGAAAAACAATAGAGAATATCACTGAAACCAAAAAGTGGTTCTTGTTTTCTTTCTTTCTCTTTCTTTCTTTCTCTCTCTCTCTCTTTTTCTTTCTTTCTTTCTTTCTTTCTTGTTTCTTTTGAGACAAGGTCTAGCTCTGTCACTCAGGCTGGAGTGCAGTGGTGCAATCACAGCTCACTGCAGCCTCGATCTCCTGGACTTAAGTGATCCTCCTACCTCAGACTCTCGAGTAGCTGGAACCACAGGAGTGCACCACCATGTCCAGCTAATGTTTTCAATTTTTTGTAGAGATGAGGTTTCCCTATGTTGCCCAGGCTGGTCTCAAATTCCTAGGCTCAAGCGATCCTCCTGCCTCAGCCTCTCAAAATGCTGAGCCACCACACCCAGCTGGTTATTTCAAAAGATGAGCAAAAGTGACAAGCTTTTAGCTAAACTGACCAAGAAAAAAAGAATACTTAAATTACCATAATCAGGAAAGAATGAGAGAACATTACTACCAACCTCATAGATACAAAAAGTATAGAGGAATACAACAAGCCAATTGATATGCCAACAAATTAAATTACAAATGAAATGGACAAATTCTTAGAAAGACACAAACTACAAAAACTGACTCAAGTAGAAATAGAAAATCTAAATAGGTATTTAAAAAAGATTATTAAACTGAGAGCTGAAGACAGGGCAGCAAAACTGCAGGGGCCACCACCACCACCACCACATGTCAGGAAGAGTACGGAGAGGCCCTGGAGGGGCATAACGACTGCAGGAATAAATTAGGAGAGCCAAGAGAACCCACAGACCCTCTGAAGGAAGTGGATTGCTCCTGCAGGACCTGGGAGACACCTCAAATACTGTGCTGGTATCTGTGGCTGAGAAACCCACAGATGGTTTGCATCACAGGACTCTGTACAGACAACCCCCAGTACCAGCCTGGAACCTGGTAGACATCCTGGGTGGCTAGATCCAGAAGAGAGATAACAATCACTACAGCTCGGCTCTCAGGAAGCCACATCCCTAGGAAAAGGGGGAGAGTAATACATCAAGGGAACACCCCATGGGACAAAAGAATCTGAACAACAGCCTCGAGCCCTAGGCCTTCCATCTGACAGACACTACACAAATGAGGAGGAACCAGAAACCCAACTCTAGTAATATGACAAAACAAGGTTCCTTAATACCCCCCAAAAAATCACACTAGGTCACCAGCAATGGATGCAAACCAAGAAGAAATCCCTGTTTCACCTGAAAAAGAATTCAGAAGGTTAGTTATTAAGCTAATCAGGAAGGCACCAGTGAAAGGCAAAGTCCAACTTAAGGAAATCAAAAAAATGATACAACAGGTGAAGGGAGAGATTTTCAATGAAATAGATAGCATAAATAAAAAACAATCAAAACTTCAGGAAACAATGGACACAGTTATAGAAATGCAAAAGGCTCTGGAAACTCTCAGCAATAGAATTGAACACGCTGAAGAAAGAACTTCAGAGCTCAAAGACAAGGTTTTAGAATGAACCCAATCCAAAAAAGACAAAGGAAAAATTATAAGAAAATATGAACAAAGCCTCCAATAAGTCTGGGATTATATTAAATGGCCAAACCTAAGAATAATTGGCATTCCTGAGGAAGAAGAGAAATCTAAAAGTTTGGAAAACATATTCGGGGGAATAATCAAGGAAAACTCCCCCAGCCTTGCTAGAGCCCTAGACATCCAAATACAAGAGGCTCAAAGAACACCTGGGAAATTCATTGCAAAAAGATCATTACTTAGACACATTGTCATCAGGTTATCTAAAGTTAAGATGAAGGAAAGAATCTTAAGAGCTGTGAGGCAAAAGCACCAGGTAATCTATAAAGGGAAACCTATCAGATTAACAGCAGATTTCTCAGCCAAAACCCTACAAGCTAGAAGGGATTGGGGCCCTATCTTCAGCCTCCTTAAACAAAACAATTATCAGCCAAGAATTTTGTAGCCAGTGAAACTAAGCTTTATAAATGAAGGAAAGATACAGTCTTTTTCAGATAAACAAATGCTGAGAGAATTCACCACTACCAAGTCAGCACTACAAGAACTACTAAAAGGAGCTCTAAACCTTCAATCAAATCCTGGAAACACATCAAAACAGAACGTCTTTAAGGCATAAATCTCACAGAAACTATAAAACAAAAATACAATTAAGACAACAACAAAAAACAAGGTATACGGACAACAAATAGCATGAAGAATGTAATGGTACCTCACACCTCAATACTAACATTGAATGTAAATGGCCTACATGCTCCACTTAAAAGATACAGAATTGCAGAATGGCTAAGAATTCACCAACCAGCTATCTGCTGCCTTCAAGAGACTCACCTAACACATAAGGACACAAATAAACTTAAGGTAAAGGGGTGGAAAAGACATTCTATGCAAATGGAGTAACTATTCTTATATCAGACAAAACAAATTTTAGAGCAACAGCAGTTAAAAAAGACAAAGAGGGACATTATATAATGATAAAAGGCCTTGACCAACAAGAAAATATCACAATCCTAAATATATATGCACCTAACACTGAAGCTCCTAAATTTATAAAACAATTACTAATAGACCTAAGAAATGAGATAGACGGCAACACAGTAACAGAGGGGGACTTCAATACTCCACTGACAGCACTAGACAGGTCATCAAGACAGAAAGTCAACAAAGAACAATGGATTTAAAGTATATCCTGGAACAAATGGACTTAACAGATATTTATAGAACATTCTATCAAACAACTGTGGAATATACATTCTATTCAACTGCATATGGAACTTTCTCCAAGATAGACCATATGATAGGTCACAAAATGAGCCTTGATAAATTTAAGAAAATTGAAATTATATCAAGCACTCTGTTAGACCACAGTGGAATAAAACTGGAAATTAAGGCCAAAAGGACTTTCTAAATCATGCAAATACATGGAAATTAAATAACCTGCTCCTGAATATCACTGGGTCAAAAATGAAATCAAAATGCAAATTTAAAAATTATTCAAACTGAATGACAGTACTGACACAACCTATCAAAACCTCTGGGATCCAGCAAAGGGGATGCTAAGAGGAAAGTTCATAGCCCTAAAGGCCTACATTGAAAAGTCTGAAAGAGCACAAATAGATAATCTAAAGTCACACCTCAAGGAACTAGAGAAACAAGAACAAACCAAACCCAAATTCAGCAGAAGAAAGGAAATAACCAAGATCAGAGCAGAACTAAATGAAATTGAAACAAAAAAATTACAAAAGATAAATGAAACAAATAGCTGATTCTTTGAAAAGATAAATACGATTGATAGACCATTAGCAAGATTAACCAAGATAGGAAGAGAGAAAATCCAAATAAGCTCAATTAGAAATGAAATGGGAGACATTGCAACTGAAAACCACAGAAATACAAGAGAACATTCAAGGCTACTCTGAACACCTTTATGTGCATAAACTTGAAAACCTAAAGGAGATGGATAAATTCCTGGATAGATACAACCCTCCTTGCTTAAATCAGGGAGAATTCGATACCATGAACAGACCAATAACAAGCAGTGAGATTGAAATGGTAATTAAAAAATTACCAATAAAAAAGTCCAGGACCAGGTGGATTCATACCAGAATTCTACCAGACATTCAAAGAAGAAATGGTACCAATCCTACTGACACTATTCCACAAGATAGAGAAAGAAGGAAACCTCCCTAAATCATCCTAGGAAGCCAGTGTCATCCTAATACCAAAACCAGGAAAGGACACAACCAAAAAAGAAAACTACAGACCAATATCCCTGATGAACATAGATGCAAAAAATCCTTAACAAAATGCTAGCTAACCGAATCCAACAACATATCAAAAAGATAATCCACCATGATCAAGTGAGTTTAATACCAGGGATGCAGGGAGGGTTTAACATATGCAAAGTCAATAAATGTGATACACCACATAAACATAATTAAAAACAAAAATCACAGGATCATCTCAATAGATGCAGAAAAAGCATTCAACAAAATCCAGCACGCTTCTATGATTAAAACTCTCAGCAAAATTGGCACACAAGGGACATACCTCAGTGTAATAAAAGTCATCTATGACAAACCCACAGCCTACATAATACTGAGAACTGGAACAAAGATGCCCAGTCTCACCACTCTTCTTCAACCTAGTAATGGAAGTCCTAGCCAGAGCAATAAGACAAGAGAAAGAAATAAAAGGCATCCAAATCAGTAAAGAGGAAGTCAAACTGTCACTGTTTGCTGATGATATTATTGTTTACCTAGAAAAACCTAAAGATGCCTCCAGAAAGCTCCTAGAACTGATCAAAGAATTCAGCAAAGTTTTGAATACAAAATTAATGTACACAAATCAGTAGCTCTTCTATCCACCAACTGCAACCAAGCTGAGAATCAAATCAAGAACTCAACCTCTTTTACAATAGCTGCAAAAAAAATAAAATAAAATACTTAGGAATATACCTAACCAAGGAGATGAAAGACCTCTACAAGGAAGACTACAAAACACTGCTGAAAGAAATCATAGATGACACAGACAAATGGAAACACATCCAATGCTCATGTATGGGTAGATTAAATATTGTGAAAATGACAATACTACCAAAAGCAATCTACAAATTCAGTGCAATTCCATCAAAATACTACTATCATTCTTCACAGAATTAGAAAAAAACAGTCTTAAAATTCACATGGAAGCAAAAAAGAGCCCACATAGCCAAAGCAAGACTAAGCAAAAAGAACAAATCTGGAGGCATCACATTACCTGATTTCAAACTATACTATAAGGCCATAGTCACCCAAACAGCATGGTACTGGTATAAAAATAGGCACATAGGGTTGGGTGCAGTGGCTCACACCTGTAATCCCAGCACTTTGGGAGACCGAGGCAGGCGGATCACAAAGTCAGGAGATTGAGACCATCCTGGCTAACATGGTAAAACTCCGTCTCTACTAAAAATACAAAAAATTAGCCAGGTGTGGTGGCAGACGCCTGTACTCCCAGCTACTCGGGAGGCTGAGGCAGGAGAATGGCATGAACCCGGGAGGCAGAGCTTGCAGTGAGCTGAGATAGAGCCACTGCACTCCAGCCCGGGCGACAAAACGAGACTCCATCTCAAAAAAAAAAAAAGGCAAATAGACCAATGGAACAGAAGAGAGAACGCAGAAATAAACCCGAACGCTTACAGCAAACTGATCTTTGACAAAGCAAACAAAAACATATAGTGGGGAAAGGACACCTCATTCAAGGAATAGTGCTGGGATAATTGGCAAGCCACATGTAGGAGAATGAAACTGGATCCTCATCTCTCACCTTATACAAAAATCAACTCAAGATGGATCAAGGGCTTAAATCTAAGACCTGAAACTATAAAAATTCTAGAAGATAACATTGGAAAACCCCTTCTAGACATTCGCTTAGGCAAGGATTTCATAACCAAGAACCAAAAGCAAATGCAATAAAAACAAAGATAAATAGCTGGGACTTAATTAAACTAAAGAGCTTTTGCACAGCAAAATGAACAGTCAGCAGAGTAAACAGACAACCCAGAGAGTGGGAGAAAATCTTCACAATCTATACATCTGACCAAGGACTAATATCCAGAATCTACAACAAACTCAAACAAATTAGCAAAAAAAAAAAAAAAAAAAAACTACCAAAAAAAATCATCAAAAATTGGGCTAAGGACATGAATAGACAATTCTCAAAAGAAGATATACAAATGGCCAAGAAAAATATGAAAAAATGTTCAACATCACTAATGATCAGGGAAATGAAAATCAAAACCACAATGTGATACCACCTCACTCTTGCAAGGATGGCCATAATAAAAAAATCAAAAAATAATAGACACTGGCATGGATGTGGTGAACAGGGAACACTTCTACACTGCTGGTGAAAATGTAAAACTAGTACAACCACTATGGAAAACAGTGTGGAGATTCCTTAAAGTACTAAAAGTAGAACTACCATTTGATCCAGCAATCCCACTACTGGGTGTCTACCCAGAGGAAAAGAAGTCATTATACGAAAAAGATACTTGCACACACATATTTACAGCAGCACAATTCGCAATTGTAAAAACGTGGAACCAGCCCAAATGCACATAAAGCAACGAGTGGATATATATATATATAAATGGAATACTACTCAGCCAAAAAAAGGAATGAATTAGTGGCATTCACAGCAACCTGGATGAGATTGGAGACTATTATTCTAAGTGAAGTAACTCAGCAATGGAAAATCAATCATCATATGTTCTCATTCATAAGTGGGAGCTAAACTATGAGGATGCAAAGGCATAAGAGTGACACAGTGGACTTTGGGGACTCAGGGGGAGAGGGTGGGGAGTGGATGAGGGATAAAAGACCACAAATATGGTGCAGTATATACTGCTCGGGTGATGGGTGCACCAAAATCTCACAAATCACCACCAAAGGACTCACTCATGTAACAAAACATCACCTGTTCCCCAATAACCTATGAAAATAAAAAAAATAAAAATAAAATTTTAAAACTACCAAATAACAAAGAAATTGAATTTGTCATTTTAAAACTTCCCACAAAGAACAGCTTAAGCCCAGACAGCTTCACTGGTGAATTATACAGAATATTTAAATTAAAGAATTAATGTCAATTCTTCACAAAGTCTTCTAAAATGTAGAAGAAGAGGGGACATTTTCCATTTCATTTTGTGAGGCCAGTATTATCCCATTACCAAACCATACAAAGCCACTACAAAGAAAACTACAGACCAATACTGCTTATGAATATAAACATAAAAATCCTCAACAAAATACTAGTAAACTGAATCCAGCAGTCTGTTAAAAAGACTAACACCATGACCAAATAGGATTTATCAAAGGAATGCAAAGTTGGTTTAACATTTGAAAATTAATTAATATAATACATAATTCAATAGAAAAGAGAAAAAAACACATGATCATCTTATTAGACACAGAAAAATCATTTAACAAAATCCAAACTGACGTCATGATAAAAACACTCAACAAACTAGAAATAGAGTGGAACTTTCTCAATGTGATAAAGGACATCTACCAAAAATCCACAGCTAATATGATAAATAATGGTAAAAGACTGAATGTTTTTCCTCTAAGATCAGGAAAAATACAAGGATGTCTGCTCTCAGCACTTTTATTAAATATTGTACTGGAAGTTCTAGCCAGAACAATTAGGCAAGGAAATGAAATAAAATGAACTCAAATTGGAAAGGAAGAAATAAAACTATTTCCGGATGATACCACCTTATATAGAGACAATCCTAAATAATCCATTATTAGAATTATCAGAACTAATTAACAAGATCAGCAAGGTTACAGGATATAAAATTAAAATTCCTATACACTAGTAATGAATAATCCAAAAATAAAATTCAAAAAACAATCCCACTTACAATAGCATCAAGAAAATAAAATCCTTATGAATAAATTTAACAGAAGTCTAAAACTTATATATACTCTAAACACGACAAAATATCATTGAAATAAATTAAAGATGGAAATAAATGCAAAGACATCCATGTTCATGATCAGAAGACTTATATTGTTAAGATGGCAATACTTAATATTATAAAGTGATTTACAAATTGATTTATAGGTTCAAAGTGATTCGATGCAATCTCTGTCAAAGTTTCATAGCATTTTTTGCAGTTATTTATACTGCAAAGTGATTTACAGATTTAATGCAACCCGTGTCAAAATCCCATGGCCATTTTTGCAGAAATGGAAAAGCTATTGCTGGAATTCATATGGATTGCAAGTGACCCCAAATAGCCAAAACAATCCTGATAAAGAACAAAGCTAGACAAAGTCCATCTTGCACTTCCTGATTTCGAATCTTACTTCAAAGCTATGGCAGTGAAAACATTGAACTGAGTACGGTAATATTTATCATCTCAAAACCTCACAACAATGCAGTCAAGTGGAACCACTGTCTCAGTATTTCAGATGCAGAGCCCAGGCTCAAAGAAATATGGGGAATTGCTTGAGGTCAGAGAGCTGGGTAACCACAAATGCGGGTCCACATTCAGATCTGCCCTAAGTATAAAGACATTGCATCCTCTCAGCCACTACCTACACCACTCTTGAGTTTCTTCGACACAGGACCTGTGAACAGACAGCCCAAGACGCTTGGGAATCATGGAATTCTAACCCCCAAAGCCTGGCTTAGGGACCTCATCCAGCGACCAGACAGGGCGTGTTGTGCCTCATCCACATTTCTGAAAGTGTCCACTCAGTGGACAGCCTGCTTTCTAGTCTCTGCCCTACTGGCTTGAGTGTGGATGCCCAGACGGTTAGGAGGCAAGCTCCAGAGCTCCCATATGATCACTTCCACTGTCACCTGTGTGCCACAAGTGCTCTCTGTACACATGCTCCACCTGTTCTGATGATCTTTCAGTCTTTCAACTTCCAAGCCATGTGAGGGATCCTTCAGGAACATGAGCACTGGGACATGCTGGACGCTGGAGAGAGATGCAGACACCCAGAGCTGGCTGAGCTAACATGCTACAGTTTGTGAGGAGGAGACACAAAATTTCATACAGATGATAAAATTTTTCTGTACAACAAACCTTTGCTATAGATCCTACAATATATCCATTATTCTCACTAGAATGTGAACATGATTCTGCAAATTCCTAGGGAGAAAACCCAGCCTGCCCCTTATCAGAGGCTATAAACCACCTGTTTTTCTTTCCATCCTCCTTCCCTTGCTTCCCTCTCACACATCAGTCCTTTAGAGAAAACTGAGCTTTTCCAAGCTGTTATTGCTCAAAGAAATGTCTTCATCCAAGGGAACCAAGGGATGTGAAGGGCACTGGCCTCCGAAGCATTTGCCATTGTCAACTTTTATTGAGCACCTACTATGTACCAAGTACTGTGCTAGGTTCTGACGACACTGAAGAAACAAAAAAATAGATACTTCCTAATCTCAAGGGACAGTCCACTGGTGGAGTCAGACCTTCATCACGCACACACACAAACACAAAGAGAGAGACAGAAAGAGAGAGAGAGAGAGTGAGAGAGAAATACATGTATTCAGATACTGCTCTGAACCTTATCTGGGTCCGGAGGGCAGAGAAGGCTTCTTGAACTAGGACCTAAGAAATGGGAAGAAATTTGCTAGTTAAGCAGGTGTTGGGGGAAGGTCCTCAGAAGAACATTCTAGAACAAGTGCAAGGTCCCAAGAGGGAGGGAGATGGTCCATTCCTGCAACTGAAAGAAGACCAATGTTTCTGAACCACATGGAGCAGGAGGAAGCAGCAGGAGAATCCAACAGGGGGAGGGTCAGAAAGCCCATGTTTGTAACTAACCGGAACGATGAATGTGGTTTGGAAGACAAGTGAGAGGATGTGTACCACGGGCCAGATGTGGGAGACCAAGGAGGGGACTAGTGCATTTTTCCAGTAAAGAAATAATAGTGCTTGGGGCTAGGGAGGCTCAAATTGAGAAGAAGACAAGTGGGGAGGTTTAAGAGAGATTTCTAAATTAAAATGTACAGGGAATAGTGACAGATGATGCATGGGGTAGAGAGAGAGAAGGCAATGTCAAGAGTGACTCCCAAATCTGGCTTGCAAACAGAATGAACGGTGGTGTCATTCACTGAGAAAGGACACCCAAGAGGAGGATGTGATTAGCAGGGGAGAGAGCAGGAGTTCAAGCTGATATGTAGATCCACATTAATATGTCTAGTCAGAATGTGGATACGTAGGTTTGGGGCTTAGAAGAAAGGTCTGGGGTGAAGATCTAACCCTAGCAGTCATCTGCAAAGAGATGGTAATAAAATAAATACAATTTTTAAATGGATGGAATTTCCAGGGAAAAAGCAGAGGGTGAAATGAGTAAAGGATCTAGGGCCAAGGCTAAAAGAAATCCATTATTAGAAACAGAAAAGGTGTCTTAGTGCATTCAGGCTGCTATAACAAAGTACCATAGCCTGAGTGGCTTATAAACCACAGAAATTCATTTCTCACAGTTCTGGAGGCTGGGAAGTCTAGGATCAAGGTGCAAGTGAGAGTCTGCCTTCTGGCTCATAGATGCTGCCTTCTGGCTATGTTCTCACATGGTAGAGGATGTACGGAAGCTCTCTGCGACTTCATTTATGAGGACGCTAATCCCATTCATGAAGACTCCACCCTCATGACTTAATCACCTCCCCAAATCCCCACCTCCTAGTACCATCACCTTGAGGGTTAAGATTTCAGTATATGAACTTTAGGGGTCACAAGTATTCAGTCTATAGCAGGAGGAATAGCCAAGAAGGATGAATGAAAATCATACAAGGATGATTTCATGGAAGGCAAGGGAGTACAATGTCTCAAATAAACCAAGTCCTGAGTCAAACATTACTGAGAATGTGAGTGTAATAAAACCGAGACTCAAAAGTAGGCATTGGATGTGATGACATGACTATCACTGGTTACCTTAGGGAGAGAAGTTTTGGCGGAGTTGACAAGCACAGTCAGATGGAATGTGCTGGCGGATGGCAAAGATGGGGAAATGAAGATACCCAGTGTAGACAGCTTCTGAAAGCAGCTGGCCGTGAGTCAGAGGTAGACAGGAAAGTGACTAATACAGTGCAGAGGTCGACGTTTTTAGCTTTATTGTATTTAAGAGAGAGACCTGAGCACATTTAAAATGCTGATGTGACATTGTCCAAGCTGAGAGGAAACAATTAGATCTATATGAGAGAAAAGAATGATGAATATCAGGCAAGTATGGCAAAGACCACCATTACTTTTGCACCAACCCAATAAGAAAGTTGGAGGATCTTCACAAAACAAAGGTGGTTTTGGCCTGAGTGGGGAGGAGGAACAGCTTCTTTACTACCAGTGGAAAGAAGGAGAGGCTGGTGCAGGGGCAGGGAGGTAGCAGGGAGCAGAGGGAGGCCCCATCCACGCTCAGGTTCTTAGAATGAGGAAGATGACATTGGCAGGACCATAGGTGAGCATCTTCTAACCCAAGGAAGATTTAGAACTAAGTATAGGCTGGGCGCGGTGGCTCACGCCTGTAATCCCAGGGCTTCGAGAGGCCGAGGCGGGTGGATCACCTGAGGTCAGGAGTTAGAGACCAGCCTGATCAACATGGCAAAAACCCATCTCTACTAAAAATACAAAAATTAGCCAGGTGTGTTGGCGCCTGTCTGTAGTCCCAGCTACTCAGGAGGCTGAGGCAGGAGAATCGCTTGAACCCAGGAGGTGGAGGTTGCAGTGAGCTGAGATCACGCCATTGCACTCCAGCCTGGGCAACAAAGTCAGATTCCATCTCAAAAAAAAAAAAAAAAAAAAAAGGAAACTAAGTATAGAAGTATGGAATAGAACTATATTCTTTCTATTAAGATATTTGTGCTTTGAAATAAGCTATGTTTACACACTTGTAATGTTTAAGAATCTGTGGCCTTTCAGAGTCATATATGAACTTTTCCTTCTAATATAAAATGTTTAACGGAGCAATTGACTTTGACATCAGATTCTAAGTTGAAATCTTACTGTATTTAAATAAGATTTGGAACCTGTAAAAGAATTTAAGCCTTGCCGTCTTTAGAAGTTTAATGAATTAGATTTATAACAATTACTTAAATATCTGAGAAGGTTTGTTAGACAATTGAAGTACTTAAAAAGGAATTAAAATATATTAAGCCTATAAATGCAGTTTACAATGTTTAGAGCAATTTAATTAAAAACATTTGTAAATGAGACGAAACATTTCTCAAAGGTACTCTTAAATGTGATTGTTAAAATTTGCTAGACCTATAAATAAATAATAAGATTCGTAAGCTGAATTTCAAAGCTTATGGAGGAACTTGGGTCCATATGAATTTGTTACTTTAATAAATTGAATGTTAATTTTGAAAAACAAAGAAACCTTTCATCAATATTTTTGGCGCCTAAGAGCTGCTCTTGAGGGCATCTAATTAATAGTTTTTTTATTATTTAAAAAATATCATTAGGCCAGGTGCAGTGGCTCTCTCCTGTAATCTCAGCACTTTGGGAGGCCGAGGTGGGTGGATAGCTTGAGCCCAGGAGTTTGAGGCCAGCCTGGGCAACATGGAGAAACCTTATCTCTACTAAAAAAAAAACCACACAAAAATTAGCTGGATGTGGTGGCACACCGCTACTTAGGAGACTGAGATGGGAGGATCACCTGAGCCCAGGAGGTGGAGGGTGCAGTGAGCCGAGATCGCGCCCCTACCCTCCAGCCTGGAAGACACAGTGAGACCCTGTCTCAAACAAAATTTTTTTAATGGCTATAATGAAAAAAAAAAATCAACCAGTATGTAAGGAAAAAGCTGAAGCCCTTTGCCCCATTTCCCAGAGGTAACCATCATTACAAGTTCCTTGTGTTTCTGCCCAGAAATGTTATTTGCATAAGCATAGAATCTCTCCCCAGCCCCATTTTTAAACAAAGAGATATATTCTGCATCTAACATTCTGTACTGCTTTTGTGCTTAACAAGATAACTTGAGCCGGGTGTGGTGGTTCATGCCTGTAATCCTCAAGCTTTGGGAGCTGAGACAAGAGGATTCCTTGAGGCCAGAAGTTCAAGATCAGCCTGGGCAACATAGTGAGACCCGATCTGCAAAAAAACATGTAAAATTAGCTGAGCATGGTGGTGTACACCTGTAGTCCCAGCTATTTAGGAGGATGAAGCAGGAGGATCACTTGAGCCCAGGAATTCAAGGCTATAGTGAACCATGATCACGCCCTGCACTCCTGCCTGGGCAACAGAGGGAGACCCTGCCTCAAAACAAACAAACAAACAAAAAACAATATATCTTAAAAACATGTTCATGTTTCCCATAAGAATAAAGATTAACATCCCTCTCTCCCTTCCTCATCGCCTTTGGGGTGTGGCCTCATGCCTCCCCTCTGGGTTGTGCCCAAACTTCTCTCAAGAGTGGATCCTCTCACTGTCTCTACTTCCTGCCTCCCCAGCTACTGACTGTACCAAGACTGTGCTTTCTGAGGGCACCAATGCCCTCCACCTTACCAAACCCGCTAGAGGCTTCTCAGTTCTCATATCTCTTACTCTCCGGCTTTCAACACGTGAGCCATCTTTTCCTTGCTGCATTGCAAAGCCACCTTTATCTAGCAATGAATTCCCATTTGTATCTGGGTCTATTTCTGGCCTTTCCATTCTCTTCCATTGATCTCTCTGTCCTTGGGTGCAAGTTTTCTGATGACCTGACTTGATTCATGGATAAAACCTATACTCTTGCAGAATGAATGTCCTTCACTCAATCCTCCATAAATAACAATTCTTTCAATAGAGCTTTTCTCTCTTTCTTAATAAGAGATAGGGACAGCAGAGGTTCACGTATTTCCTGGCAAGGCCCAGAATGCCGTTATTCTTGATTGAGGGCAGAGTTATCAGCCAGGCAGATAGTGGAATTGATATCCCTGTGTGAAAATGGAAGAGCCAATCTGAGCTGTCGCCCCATTCCTACAGAACTAGCTGCCCGTCTTTGAATTCCCAGTGCTCATTCAGGCCTCTGCACTTTCACTTGAGCACATCTGGCCCCCACTTTCTCCTTTCCTCCTCTCTTCTACTAAATAGTAAAAGAGCTCTTCTTCACATCTCAGCTCAGGTGTCCCCTTGCCCAGGAAACCTTTCCTGAGGCTCCTCCCTATGCCCCACATTAGCCACTCTGGGCTTCCCTCTGCCCCAGCCCTTAACACAACAGAATCAACATGCCTGTAACAGAATTGCCCTATGCCCCCTCTCCCCTAGACCACCGTGAGCTCCCCAAGGGCAGGACCTGTCTCTCAGCAGACTTTTACTCTTGTTACCGAACTGATCTTGGGTCTGCCCACCCGGCACAGTGCAGCCAAACACTGATATTGGGATTGCAGCCAGAGAAAGTGAGGCATTTATTGCAGGGCGCCAAGCAAGCAGAATTGGGCAGCTCATGCTTAAGATCAGAACTCCCTGATGGCTTACAGGTAAGGGTTTTTAAAGGTAGAGGGGGAGAGGTTACAGGCAAAATCATAAATTAATACATGGAGACTATGTGTTGGTTTGGCCTAAAAAGGCAAAGCATCTTGAAGCGGAAGTTTGGGAGTGTGGCAAGTGAAAGGTGGATTCAAAGATTTTTCAGTGTTGTGATGGGTTAAGGAGGTGAAGTTTTGTCTAAAATTTTGGTGTAGGCAGAAAAGAACGTTAGCTCTTGCCCGTGGGCATGATCTCTTCCAGGTCCCTCAGCAAGAAACTTAGGAGAAAGCATGGTGGTTGGAGTTCGGTCCTCAGCTTCCCCTTATCCAAGGTCTCTGTGCCTGCAGATGGCACTTTCCATTTGGTGGAGGTCTGGGTTTCTGAAACACAACTCAGGGACGTAGGTTGAGATGTTATCTTTAGTTTCTACAGGAAACCAAATATCCTATGACTCTAATTTCCTTGGCTATTGTCTTAAGCTACTATTACCTTCTTGCTTGTCAAGTTGCGCATTTACTTTTCAAGGCTTGCTACGTGCCTGGAATTTCTAGATTTTCCTTTATTTCCATGCTTGGGGAGAGGAGTGCCTGGCAGGCTCCTAAGAGGGGTCTGTGCTCCATCTCGCCCCCTATCTTGAACTATCGGTTGGGTGCTCTAGAATCTGTATGGGGTGGAAGTGTTCATTCATTTTCTGTACAAAAGCAATCAATGCTTATTGTGGAAAACCCAAATAAGAGAGTTGCTCTAAACAACACCCTCCCCAGTCCCAATACCTTGTCCAGAAGAAACCACTGTTTGGTGAGTATATTAGTCAATGTCTGCAGACCAGATCGGATGACCAAGTTTTCCATAAATGGATGGCCATCCACTTCCCTTCAAGGGCGAGGGTAGTTTGTTCTGATCCATCTCCCTTTTCACAGCTCAGGGAGGGAGGAAGACCCAGGAAGGAGAGCTGCCACAGTTACTAGTGGCCCAGCTGGGATTTAAAGTCCGCCGTGACTGAAGCTTGGCTCCACATGCCAGTCTGCAAGGCCCTGAGTGCCCTCAGCAGTAATTCCAAGCAAAGCAGGGAAGCAGCGGGCCAGGTGCTGAACTGAACTGCTGCTCAGGGCTCCTGAGCCTCCCCCTGCCTCCTCCCTCTCTTCTCCACCCTGGGGCCTCTCTCTCTGTCCCTACTTCCTCCTTTAGATCCTCTTTCCCCTGAACCCACTCATTTATCACCTTTTGATGAGTTCCACCAGGCAGACCATGTCAGGAAATTTCTTGGTGTTCATTTTAATAAAACTTAATTATTAAGACAGCCTCACAAGTCATGATACATTTACTGGTTCATTTTTCACATCTCCGTCAGAGGCCTCCTGGCAGCCACGTGGGAGGCATGAAGGCTATGGGGTGGAAGTGTCAGAGCCTTTTCTGGCCTCCTGCAGGAGCTGGGTTTGGGGAAGCAGTTCCTGACCCTTCCTCTGCCGGCCCACCCCCGTTATTCTCCAGACGCTGAGGATGGGATGGAATGAGCACCAAACATGGAGTCAGGAGACCTGGGACTCAATCCTCCTCCTGCTGCAGACTATGCTCAGACCCTGCTGAAGGAAGGCATCCTCTCTGGGCCTCAGCTGTCTCATGTACAAGATGGGAATCATCTCAGTCCAAACCAGACAGAGCCACTGTGAGATTCAGAAGAAAGCTCTCGCAATGAGAGGCCTCCCCAGGCAGATGGAGGCAAAACTGCAAGGGTGGATTGACGCTGGGGCGGCGCCTGCCCCACAGTCCTGTAGGTCCGCCCGCCTGGGTAAGGGATGGGGTGAAATTGGGGGTCTCTGATGATCACAGTAATAACTGACTTTTTAAAAAATTTTATTTTTCCATAGGTTATTGGTGTACAGGTGGTGTTTGGTTACATGAGTAAGTTCTTTAGTGGTGATTTGTGAGATTTTGGTGCACCCATCACCCAAGCAGTATACACTGCACTCCATTTGCAATCTTTTATCCCTCGCCCCCCTCCCACCCTCCCCCCCAAGTCCCCAAAGTCCATTGTATCAGTTTTATGCCTTTGCGTCCTCATAGCTTAGCTCCCACACATCAGTGAGAACATACGACGTTTGGTTTTCCATTCCTGAGTTACTTCACTTAGAATAATAGTCTCCAATCTCATCCAGGTCACTACAAATGCTGATAATTCATTCCTTTTTATAGCTGAGTAGTATTCCATTGTATCTACATATACCACAGTTTCTTTATCCACTCGTTGATTGATGGACATTTGGGTCGGTTCCACGATTTTGCAATTGCGAATTGTGCTGCTATAAACATGTGTGTGCAAGTATCTTTTTCATATAAAGACTTCTTTTCCTCTGGGTAGATACCCAGTAGTGGGATTGCTGGATCAAATGGTAGTTCTACCTCTAGTACTTTAAGGAATCTCCACACTGTTTTCCATCGTGGCTGTTCTAGCTGACATTCCAACGAGCAGTGTAGAAGTGTTCCCTGTTCACTGCATCCACACCTACATCTACTGTTTTTTGATTTTTTATTATGGCCATTCTTACAGGAGTGAGGTGGTGTCGCATTGTGGTTTTGATTTGCATTTCCCTTATCATTAGTGATGTTGAGCATTTTTTCATATGTTTCTTAGCCATTTGTATATCTTTTTCTGAGAATTGTTTATAATTGACATTTATTAAGTGCTTTGCAGACGCTGTGCCAAGGATGTCATGTTGTCATATGTATTAGCTGGCTAAATCTCACAGTTGCTGTACTTGTTACTAATATTGTAAAATGTGTACCAGTGTTATGCCCATTTTATAGTTGAGAAAACTGAGGCATAGGGAGGCAAAAGCAACGTGCCCGAAGTTACAAAGCCAGTCAATGGTGGAACCAGAATTAGAACTCTGGCCAACTCCAGAGTCTACCTTCTTACCAATAAAGTCATCACCCCTGAGAAATCAGGGAGGGGCCAGGAGTTTTTAATAATCAAAGCAACCTCACACCGAAGTCTAAGGGAAAGCAGAGGTTCGGCTGAGCACCAGGGCCCCTGGCAGCTCAGCATGGGGGCCGTCAGTGACACCTGCACTCATGATATCCCACACCTGTGGTCTTCCAAGGGGACAGACTGAACTCTTGCCACTTCATCCACAAAGCCCCCCTCTATTTCCTCCTTTCCCTCGACTGCACTTCCTTGATAACAGACCCAATTTTGTTCAGCAATTCACCCCCAGGGAAGCTGACCCACAAATCCCATGATGCCAACAGGGTCCCAGTATCTTTGCCAGTTCTCTGACCCAGCCTCACACCAGGGTGTGGCATGAGCAACGAGACAGGGTAGTGTTGGTGCAGGTGACACAGGGCTAGGATATGGCACAGGAATTTAGAAAATAATTAGACTGCGTTGGGCGTCAGGACACACCACTCCAAAATATGACTGTAGGCGACCAGGAATCTGCCACAGCAAAATCTACTTTGGCATTTTTCAAGCTAGTTATTATGAGAAACTGCAGACACAGGAGTAGCTCTGAAAAGCTGTCCTTTTGTAAAAGAAATTTACATCTATAAAGGAAATCCACATTAGTAAAACAATCTGTATCAGGAAGAGGGCTGCTCAGAGACAGCTTCTATTACCCGAGAGGCTTTTTATCTTTATAACGAGACAACCTTTACTTATCATACATTTCCTCCCCTTACCCTCCAAGAACTCCACCATCTCCGAGAAACCCAAAGCACCCCTATTCCTTTCTGTAGCTCAGGATGCTACATTAGCTTCAATCATCTGGCCCTACTTTGAGTCTCATGTATTGTGGGAACCCCCGCCCCCCATACCTATGCAAGTAATTATAAATGTTTTTGCTTCTGCTAATCTGTCTTATGTAAATTTAATTTATAGCTCAGTCAAAGAACCTAGAAGTGTGGGGGTTAACCACCGTTCCCTCCCCTGCAAGAGGATTGGTCTATGAGAGAAGTCAGCTTCCATTTATCGAGCACCTAGTAAGCACCAGGCCCCAGACCTTAAGCTTTACATGTGTTATTTCTGATTCCCATAGACTCCTCTAGCTTCAGTGGTATTACTTGCATTTTGCTGATGAATAAACGGAGGTTCAGAGAGGGTAAGTGACTTGTCCAAGGTCACACAACCAGGAAACAGCAATGCTGCGAGTGGAACCCAGGTGTTGTGTCCGTGGGTCTGTGGTCTCGCTGACTTCAAGAATGAAGCCACCAGACCTTCACGGGGAGTGTGACAGCCCTCAAAGGTGGCAAGGACCCAAAGAGTGAGCAGCAGCAAGATTTTTTGTGAAGAGCAACAGAACAAACCCCCCACCGCGTAGAAGGGGACCCCACTGGGTTGCCGCCGCTGGTCAGGGTAGCCAGCTTTTATTTCCTTATTTGTCCCTGCCCATGTCCTGCTGATTGGTCCATTTTACAGAGTGCCAATTGGTCCATTTTACAAAGTGCTGATTGGTCCACTTTACAGAGTGCTGATTGGTCTATTTTACAAACCTCTAGCTAGCTACAGAGTGCTGATTGGTGCATTTTGACAGAGCACTGATTGGTACATTTCACAAACCTCTAGCTAGCTACAGAGTGCTGATTGGTGCATTTTACAATCCCCTTGTAAGACAGAAAAGTTCTTCAAGTCCCCACCCGACCCAGAAGTCCAGCTGGCTTCACCTCTCAGTGTGACCAACCTCCAAGCTTTTTTATTTCATTGCTTGGCTTCCCTCTCTACCATGTCCATTTCTGCACATTTATTTCAGCCTCACATTGACCAGCTCCTGCGTGCCAGGCATGGCCTAAGTGTTATTCGAACAAAGCTTCGGAAGCTAGTCCACTTGCTTCTGTCTAGAAGAGGAGGGCGGTGCTGGGAGGAACCTCCCTGACTCCTGCTGCAGACCCACTGAGAGGTGACTCCCACACGGCTGTCCTGGAACAAGACAGCAGCTTTTCTTAGGTTGTTCTAAGTTAAGGGCTCTCACTGCTGGTAAGACAGGGAAATAGAGGAGATAAAAATAACAAAACAAAAGGAGAAGTCACAAAGTTACAGGAAATCTCAATATATCTTTCTGTTCTGGATGCTGCTCCAAACACAACTGCAGCAGGGCCTCTTTGTGGGGGGTTCTTATTTGAGAGCCACAAAGGACCTCAAAGCCAAAACAGACTGATTATCTAGCCCACCTCCATGTCCTCCCCTCCTTCCCCCTACTTCCTTACTAACAGACCCAATTTTGTTCAGGAATCCACCCCCTGCCGAGAAGAAACTGATCCTATTCCCAGCTCAGAGCCAAATCCTGAATCATCCAATATTACCCCCTTGTCAGGAGTAGGTTGAGGGGTGACAAGTGGCCCATGCTTTTTCTGGGGTCAGGGAGAAGAAATGATTATTAGAACAATTTTGGTTTAAACTTTTTTTTTTTTTTTGAAACAGGGTCTCACTCTGTCACCCAGGCTGGAATGCAGTGGTGCGATCTCAGCTCACTGCAGCCTCAACCTCTGCAGCCTCAAGTGATTCTCCCACCTCAGCCTCCTGACTAGCTGTGACTACAGGCCTGTGCCACCATGCCTCGCTAATTTTTGTATTTTTTGTAGAGACAGTGTTTTGCCATGTTGCCCAGGATGGTCTTTCACTTCTGAGCTCAAGCAATCCATCAGCCTTGGCCTCCCAAAGTGCTGGGATTACAGGCATGAGCTACTGCACCCAGCCTAAACTTGTTTCTAATTAGCAGTTCCAAATTTTTAGATGCTCATATCTCTGACTAATTACAATAACAGATGATGAAATATCGAAGTGTTGAACTGTCCTCTCAATTCCAGCCGGAACAAACAGATTCTGTTTTCTCTACATTTTGACTGAACTGTCTTGGTGTCATACATTAGATGGTAAACTTCTCCTCTGTTCCAATCTCCCCCTTCTTCATGGCTAATTAGTTAAAAGCACACTGTTGATAAACACAATATGAATAGAAAAATTTTTGTTTAGCCTTAAAAAATAGCAGTATGACAATTTGTCTTGAATTTTGACCTTTCAGTGGTGGCTTGTATCAAAGTTACGGTCTTGGGATAGTGCTATGACCCGCTGAAATGGCTGCGGGCCTGAAATTTTGATCGTAAGGCAAATTTTGGTACAGAAAATCGCCTGTTTCTGCTGACTTCTGCTTTAGACATCCACTCTTAAGGAAAAGCATTGTTATCCCACCAGCTAACACATCACTCTCTACCATATATCAAAGAGTCTCAAGATCCTTCTATTCATGAAAAATGAAAATATTCTCACCACATCCTCGCAGTAATGTTCAACATAAATTACCAAGCACAGAGACAGTTTGGGAATGTACATTATAAATGGCCTTCCCTACAAGACTAAGAGTGAATCCTAATGTAAACTATAGACTTTGGGTGGTAATAATGTGTTAATGTCGGTTGACAGATTGTAATAAATGCACCGCTGTAATGTGGAATGTTGAAGTGAGGGAAGCTGTAAGTGTATGGAGACAGATAAATGGGAATTCTCTGTACTTTCTGCTCAATTTTACTGTGAACCTAAGACTGCTCAAAAAAGTAGAAGTAAGTAAATACATAAGTCAGTAAATAAATGGCCTTTTCTTGGGCTGAGAAATGAAGACATTTCCTATATGTTACTTGGACCTGTAAATTCACTCTGGGGAGATATATATATATATCAGAAAGTATATGTTACTTGGACCTGTAAATTCACTCTGGGGATGTGTGTGTATATATATATACACATATATATTACATATATATATATACACATATATATTAGAAAGTAAATATTTCTTGTTAAAATCTGAGATATAACTGCCCTCTAAAGGTGTTTATTTCCTGGGTTGGCTTTTTTGTTTTGTTTTGTTTTGTTTATTTGTTTTTGAGGCAGAGTCTCGTTCTGTAGCCCAGGCTGGAGTGCGGTGGCACAGTCTCCACTCACTGCAACCTCCACCTCCTGGGTCCCAGTTCAAGCAATTCTCCTGCCTCAGCCTCCCAAGTAGCTGGGATTACAGGCACATGCCACCATGCTCAGCTAATTTTTGTATTTTTTAGTAGAGACACAGTTTCACCGTGTGGGCCAGGCTGGTCTTGAACTCCTGACCTTGTGATCTGCCTGCCTCGGCCTCCCAAAGTGCTGGGATTAGAGGTGTGAGTGAAAGCACCTGGCCGGGTTGGCTCTTATCTATTTACTTGATAGCCAGGTTTGGAGTCATTAGTGGCTGTTGCTTACTCCTTGAACAAACATTTTTGAGTGTTGTGCTGTACAGGCCACTGGATAGATAGCGATGAATCCCACACAGTCCTGTCCTCAGAGCCCACATCTTCATAGATCTATAAATTAATATTTGCAGTAGAGTATGACAAAAAAACTCCAATAGAAGTGCCTCCAGGGAAGATGGTACCAATTGAACTGGTTGCTGGGGAGGTGTCAGGGGAGGGTTCATGGCAGAAGCCTCATTGAAGGATCTCAGAATTTCATGCCTCCTGGGAGGTTCAGTCCAAGACACCTACCTCCATCTTTCAGTGCAGAGGGCACATGAGGGGACCTGCCAAGATGAAGCCAGAGAGGCAACAGTGGTCAAATGATAGAAGGCCTGGGGCGGGAAGGGGCAGGTAAAGATTTGGGGCTTTATCCAAATGGACTTTATTGTAGTTGTATTCATTTGATACCTTTTGTAAGTTCCTTGTTTAGTTATTACATGATTATCATAAAGTTTGGGAGCATAATGGTTAGAAAGATATCACAGACTTAGGAAAAGGATGCATGTTCCTTTAATTTGGCTCTTTTAATGGACTGAGAGACTATGCAACGCTCATGGCTGGAGGACAAGCTTCCCCGGCCTTCCAGTCCCATAAGGACACCTGCTGTTAATGGCAGTCCTGATGGAGTGTAGATCCCTCGGGCTGCCATCCTCACAAAGGTGTGTTACTTTCTGGCTGGCAGCTCCAGATGGCCCTAGGGACTCTGAACTCAGCCTGTGTCCGAAGGCTTACTGCAAGACTGTGCGACTCCACCATGGTCAGTTTCCCCGGGGAACCATCTCTCTACCAAGCCCAGTTTTCCATTGCAAGAACAATTGCCAAGATGTCTAAGTTTCTATGTGAGAATTTTGGCATCTTGGGTTCCTTTTAAATAGGACACACTTGTATGCTCTAAAGAAAAAAAGAAAAGGTTTCTCATGAAGCATTAGCTTTCAAGATTACAGTTCGGTAGGATGTTCAAGATGCTTAGGGTGAATAAAAATGACAGACAGCTGAACACTTCCTATAAATGAAACACCAATATAGATCTAAGTTTCATGCATGACTCTCAATGTGGTTAATGAAAAGGAAGATAAAAAAAAAAAAGGTTGGCCATATTTGCAGGGCATTTGCTCCCAAATGTTTCAATCCTGTTTTCTTTAGACTTTGAAAAGGGGGATTGCACGTTATCTGTCAAGAAGGCATCAAAGCAGAGAAATCCACAAATGTGTAGTGTCAGATAGAATTCAAGCCTTCAGAAAGGACTCCACTCCTTTGGTTACTAAGAGAACTAGGGGCTTGTATTTCTAAGATGTCACTAGCTGGAGGCGCTGAGCAGGTAATGGTCTATGTTTTCCTAGACTATAAAATCCTGATTATATGGTTTAATAAAATAAGAATCTCAGAGTTCTGATGGAAAACAAGTAAACTTCAGGTCTTAGCAGGCACTAGCAGAAAGCACCAGAGAAAACTGGGGGAGAGGTTAGGACTCCTGTCCCAAAGATCCCCCTCAATTATCCTGCCATGTTATCAGTTCCCTCTTTACATGTTACCAAACATGACTACTAATTTCTATTTTTTTCCAAGACTATTAGATGTATTCAAAATTCACTCTTCTTACAAGGATAGAGAAAAGTGCCTATCGATGCTTAATAACCCAACATATATTTAATAGAAGAATTAAATCACCTTCTGCAAAGGACCAAGAAAAGCTCCATTTGATCAATTCCTTTAAGACATGAAGACTTCTCCTTTTCTAAGAATCGCCATAGTAAAATGCAAGCTCAGCATGACATACCCCAAGGAAAAATGTATCTGTCCCTTCTGCTTTTACTACAGTTCCATAAGGGTAATACCGAGTTGTTTTGCCCACATGGGGGCTCTGGAATCTTGGCTGTGATGCATTGGTAGGATATTTGTCACCAAAACTGACTCAGCAATCAGTTAAATATTAAACAAAGCACTGATTAGTGTTCCTGATTCATATTTGTGCTTTGTTTAACATTTAACTTCCGAATTTTATACATCTATTAAACAATATTCCTCTTGACATTCGAACACTATCTGCACAATTAATAAATCAAAAACTTATTAAAAATTGAAACAATTAAAAATTCCCAAACTTATAAACCATTGTTTACAAAATTATTTAACCACACTCTCCAACACTTTTAAATAAAACCATAAGTTTAATATGTCAGACCCTTTTAAATGTTTCAAACACCTAAAAAGTCAGCAAAAATGCACACAAAACGTCATACTGATTGAAAAATATATATGCACACTTACCTTTACACTGGTTACAAAGGCATGAAGATTATGGGTATATATTGGTTTTAAAAAGTACTTTTATACTTATTCTTATATTTTCTCTGTTACTTTCTTAGAGTCAATGCGATCGTTTCCTAGGATTAGAGTATGAAGTGATACAGTTTCTCCTAAGAATACAAATTTCTTTCAGAACCAAAAGAAAAATAATCTCAGGCCAGCCAGCTCTGGGGTTACTGATTCTTATTTGAAACTGATAAAGTGTCTCCCAACATTATTGCACTTGAGCTTAAATGTGGCCTAAGAATATAAAAGTCCGTGCCTTCACATTGGTATCCTTTTCTGAGACCAGAGTGTTTCCTAAAGTGCGCTTCATCTCCTAGGAGACTAGGGATTTTTTTTTTTTTTTTTTGAGACAAAGTCTCGCTCTATCACCCAGGCTAGAGTGCAGTGTTGTGATCTCGGCTCACTGCAGCCTCTGCCTCCTGGGTTCAAGAGATTCTCATGCCACCACGCCTGGTTAATTTTTTGTATTTTTTGTATTTGAGATGGGGTCTCTCCATATTTCACAGGCTGGTCTCAAACTCCCAGGATCAAGTGATCCACCCACCTCAACCTCCCAAACTGCTGGGATTACAGGCGTGAGGCACTGCACCCGGCCAAGACGAGGAATTTAAACCCTGCAGTTTGCTGTCCTTACGAGCACATTTGGCCAATTATCCTTCCATGTTATCAGTTCCCTCTTTACATGTTACCAAGCATGACTACTAATTTCTATTTTTTTCCAGGACTATTAGTTGTATTCAAAATTCACTCTTTCCTTCTTACAAGGATAGAGAAAAGTGCCTATCGATGCTTAATAACCCAACATATATTTAATAGAAGAAATAATATCACCCATATATAAATCTGCCATTAAAAATAATATGAAATAAAACCCTATCGCATTTGCCATTTACATCAACTTTTCTCTTCATAGCTTCATTAGGAACTTACAGCTCTTCACAGACTCCATGTGTTTTAATTGATTATAGCCATCAATCTTATTTGATATTCAAAATCTCAGAGCTTGACCAGAGGAAACCTCTTTAATCTAGCTTCTTAGTCCTTCCAGAACCACCCTGTGATATTCTAGAAAGCATCCTTGCTTTCTGGTTACAAAAGAAACTTCCAGGCTTAAACCATTTGTTTTACCCTACTCAGGACAACCCTTCCAAAGAGCCCCTGTTTCTTTAAGTGGAGAAAACTGTTAGAGACAAAGTCTGGCCATTTAGGGGTACAGGAGAGTTGTGGTGGGCATTAGTACTACTCCTGCTGCTGCTGCTGCTGCTGCTGCTGTGTCCACTGTTAGTGACAGAAGTGGGAAAATATTTAAGTTGAGTTCACATTAGTGTTCCCAGTTTAGCGTGAGCATTGCTCCATTATGTTGTTCTAATGTAAAAATGTCAAACACATTTTTCTCAATGAGATACTTAACATTTTAACCCTTCATCCAAGCTATATGTTACACCTCACTTTTCTATAGTTGTATATTTAGAAAATAAATATTTATGAAATACTTGATATTTCTCATCAATCCTTGGTCACTCAATTGAAGGGTGTAGAAGTAAGGTCAGGTTCACCTTAGTGAGGGGCCTGCATCTAACCTTATCTGAAGGGGCTTATGAATTTGGGATTTATTACCTTGACAGAAAGAAATATTGAGAATGACCCCACCCATGCTTTATAGCAATCGCTCTTTATAGTTTATTTCATAGTGACAAGAAGGAACTCATCCATGGTGGGTTTTTCCCTGAGTGGTCTGTATGGTCATATCAGAACTGAAATCATCCCTTCTTGCTTCTGAGCCCCCGTTTCCAAGTCTTGTTCTTTGTTTCTGTAGGTAGTAAAGTGAATTCTTTAAATCCCTGCCCTCCATCAGCTGCTAAAGCATTCTGCTTCCCTCTGATAAGATTAACAGAATGTTGGCTGTGGTTACGGGATGCTTTGCAGTCTATGTCTTAAACCAAGCCAGCCATGTTAGCATTTCCTCTAGTGGTGGTGTTTTAGGCCAATTGAGAATGTGGGTGATATTAATATTTTCCAACCAGCTGATAACAGGAAAGACACTTCTGCTTGGAGTCCACTTTGAGAAGAGATTTATTATTTAGGCAGCACAGGACACCTCCATTAATCTTCCCCCAGCAGTGCCCATCTACCATCAAGTTCATATACTTTCCCCAGGGTTCAAAGAAGGGTATAATTTTAGCCAGCGATTAGTCAATATTTATCAATAAGAATAATAACAGTAAAATTACAATGGCCAATGTTTGAATCCCTAATGTGTGCCAGGCACAGTACGGGGCCTTTTGCAGCTATTATATCATAAAACCCTTACAACAGCCCCATGAAATTTGCACCATGATTTGCTTCATTTTACTTTTGGGGAAACCACGGATCAAGTAACTGAAGTGATTTCTCTAGGACTCACAGATGAGCGGTGGCAGAGCCTGGAATTAGATATATCTGATGTTAGTGTTTTGAGGAATCACTCTCCCCAAAAGCCATAGCTCCCAGACATTCTTATGTAATTTGTCTTTGCTGAGGCTTGGGTATTGATGATTTAAAAGTCCCCAGAGACCAGATTTCATCTGGTATGCTGTGGGAGTCAAGTAACGTCCAAGGCCAAGCCTGTCTGAGAGAGGTTTTTATTAGCTCCAAAATTATAATAACTTCCACAGCCTTCTTCCACCAATTCTGCCTTCCACTGAAACAGCGCTGGTGATGTTTAGAGGTATGAGTTTGGGACAATTATCAGGAGAAGCATTTTGGTGCTATTGTCCCACCCCTTCTGTCCTGAGAGGTTTTATCTGGTCTTTCAGTATTTCAAATAGGTCATGACTAGATTCCATGCATCCCTAGAAAACATAGCCTAAATTTTAAATTAAAGTATGAGGTGGAAGAAACAGCCTTTCTTCCCTTTTGTTTCCAAGGACAGATGGAGTCAAAAGTGGAACTGGGGCCCGCAGAGCCGGATAGCTTGGGCAGTACGTGTGTGCACCTGCAGGCTGTGGAGACAGGTATTTCCATGGAGCTCACTCGCCCTGCCTCTCATCCAGGCCTGAAAATCATAGGTAACTATGAGGCAAGAGGAACCCAGGGTGGTGGGAACACCCTAGGGTGATCCCAGGCTGGGGACCTTTGGACTAAAAAGATGAAAGCCAACATTCCCTCCCCAGGAGGAGATGCAACTCCTGCACTCTCTAGTGACCATCACTGGGATATTGCACAGATCTGCAGTCACCTTCTAAATCCCCTTAAAGTGGACCTAGCCATCCTCTCCATTTTAAGACCACATCTCCTGTCTGCTACAGCCCCTCTCGCTTCTTTTTCTTTAAGGATATCTGGCTGGTTGTATTGGGTTAACATGCAAGAAGAGAGTACCAATCACTCCATAACTTGGGTAATGCATGTCAATGGTGATCTGTGTGGGGCCGCAAGGTTCCAGATGGTTGGGACAACTCTACAATCAGTCACATTTGGGTTGGTTAAATCCCCCACTCATCTTTACAGCTGTATCCTGCAAGTTAGTGGCTGCCTGTCTCTGAACTTCACCTTCCTTATGGTTGTCAAAAATACCTCCATGGGATAAAAACGCAGCATCTGTAGATTCCCAAATAGGTGCAAGTAGATTCCCAAATAGGTGCAAATAGGTTCATTCGTTGGTTCATTCTGCAGTCAGGGAGCTTTCAGTCTACTGGCATGCAAGACGCAATGATAATGAGAATACTTCACAATGAGTGTGACGTGATGACTGATGAATGTGACAAAGGAGAAGTAGGATGCACTTAGACAGCCTGGGGGAATTGAGTTGTGGCCAGAAGGGAGAGAGAGTGTCCATTCTCCACCTCATCACTTTGCTGCCAAGAGAAACAGGAATTTCTTAGACAAGTTCTCAGGTCCCTCGGTGAGACTGGCAGCCTAAAAAAGGCACCAGGGAGCAGGGGGCACTCACATCATGCCATCCCCCCACAGAGCATCCCGCTGGCCATCTGCATCAGCCCGACCCCCACAGGATAGAAGACTGGCACATCCAAGTTGCTCCTTCCACACCCTCTCCCCACTGAGGCCTCGTCTCCTCCGCCCTGTGGCCAATTGAAGGTGAACTCCTAACGTGCATTCTGCCTGGGATCCCAGAGGTTGTGGCAGCCAGATGAGTCACCTCACAAATACAGCACGTGTTCCTCGGGGGCGGCGGTGGGAGGAAACACGTGAAGAGCTCTCTCTGTGATAATAGACCATTTAGAGCTTCAGATGGCGAAAACAAGCTGATCAGGTGCAGGCCCTCCAGGAGGCTGGCAGGTGACTCCCAGCCAGCACGCCCTCCATCGCACGTTGGGGAAGCTGGAAAGAGCCTGGTGGCTGCCGGGCCTCCCTCTGGCATCCTCTCTCCCTCCAAGGCTGTGTGCTCCCCACCTTGTCTCTCCTTTTTTCATTCCATTGCTCTGTTCTGTTTCTGTCTACCCATTCGTCTTTTCTTCCTCTTCTCTTTCTGTTGCCATTCTCTTTCTCTTCTCCTCTCAACATGTCCTTCTCTCTACCCGTTTCCCCCTCCCCTTCTCTCTCTCCTCCCTCTTTCCCTCTCCCTCTCTTCCTTTCCCAAATCTCTCTTAGCCAGGCTCCTTTTCGCCCTTTGCCTCTCAAACCCTCCTCCACCTTTCCACCCTCTCTCTGCGTTCTGCTTCTCCCTTCTTCCTTCCGTGTCTCTGGCTCACTTATCTGCCCTCTCCACATCTTCTTCCATTTGCCACCCTCCCTCTCTGTAGCCACACCCAGTGGGCTCAGAGCTGGGTCTTTCTTTTTTTTGTTTTTTCTTTTTTCTTTTTTTTTTTTTTTGAGATGGAGTTTCACTCTTGTTGCCCAGGCTGGAGTGCAGTGGCGCAATCTCCACTCACTGCAATCTCTGCCTCCTAGTTTCAAGCAATTCTCTTGCCTCAGCCTCCTGAGTAGCTGCGATTACAGTCATGCGCCACCACGCCCGGCTAATTTTGTATTTTTAGTAGAGACGGGATTTCTCCATGTTGGTCAGGCTAGTCTCAAGCTCCCGACCTCAGGTGATCTGCCTGCCTCGGCCTCTCAAAGTGCCAGGATTATAGGTGTAAGCCACCGCACCCAGCCAGATCTAGGTCTTTCATCCCCCTACACAACCCTGGCCTGGCCTGGGCCTCTGGTCTTGGGCCTGGAAGGGAGTCCCATCCTCCCTCCCTCAGCTGGATTTCTTAAGGATAAAACCTTTGCTCCTTCCTTCACCACACCTCTCCACATCCCAAACTCAAGCCCACAGAGCCCAGCTCTGGGCCCAGGGTGTGGACGGGGAGGGTGGCTGGTGGCCCAGAGCTGAGCCCTGTGAGTCAACAGCATGCCTAGACTCACACACAGACACATGGCCCACCTTCAGGGTCATGAGGATTCATAAACCCTATTCTGCGAAGTGCCTCCAGGAATCATCAAGGGAGCTAGGGCAGCTCTGAGTCTCCACCAGGCCCACCCTCCGCCTCTCAGGGCTGAGCTTCACTTCCCTTCCCAAAGGGGCCAGGGAGAGGGGCTGCTGATGACATGATCTCAGAGGAAGGCCAAGGCCTCCAGGCTGCCTCTGGGCCTGGCACAGGAAGGAGGAGGAGAAAATAGGGAGCCCAAGGAAAGATCAACCCAGCCCAGCCCAAGGACCCCCAGCCCCAGCCCCAGCCCCAGCTGGGCTCAAACTAATTGAAAACAGACTGGAAAAGGCTGCTTTTGCCCTTCCTCTAGACTCAGCATCATCAAGACTGGAGGGACAGAGCATTTGAATCATCAGACGCTGGGCCAGACGTCACCCCACGCGTTTTCTCATTTTATCGTCCTAAGAAGCCCAGAAGGTGCGTAAAATGGCCTGTCCCAAACAGATGAGGACATTACCTTTCTCCTCTTCCTCCTCCTCCTTCTTCTTCTTCTTCTTTTTGCTTCATTTTTCTTTCATTTTTTCCCCCAGATGTTGCATTTCAGAGAGGCTGAGCGTGTTGACTAAGGTCACACAGCTACAAACATCAGGGACCTGCGAAAAAGCTCTGTTCCCTGGTGACAGGTGTTCTGTGATCCTAACACAGCCGGAGGTGGGGACAACGTCCTTGCAGTAACAAAGGCCCTGTTGCTCAACTCAGTGGACATCAGGCCCTGTTTTCATTCATTAGCAGGTCAGGGATTCCAGTGTCACCTGTGCCATGTATTCCAGCTGATCTACCTGCAAGCCTCTACTCCCCATTTTCCCAGCAGCAGCCGCAGACACCACCCAACTGGCAGAAATTTCAAACAAGGGGTTCTGCCTTGCACTCCGGTGCAAGGGTTGGGCACGTGGACTCACATGTGACCAATCACATTGTCTTTCCTGAGATCCTGCATTTTGACCAGAGGAATCAAGAACAAAAAGTGGTGGCAACTGATTTATCCTTAAGAAATCCAAGTAATGAGTTCCTGCTGCCAAGATTTCTGGGATTTCCCTGGCTCCTGCCAGTTTCTGGATTTGGTTCTTAAGCATTTTCTGGGTGTGTGAGCCCCATACCCTTCTCATAGCTTCTTCAGCCAGAGTCAGTTTCTGGTTTTTGCAATCAAAAATAACCCAACTAAGATTTGCTATCCTGCAGGCAAGAGAGGGCCACAGCTTGATAGTCAAGGTTAGCCATTGTCTGGGCCCTGCCTGCCCCAGCCAGCTTTCTTTCCTCCCCAGCCTGTACCTGCCACCCTGAGCACACCACACTGGTACACGCCTGTGTACTTGTCTTTTATGGTCTCACTATAATTTATTTAATCCCTCATTAATGAACATTTCTAAGTTGAAGTATAATTCATGTATTAGTCAGGGTTCTCCAGAGAAACAGAACCAACAGGATGTGTGTGTATATATATTATACACATTATTATATATTACACACATGCACACACACAGACATATCTATATATCTAGAGAGAGAAAGAGATTTCCTTTAAGGAATTGGCCTACATGATTGTAGGGGCTGGCAAATTCAAAATCGGCAGGGCAAGTAGTCAAGGGAAATTCAAAATTGGCAGGGCAAGAAGCCTAGGGAAAAGTTGCAGGCAGAATTGTTTCTTCCTGGGAGAGACCTCAGTCTTTTTCCCTGAAGGCCTTCAGCTGACTCAATGAAGTTTACCCATATTATGGAGAGTAATCCACTTTCTTCAAAGACTCCTGCTTTAAATGTTAATTTCTTTGAAAAAATTGCCTTCACAGCAACATCTAGACTGGTGTTTGACCAAACAACTGGGTACTATGGCCTAGGCAAGTTGACACGCAAAATTAACCGACACAATTCACATACCGTAGCATAAAATGAACCCTTCTAAAGTGCACAATTCCATGTTTTTAGCATGTTCACAAGGTCATCATCATCACGATATAGTCACGGAACTTTTTTTTTTTTTTTTTTAAGACAGGGTCTGGCTGTGTCACCCAGGCTGGAGTGCAGTGAAGTGATCTCAACTCACTATAACCTCCACCTCCTCAGTTCAAGCAATCCTCCCACCTCAGCCCCTCGAGTAGCTGGAACCACAGGCGCATGCCACCAAATCCAGCTAATTTTTGTATTTTTTGTAGAGACAGGGGCCATGTTACCCAGGCTGGTCTCGAACTCCTGGGCTCAAGGTATCCACCTACCCTGGCCTCCCAAAGTGCTGGGATTACAGGCATGAACCACTGCGCACGGCCCAGTCACAGTACATTTTTCTTGCCCCAGAAAAAAAACCCTGACTCCTCCCAGCTCCTGGCAACCAATAAACACATTGGTCTGCATGTTGTTCATGCTGGTTCACCTTCCTCCTTGCCTCCCTTTGACTGCCTCATAAATTTCCACTCATTCCTCAAGAGTTAGCCCTTCTGAAATATCTTCCTTGATCCCACCTACTAGAAGCACCCTGTCCCACCTCAAACTGAGTCAATCACTTTATTTTCTGTGAACCCCCAATATAAGCTGATGGTGCCTCCTGGAATAGCCTTTAGCAAAAGATATTAAAATTGCCTAATCAACTTGCTTCTCTTTCTCACCAAACCAGCAGTTCTTAAATTATGATTTCAGGGCTTCTTGACACTTACCCCATATTTTTACCATTTGATGTGCTTGTGTTTCCGGGAAGAGAGTTCAGGGTTTCATCAGATCTTCAAAAGGATCCCAGGAAGGGCCAAGAGCCTTGAGATTAGGGCTTCTCGAAGGGCAGAGGCATGCTTCATGAGTTCCCTTGTGTCCTTATGCCTGGTGCAGATGAGGTCTGCTGGATGAGCCTGGGTGATGAATGAGTAGTCACATGTAGGAAAAGTGTCCTTCCTTCAAGGGTTTTCCATCATCACTCTCTATGAAGCAGTGAAAAAGCAAAACAAAGTAACATACGGTTAAGCATCAGAGGAGGAGGATAGACACATAATTACATATTCATTTGTTCATCTGCTCATCCATTCACAATTTAGTGTATGCATCTACAAGGTACAAAGCCCAGTGCTCCCAGCAGCGGGTGTTCAGAGCTCCGAGAAGCAAGCAGGCACCACATGTTGGTCTCAGAAGGTAGAGAGAGACTGTAAAGTAAACCAAGGAAGGCTCCCTGGGGGAGAGGCCGCATGACATGAGCGAAGCCAAGAGCAAGGACTGGGACTCAGCCAGATGGAACAGAGCCCGGGGAAGGGTGTCTTGAGTGTGTGTGCTGGGGGGAGCATCCACGTGAGCAAATGCCAGGCCTGCAGAGGACCCAGAGAAGGGAGAGAATTTACACACCCACAGTCCCTGAAGCCTGGAGAGGACTTTTTAAGATTCCCGGTGACGGTGCAGAGAAGCTGAGCCGGGGCCTGACTACAGTGAGGTGTGGGGTGTAATTACCAAGCCAGAGTGCAGAGCTGAGCCAAGCAGGTAAGAGTACTGACCCCGAGCCCACTCGGGCTCTGAGCAGAAGGAAGATTTCATTAGTGTTAGAGAGGAAGGATGTGCCTTCTCCCCCGGAGGCCAGAGGGCAGGAGACCAGCCAGGCGGGGAGGCTGACCCAATGGCCCCGGAATGGTGATGGAGCAGCCTGGGAGGCTGCAGGCACTGAAGGAAGAGGTAGGGGACGATGACTCCATCTGTCACCTCGGCACTTACCCCAAAAGATGGAGGACTGCTGGCAGAAACAGACAGAAATTTCCCTTGAGAAGGAGAAAGCCATGCTATAGGCAATCAAGATTTGCACATTGTCAGCAGAGAAGGAATGAGACTGTCTGGTTGCCGCTAGACTTTGGCCAGGGCTGTCCTGCAGGTAAGGGCCTCGTGCAGGAGGCCCCTGGGCAAGGGCCGGCCCTTCTCCTCTCCCTCAGTGTCCTGGAAAGGCCCCAGGGCTGCCCCAACCCCTGACCTCTCTCCTTCTTTCTCCATATTGCTAGACCCCCTTCTCTTGGTCCCCTGCCTCCTCCCACTGGTGTGCACCCACACCTTCAGACAGTTCTGAGCAGACCACGCAAAATACAACTGTGATGTTATTTGCAGCAGGCATTCTGGACCCAGAACTGTGCTTGGTCTTGAAGTTGAAAGGTAGCAATCACTCATACTCCTCTCCCATGAACAATTTGAGAAAAAATGGAGGCTCAGGGCAGAAGTTACCCCCTTTACAACTGACGGGAGCTATCCTGGGGAATGAAGCCTGAGGCTAAAACCTATGCCCTATTTCCAGCCTCATGAAGTAAACTTAGCCACTGGGTCCCTAGCAAAGAAACTGGAGAACTGAGGGTCTCCCCCAGGTCTGCCCTCCAACTGCCCCAAGCCCCACATGCCTGCAGGCGGCCCTGGGATATCTGCCATGTGCAGGGAATAATGAGCCTGGCAGCTGCAAGAAGGAGATGAGCTCCAGGGTTTGAGGGTTAAGGACATTCACCAGTCTCCCAGCACACTCATCTCCACCCCACCCCAGTGAATGAGACTGAGAGGGCTCAAGGTGGGGGCAACAGGTTCTCTCCATTACCTTCCAGCCAATACCTGCATGTACATTGAGATACTCAGTAAGCCATGAGAAGCGCTGTGTGACCATGACTGAGTTGTTTAAACTCTCTGTTCATGCTCCTCCCCTGCAAAGTGAAGGCATTCAAAATCATCTGTATTCATGGTGAACCTACTTTGTTCTAAGGCCTCTGGGACATCCAAAGTTGGATAGGCCATGTCCCTGACCCAGCTGACTGCTCTCACCCTTGCTTTCACTGTGTGAAATTCTCCCACATTGACGGGCTGGGGGTAGGGCAACTACAATTGAGAAGCACAAGGGAGCCCCCCGTGGTGATGAAACAGTTGGTATCTTGACTGTGGTGTTTACACAAATCTATGTGTGTGATAAAATGACACAGAACTACACACATACACACACCCATAAGAGTGCATATAAAACTGGTTAGATCCAAGCAAGGTGTGTGGACCATGCCAATGTCAGTTTTTTGACTTTGACATTGTCCTGTGGTTCCCTAAGATGTTACCACTGGGGGAAACTGGGTGAAGGGTGCAAGGGCCTCTCAGTATTATTATGGGAATTTTCTGTGAGTCTATAATCCTTTCAAAAGAAAAGGTTATTAAAAAATCTCACATGACTTCTCACTACTCTGCTTATAAAATCCACACTCCTCACGGAGCACCACAGGCCCGCTGTAATCTGGCCTCTGTCTCCTCTCCAACCTCTCCCCAAGCTCCCTAGGCCCAGCCCCATCCCCTTCTCTCTGCACCTTGAGCACACCCAGCCCACTCTGTGAGGCTGTAGGCCTTGCTGTTTCTTTTACCTCAAGTTCTCTCGCCCCAAATCCTAAACACAAGTAACTTCTGTCATTCAAATTTCACAATCAGTCTCCTTTTCTTGTAAGGCCTTCTTTCTCAGGCTGATCCCTTCAGCCCTAATACAGTTGGCCCTTCCACTGTGTTTAGGGTGCTACATCACCATCACCTCTTGGTTTTTGGCTAAGATCAAGTGTAGAGTCCTGCTATCATCAGACATGATCTGATTCGTTTGTTTGCTTACCTATCACTGTCAGTCCGGACCTCCCCTCCCTCTGAGAATGAAGCAGAGAAAATGTTATCTTGGTCACCAGTGTATCCTGGAAACTGCAACAGGGGCAGGCACAGGCAGGAGTGCAGTGAATATCAATGGTAGATGAATGAATGAATGAATGAAGAATGAATGAAGAATGAATGAATGAATGCACCACACAAAGTAGCATTCTAGCAGAAGTGAAAACAAGGTTACCTAGTGCAGACTTTCCCAGCCAGGACTCATACTATTTTTAAACACATACACCTGCTTCGGTGATGTACTGAAGGCCTCAGGCTACTCTCCCCGCCCACATCTCCCACCCCTCTAACAGGATTCAAATCTCCAGTGCTCATATTTCCTCCTCATCACTTACCTAGCAAATCTGGCTCACAGTATAATATCAGTCATTTATACTTCAGTCTGAATTCCAGGTCAGTGCCAACTTCCTCCAGATATTTGTGGTTTAAGCTTCATGTGATATTACGTCATCTTAAGGGCATTTAGTAAAGGGGAAGAAGGAACATTTTTGGACAGAGGCCTTTTCCTGTGCTCATTTGTGCCTCACAGGAAGCCAAGAGTAAATGTGCATCTAGACCTACAGGGGAGGTCTTGGCAGTTACAGCAAACTCAGGGAATTTTAAATATGCCGGAAACTTTCCAGAGCCCTGAGTTGCAGTCCCAGCTCTGTCACTGTCTCTCTGTGCTTTGCTAAACAGACTTCGCCCCTCCGTGGGCCGTCTGTGAAAATAGGGCCCAGCTCGATGGCATATAAAGGCCCTCTGACTTCCAGTAGTAAAACTCTAGAGGAGCCCTTGTTTTCTGGGGAGACTCTTTCTGAGTTTTCATAATAATGTTGAGTAGTTCTCTTTTCTTGCTCACGCCGACTTTTCTCCAGTTCTCGGACACCAGTTCTGGGTACCCAACAATTCAATCCAGTTCTGACACTAACTATCCAGAGTTAGCAGAGGCCCCACAGGTTAAAGGCCTCGTCCCACAAAACTGCCCCCACTTCAGACACCAGTGGCCAGTCTCAGACCCCCTGTACTTCTGACCAACCAGCTATAAGTCAAGGATTCCTAAGACTCCTTCCTCAGGTCTAATAATTTGCTAAAGAAGCTCACAGAACTCAGGAACACACTTTACTTATGTTTACTGGTTTGTTTTCAAGGATGCAACTCAGAAACAGCCAAATGAAATGACTGAATCAGGCAAGATATGGGGTTGGGGGATGAGGCATCGAGTTTCTATGCCCTCTCCAGGCATGCCTTTCTCCCAGCACTTGGACGCGTTCTCCAACAGGGAAGCTCTCCAAATCTTGGTGCTTAGGGGTTTTTATGGAGGTTCAATTACATAAGCATGATTGATCAAATTATTGGCCAATGGTGACTGACTCAATCTCCAGCCTCTTCCTTCTCTCCAGAAGTTGGGGATGGGGCTGAAAGTCTCAAGCTTCCAGTCAAGGCTTGGTCTTTTTGGTGACCAGCCCAATCCTGAAGCTATCAAAGGCTCACCAAGAGTCACCTCACTGGAACAAAAGATGCTCCTATACCCTCATCACTCGGGAAACTCCAAGGGTTTTAGGGGCTTTGTGCTAGGAATGGGAGACAGAGACCAAATATCTATCTATTTATTTATTTATTTATTTATTTTTTGAGACGGAGTCTCACTCTGTCACCCAGGCTGGAGTGCAGTGGCACAACATCTGCCTCCCAGGTTCAAGTGATTCTCCTGCCTCAGCCTCCCAAGTAGCTGGGACTACAGGTGCCCACCACCATGCCTGGCTAATTTTTGTATTTTTAGTAGAGACGGGGTTTCACCATGCTGGCCAGGATGGTATTGATTCCCTGACCTCATGATCCAACCACCTTGACCTCCCAAAGTGCTGGGATTACAGGCGTAAGCCACCTCCCCCGGCCCCTTTCTATGACACCACAGATGGGCACAGTCAGAATCAGAGCCTGAGGTGCAGGTCAAATCCCTTAGCCCTCCACCAGTCCCGCCCACTTGGTTTCTGTGGTAGAAAGTTTTGTTTACTATCTGTATCTGTATCCCCCACCAAATGCGAGCTCCCCCATCCCACCCTGATGCTGAACTGAGGACACTCAGGGCTTTGTGTGGCTCTGGCAGCTTGCACAATGGGTTCTCAGATGAGGTATTCCATGCCCTTCTTCCTGGAGTAGTAAGAGTCAATGCTTTTCAGTTCAGCAGAAATTCATGAGATATTAGAAAGCACTTCCTAGATCTGCGTAGAAGTTGGAATAGGTTGCATATAGAAGCTAGGAAGGTTCCATCCCTGGAGATCTTTAGGAAGATCCCATTGCTCTGGGTGACTCAGTCGCTCATTTCAATCATGAATTACAGGCATTATCGAGTTAAGTCACCATGGTGGCTGGACCTGCTTTCTCCAAAGTCCCTCCAGCTGCAGGTTGGTGAGCCCATAGATGGGGTTAGTGAAGCATTGTTGGTCAGCTCACCAGGGCACCCTTATGAGAGTGAAGTAGACCGTGACTCCTCTGCAGTTGGTTAAGGAAGAGGACACTGAACAAAGTCATGTGTTAAGAGTGGTGTTTGGCTGGCAAATTCTGATTCATCTTTCAGGACCCTGCTCAAGCATCTCCTCTTTTGAGAAGCCTGGCCTGGCCCTCTCCCCATGCCCCACTCTTCCTTCCCCAGGTTTAATTAAATGTCTCTTCTCAGCTGGTGTGACCTCTTGGTTGATTGCAAATAGTGCATACTCCACTCTCTCTCCACGGAACTGTGAGCTTTCTAAGGGCCAGAACCATACCCACCTCATCTCTCACTGCCTCCCTGGTGCCATCGCAGGACAGGTGGGGCAGAGCAGGGGCCCGGTGGCTGCTGGCTAAATTGTTGGAGGGACTGGCTGGGAGCCCATACATCACAGACAGCAGATACCCCAGGGACTGGCAGTGTGGGAACCAGGTGAGAAGCCCCAGTCTCAGGTCTGCAGCCTTCCTCAGTCTCCTCACTCAGTAGCCTTGATTCCCAGCAAACCACATCAATTTCTCATTGCACACCCTGCTCAATGCTCATCTGCATAGTGTCCTCCATCCAGAGCAGCCCTGAGCTGTGGGCACGAATACTAATGGATCATGCAAATGCCAGCCTAGGGCAAGAGTGCCCTGGACTGTCAATTAGCTCCCCCCAGCACCAGCTACAGTGCCCAACCCCTTCACTTGATACAGGCCAGCCCAATGCAAGAAGGAGCAACAGAAAAAGAACTCGGCTTGAAGGACTGCTCTAGTCAAGGTAGTGTGTTGTGGCAGCCTGGAAAGGGATCTTCCATGTAGAGTGAGGGAAGAAGAGAGCCAGCCTGGCCTCTCAGGAAGAGGTTCCCACAGGCACTCTTGGGAGGAAAGGTGGTGCTCTTGGGGGCCCAGGTAATAATTGCTACACGAATGCCACGGCTCTTGGAACTGCTGCTTCATCCTTTTCCCTCCACCTGGCCATCTATGTGCCAGGCCACCAGCGTACGTCCTGTGTTGTCCTCTAAACCAAGACCAAAGCTCTTCACAGCCACTCTTCTCTGACCCAGTACCAACTCCATCCTGGGAGGGAGGATGACAGGCTCCCCGTCCCCTCACCTCTTCTTCCCAATACTGCTGTTTCCTCCCAGTTCTTTCTCTTCCCTCCACTGCTCCCATCTGCTTTCCTTCCTTAGTGGATAAAAGCATTAAATTTGAAGGCAGAGAGATCGGGTTCAAACCCAGACTCTACAGATCACTCAAGCTTTGTGGCTTGGGCGAATTACACCATGCCTCTGAACTTCAGTTTGCTAGTCTATAAAATGGAGAAAAGAGAAGTACCTGCCACAGTGGCATTGTGAGGATCATTTTATGAATAGCTAAGAATTTCAGGTAACTCACTCTGATGTACCAGAAAGTTACTTTGCTTACTGCTTCAATCACTGAACTTAATTTCTACTCCAAGTTCCCATTCCTCTCAGTGGCAGAGAACCCTCAATCAGTTCAGGATGCCCCATCCCCAGTGTTGCCTGAATGTTTTGGGGTGGGCTTACGGAGCATGGAGCCTGAAGTGGGCTCTACCTCTGGTGGGCAGCCCTACCATTCCTACAGAAAGGCACCCCAAGAGGTTCTGCTTCCTGTGCATTCTGTGGTCACTGTGCCATTCAGGTCGCAGCTGGGGCCTCCCAGGCTCTAGGAGGGTTTCCTGGACCGCACCACTGTTGGGTGCAGGGGAAGATTCCCCTTCTCCTTACCGGACTTGCCCAGGAGAGGTAGGTCAGGAACCCCTGCCTGAAAAAGACACACAAGTCAGTGGCTGTGCAATGCTCCTGCTACACACAGAGGTGGCAGGCCTTAGAGGGGAACCCTAGGCTGTGTTCACTCTCCCAGGCTCCACTTTGGAAAAGCCAGGGTCTGCTCTCAGCTCCCACATTCCGCCAAAGTCTGGGGTTTCAGTGCCAAACAGGCCACCAACCCTCGAACTCTGCCTGAGGTGGAGGACAAGGGCAAACCCCTCTTGCTCCTGCCCTCCAACCAGTCACATATTCTTCCAGGCCTTTCATCTCAAAATCCAAGATGTGACCATTGTTTCCGTGCCACCTCTGCCACAGGTAGTGAATGCCGCAGCTCAAATGTGCGGCAGGTTGTGTGGTCACAGGAAATAACAGAAGGAGCCCCGGTTAATATCTCAGTTGTATGTGGCCTCATTTTTGCAGGCCCTGTCCCAGAGTCAGTCCTCAGCACGAGGGCAGCTGAGACTCTTTTCTCCCCCATTCCTTCCTCCTTCCCTCTTCCTGGGTTTCTTCCTTTTTCAGGCTCCAATTGCAGCAGCAGCAATGCTGGGAGCGGAGATCCTGGGAGCCCGGAGCCAGCTCTGACATGTTCAGCGGGCCGTGCAGGGTCAGGGGCATGCTCATCGGCTCATCACTGGCATGATTACTAATCATCAGGCAGCGGCAGGGTTACTGTTCCCTCCTCCCCTCCCTGCTCACTTCCTCAGGGTCTTCAGGCTGCAGGAGCCGAAGAGGGAAAGACCCTGCGTGCACCCTGGCAGGCTGATAATCACAGCTGCAGCCCCCAGGCACTAAAAGGATGGGTGGGAGCATCATCCACCACTCAAAGGGCTGGGGACCCTTGTCCCTCCCATGTGCATCCATCTCTCCTATCTCTGAGTCCCCAGTGAACTGCTGCCTCCCTAGAGAAACAGTGCTAGAAGTCAGTGGCAAGAGCAGCAGGAGGACTTGGAGCTACATGCAGAGTGTGAGCTCCGGAGTCAGACCAGCTGAGTTCAAGGCCAGCTCCACCATCTATTCACTGTGACTTCAGGAAGGTTGCTTAACCTCTCTGTGCCTTAGCTGCCTCATCTATAAAACAGGAAACAATGAGAGTCTTTCCTTATGGGGCTATTGAAATGATTAAGTGAGATCAGGCATGTGATGGCACACAGTAAGAACTCCATAAACAGAGGTCACCACTGCTAATGCAATTATTCTATCACCTCAGGAGACTAAAGCAGGGGAGGAAACACCATTGACTCCTGGACATTTACCCAAGGAGATTATGGATCCATGTTTTGCACACACTTTAGAAAGACAAGGAATTCTAACCACAGCATCTGTCTCCACTGCCCCCGTCATTTCAGTCTCACCCGTCCACCCTCAACCTCACCACTGTGGCCCGGAAATGCGGTTGCCCAGGGCCACTCTCACCCCACCTCAGCCCTGCTCTGCTCAAGTCTCACTTCCACTCCTTCCAGCTCCCATCCCTTTCTACCCAGCTCCACCCTGATTTCTCCACCATGACCTTTACCCTCCTAGTCTGATCTAGACCCCTGATCTTGCCGAGTATCTAGGACTTTGGTGCCTTTGACCCTCAGCAGCAGAGGTAGAGAGGGATCTCGGTGAAGTCTGGGATGTTATAGTGACTTGTTTATCTAAGTGCCCTGAGACTGTGAGTTCCCTAATGCAGGGAGCATCAACCTCTGCAGAGAGCCCCAGAGCCCTGCTCAGGTGTGATGAACAGGAGGCACTCACTTGATGCCCTCACAAAGTTGTGAGTGAATGAATGAATGAGTGAATGAATGATTGAATGAAGATTAGTGATTATGTTAATGACCTGCCTTTTTCATGAGCCTTGCAACCTCCCAGGTACCACACTAAAGCACTTAAATGCTTCCACTCATTTAATCCTCATAGCAACCCTAAGACATAGGCGTAATTATTGTACCTATTTTATAGATGTTGAAACTGAGGATCAGTGAAGTTAAAGGCACACAGCTAAGGGATGAATGGATAAAATCCTTTACCATAACCTTTCCTCCTTAGGACAAAGTTTCTTCACCAACTGTCCAAGGCTGTGTTTCACTGGGGAGAGTCTGAAATTCTACACCAAGCATGAGCATGTGTTCATGCAGCATGGTAACTCTGGGGGAAAAGGTTCACAGGTTTTATCAGATACTTACAGTTTGTTAGAACATATTTGAATCCATCCATCTAACCACCCGTCCCCTTTCAATCCACCCTTCTGTCCACCCCCAGACAGCCATTTGATCAATATTCATGAAATATCTGCCTTGCGCCAAGCATAGTGCTGGCACCCATGAATTCCCTGGTCTCCAGAAATATCCTTCCCCCTCTCCCTGACTACCCCTGCCCCCGCCTCACCACACACACACTCCTTGCAGGATCTGGGTAACTGGGAGGGCTTTACCGCCAGTGTCCCAGCTGCGTGGGTGGCTGCACTCTGTCTGAACTCATCTCAGCTCTGGTGGAGACTGTGGCAGCGCAGAAGCGTGCAGGGGGAATCCTCAGGCAGCGCAGCCATCAGGACATGAAGGGCAGAGCCTGTGCCCCGGCTTCCCCGGCTTCCGCTGCAGTCTACATCAGTCCTGCTCCCTCCAGAACATGATCAACCGGGACAGATGAGGCCATGCTTGATGCATAAGGATGCAGCCAGGGAGAGCTGCCTCCCAAACCCAAGTCCTATTCAAAGGTCTTTTCTTCCTCCTGGGGAGGTAGGGGAGAAGGTCCAAGCAAAGGGAACTGGAAGGGGAAAGTGAGGCATGGAGTTTGTGTTTTCTGAATCAGGACTGTGTTCCAGCCAGGGAGACCCTGTGTCAGGCACTTTTGTAATCACGATCACTTTCAGCCTCACCCTGCGACCTCCAACGACATTGCTGAGATTGTTCTCCTTGCAAACATGAGGAAATTGAGGGGCTCAAAGGTCAAATAACTTGCCCAAAGTCACAAAACAAATCCGGGACTTTAAGCCTGATCTGCTTGACCTGAAACTCATATCTACTTCCCTGCCCTCTGAAGATCTATATGTCCTATGTCATCACTTCACTGTTCACACAAGGTGATACCTGGCTTCTCCAAGCACCTGCTACCCTGAACTTACTGCACCACTCTTTCCTTCCTAGCCTGAATGCAATTTGCAATGAGGAGATGATTTGATTTTCTTCAGCCCTAGACCTCCAGCTTCCTGAGAGCAGGTACTCTTGCCTCTTCTTGCTCATTATTGATCCATATATTTAGAATAGCGCCTGGCAGGTAGATGGTGCTTAATAAATATTCATTGAATAAATGAATGAATGAATGATCCAATGAGCCCCAAAGCAAATAACAATAAAGGACATTTGCAGAGTGCTCTACAGAGAGACAAGTGCTTTCCCTTTACTTTATCTTACCCCATTCTCACAACAATCCCCTGACATGATTGGGTTCATGTTTCACAGATGAGGAGGCTAACGGCCAGGTGTACATACCAGGGGACATGGGACTGGGTTCATATGAGCTCAGGGGTAAATGATGACACCCTTTCCCCTGCCCTGAAGGATCTCAGTTTGAGTATTTGTAGCACACTTAGGATGTTCTGGGCCAGGCTGAGTGGCGGTGGATGGGGGCGGTGGAGGTGGGGTATGCAAAGCAGGAAACTCGGCCTTTGCTTTCTAAAAGCTCCCAGTCTATTTGAGGCCAGACTTATGCATGCAGAACATTTGGGAAATGGTACAAGACAGCAGCAAGCATAGTGCTGAATTGCACATAATCAGGTGCCAACTGCATTCCCTTCCTTAACTAATCTGAGTCTTTTAATACCAGATGGGGACCCTGAGAATAGATTTCCTATCAAACAGATGAAGAGCAAAGATGGGAGCCGAGGGAAATGCTGTGGCTTACTCATTTTTATACCCCTGTAACCCAGCATGATGTCTGGCCCACAGCAACAGGAATAGGGCAGTCCACCTTCAATAATGGGCCACTCTATGTGCCAGGCACCTGCTAAGGGCCCCACAAACATCATGTCACCAATCCCTCACAGCAACACTACCACTTACTAAAGGAATTATGAAAGTAATCCACAAGAAGCTGAAAGCAGGGTTCAGAGATCGTACTCATCATGCCCACAGTCTCAGAGTAAAGGGGCAAGCTCAGTGTTTGAACCCAATTCTAGCAGCCTCCCAAATTAATGCTCTCAATCTGACTCTATGCTACCTCTGTGCCTGGAAGGAACTACTGTTGTCCATAAGGATGAGAAGAAACATGGCTAAGGGAGCACTGAGTAGGGAGGAAGGAGGCAGCAGGGAGGAAGAAATAAATTAAGAAAGAAAGAGATACAAAGAGGAAGAAAGGAGAGGGGGAGGGAGGGAAAGAACAGGGCTTGTGTGTTACATAAACTCAGACAAGCACATGCATGTTTTAACAGGATTCCTGCAGGTCTGACAATCTCACTCCTTCCTCCCTGAACAACCTTAGAGGGGTTGCCTAAGGAGTCCTATATAGAGGCTTATGGCAGAAGGAAGGCCTTGCGTCCAGAACTTTCTGAGCTCATGGATTGACACTGGGGTTGCGCATCAGTCTGCTTGGAATGCCTTCAAAAAATACCCCAGTCTGGGTGGCTTATACAACAGAAATCTATTTTCTCATGGTTCTGAAAACTGGAAGTCCAAGATCAAGGTGCCAGCAGGGTTGGTGTCTGGTGAGGCCTCTCACCTTGTGTTGCAACTGCCTTTTCCCTGTGTGCTCACATGGTATCTTTGTGCGTGGGGGGTCTTTGGAGTCTCTCCTTGTAAGGACACTAACTCTATCAGATCAGGGCCCCACCCTTATGACCTCTTTTAACCTTCATTAGTTCCTTAGAGGTCCCTTCTTCAAATACAGCCATACAGGGGCTTAGAGCTTCAACACAGGGATTTTGGAGGGACACAAACATTCAGTCCACACCGGGGTGCATGAGGGAGGGGTCAGAGCTGGAGAAAGTGCATGAGCTAGTTCACCTTCCAGAGTAAAGGGAGCAACAGCCACTGAAGCTCAGGTTGGATGGGGCTGGCAAGGTCGCTGTATTGAGTACATCATGGGAGGGACAACAGGACAAATGGCTCCTGCAGTCAGGGTGACTGATGGGAGGCTTCTTCAGCACTCCCTCTGCACATTCATTTTGTCACTCCCTCTCTCCCCATGCAGTTCTTTGCTCTCTGTTGCAAGTTCCCAGGAGGCAGGCAGAGGGCCTGTTATCATCATCTTTCTCTCTTGCCCCTCACACTTACCTGTGTTCTTCTACTTAGACACATTCTTTGTGAGCATCTCATGGGTGATGTTGGCTGCATTGTACAGTGGGCACGTGCGTATGTGTGTGTATTTATCTGCAAATAATACCCATGTCACAAGGCGTCCGCAGGAATAAATGAGCTATTGTGCATGTAAATATCTGGTACATGGTAGATACATGAATGAATGAATATTTGTTGAATAAATAAGTGAATGAATGAATCTTCACTTGGCAGAGCATGTGTCTTCCTTTAAGGGGCAAGGATGATCTGGTAATCATCAGTTTCTGCTTACTAACTGGGTCACTGAGCAAAGAAAAGAGACTCACTCATTCATTTATTCAGCATAGGTTGGCTGCACCCCTGTCAGAAACCGGAGGTTAAGCAGAAAGTAGAGAGTTAAATCAGTATGTAAAGCAGTTAAAACAGTCCAGAGGGAGAGACAGGCAAGGAAAGGAACAATGAGAAACAAAGTAAGGAGTGCTCTGATAAGAAGCCCTGGGTGCTATGGAAACCACAAGCAGGGCACCGACTCAGGGCCAGGGAGGGATCCCTGGAGGAGATGACATCTGCAGTAGATATTCCAGGGTAAGCAGCAGGTGGCCAGAAGGAGAAAGAGGTGAGGAACATTCCAGGCAAGGGGAACAGCACGTGCAAAGGCCCTGAAGGAGAACCACAACACGCATCTGAGAAATAGTGAGGGGTCTGGGTGGCTGAGCCACAAAGGGAACACCAGGGGTCAGGGAGGATTTGTAGAAGAAGCCACAGGCCACAAAAAAGACCTCATAATTCATGTTCAATGGTTTGGATTTTATTTTGGTGACTTCACTTTATACCTACTGTTCAGAGGCAGCCAATTGCAAACACGTCCAGAAGCACTTTGCTATTTCTGATCTGCAAAATGGAGCAAGTCATCTGTACTCTGCTTCTTCAGTGGGTTGTGGGGAAGCAGAAATGAGAGGATGACATTCTAGCCTTTTGTGACCTCTCAAGTGCTGTCCTTATGGTCATTCAGGTACCATGAAAATTAGCAGAGCCCCAAGGGGGAAGTAGCTTGGTGCTCACCCAGTGGTATCCCTGACAAGTTGGCAAAGACACCCAGGGTGGCTTAACTTTCTCCTCAGCAAAGAGCTCTCCTCTGTTCCCTGAATCCTGGATATCCCACTGGGTCCTCTAGTGACCCCAAGCTTCAGCCTCGCATGCCCTCTTCTCGAACAGAGAAGGCAGGAGGGAAGCAGGGACCAGCCCCTGCTCCATCTTCCAGGATTCCAGGCCTCCCTGGCCTGGACAAGCCCTGAGCTGGCAGTTAGGAGAGCAGAGGTTGTGAATCTGGTGGGACCCCCAGCAGGTCTTTCTGGCTCAGTGCCCTCATCTGTGAGCAGGGGTTCCCCAGGAGACCACGACAGAGGCCTGGAACCCAAGTTCTAATCCCACATCCTGGCTGGGCAACTTCAGGCAAATTTCTAACACAAGGTAAGCCTCAATTTCTCTCTGGGGTAATGATCAGGCACCTGCTTAATTCACAGGGGTTTGGTGGGCATCACGTGGACAATGTGGTTGCACAGCAGTGGGCAATGCAAAGGAAAGGAAGTATGTTAGTAAGTGCCCCTCCCCTGTTGCACAAAACAGGACACATGCTGGGATTGCAGAAAAGCAATAAATGCTGCACAGGTGAAGAAAACTATTCAAGGACCCTGGCCAAGTCACAGGCTACCTGTGGCCCTGAGGGGACAGCTCATGGGTTGGCATTAGGGGAAGCAGCTCTCAAGGGGCCTGTATCCTGGGGATTCAACTCTGTGCCTATGTGGCATTGAGCCTGTGTGAATGTGGTGACTGTCATGCTGTTTTGCTGTGTGTGCGTCTGCATGCCTGTGTGTTTGTGTGTCTCTCCACCTTCGTGGGGGGCAACTGTAGGTGTATTATGAGCCTTGGGTCTGTCTGTGTGTACAATAGCAATGTCTGTGCGGACTTAAGGACCTGCGCCCATATGTTTGTGGGACTTTCTGGGCATGCATGCTTGTTTATGAGGCCATACATCCGGGTATTCTGTGAACTGCTAGCATGGTGTGTATCTGTGTGGCAGACAGAAAATGGCTGGGTGGGATTGTAGGGGGCAGCTTGGGCAAAGGATCCTCAGTGTCAATCAAAATGGGTCTCAGTGGGAACCCAAGCAGCTCAGACTTGGGGGAGGGGAAGCTCTTCCTCCACCTTCCAGGGAGCAAACCTTGCAATTCAACACCACAAGGCTTTGAGTCCACAGGCAGGGACGCAAACTTTGCCCATTGGGTGAGACGCCACTCACAGAAGGGAAATGGCTTCCTAAATCTAATCATTGCCCCTTCAAGCACTAACAACCCGTGCCCAGGAGCTGATGGCTAATGAATTATTGAGCTGGAAAGGGAGAAGAGGTAGAACCAAGGAGGAAAGAAACAGAAAAATGAGAGAGCAGGCCGGGTGGGGTGGCTCTCGCCTGTAATCTCAGCACTTTGGGAGGCCAAGGCGGGTGGATCACCTGAGGTCAGGAGTTCAAGCCCAGCCAGCCCAACATGGCGAAACCCCGTCTCTATTAAAAAATACAAAAAAATTTAGCTGGGCCTAGTGGTGGGCGCCTGTAATCCCAGCTACTCCGGAGGCTGAGGCAGGAGAATCGCTTGAATCTGGGAGGCAGAGGTTGCAGTGAGCAGAGATCGCACCACTGCACTCCAGCCTGGGCAACAGAGCGAGACTCCGTCTCAAAAAAAAAAAAAAAAGAAAAAGAAAAATGAGAGTGTAAGGGCCCAGAGGGGCTGAGGGCTCCTTTCTCCTCCCCAACTCCCTGTCACTAGAAGGTGGGCCCTGCCATAGGAGGATTCTGCAGAACCCTCAAGGACCCGCGGAGCAGGACGGCACCTTCTTCCCATGACCACCCATTTGGATGTGTTTTTCACCCCTTTCTGGGTGGGGCAGACTTTCCCCCTCCCCATGAGTTCAGGCAGTGGGTTAAATAAGATTTCCCTTGAAGTCGAATGAAATCACAATGCACCACACACAGGGACACACACACACACACACGCACGCACGCACATCACACACACACACACACACACACACACACACACACACACATACACACACACAGTCTCCCTGGGGCCAATCTACTGCCCCCTGAACCTCACCCATCAGCCAGGTGCCTGGCCCCGGGTCTGTCTCTTAGGGTTACATGCTCCCGGGGCTCCCGCACATACCCCGGCAGATGAGGGTGCGCAGGGGTGAGGGCGCAGGGCTGGGCGTCCCCCGCCCCCACCGTGCAGCCCTCGCCCCCGCCCCGCCCCTCCGTAGTTGCCCGCCCGCCGCCCCCTCCGCCGCCCCCTCCGCCGCTCCGACTCTCGCCCCGAGCGCTGGCAGCAGGCAGCAGGCAGCAGGCGGGCGCGCTGTGGCTCCGCGCCGCGCGGTCCGGGCTCTGTTCATTCATGATTGGTACTCGGCCCTCCGAGACCCAGCCCGAGCGCAGGGAGGGGAGCCGAGTGTGCGGCAGGAGGGGCGGGCGGACGGCGGCTCCCGCACCGCACGCGGCGCTGGCTCGGCAGCCTCGGCCGGGCGGCCGCTCTGGCCCCGTGTCCAGTGCCAGGCAGGCTTCAGGGCACCGTCCTCGGCCCTGGGCGAGGGAACCGCCGGGCCGGGTCCTCGCGCGGGGAAGCGGTTCCGAAGGCTCGCGGGGAGCGGCTAGCCCTGAGTCCCTGCATGTGCGGGGCTGAAGAAGGAAGCCAGAAGCCTCCTAGCCTCGCCTCCACGCTTGCTGAATACCAAGCTGCAGGCGAGCTGCCGGGCGCTTTTCTCTCCTCCAATTCAGAGTAGACAAACCACGGGGATTTCTTTCCAGGGTAGGGGAGGGGCCGGGCCCGGGGTCCCAACTCGCACTCAAGTCTTCGCTGCCATGGGGGCCGTCATGGGCACCTTCTCATCTCTGCAAACCAAACAAAGGCGACCCTCGAAAGGTAAGCCACCTTCTTCCTTTTGTTCCCCTGTCTGGGCTTGGGGGTGCTAGGCGCCGAGGTGGGCTGTGCCACCTGCCTCCCTTAGTCCGGACTCTCCTCTCCACGAGGAGCCCGGACAGGTGCTTGTATCCAAAGGAGAGAGAAATCGGCGGGAGGGCTGGTGTGAACACCCAGAGGAGGGAGCCGGAGTGGACGTCTGCCCCAGCGGCAACTGGACCCCTCTGGGGCACCAGGTGTCGGGACTCTCCTCCTGGGGAAATCTCTGAGAGCCGAAGGAAGCGGCATGTTCACAGGTGGGGGTGACCGGATTCTCTGGTGGAAGTGTGGTGAAGCTCTTCCCATTCCCATGACAGCTGGCGTTTGAGCACTCAGTGAGGGTGCTGCCACACTCCCACACTCCTCCTAGGCGGCTATGCCAGGTGCAGACCTGCGAGTCCCTTCATCAGGAAGAGTGCTCTGTCTGCACCCCCAAAACCTCTGCAAGCCAAAAGGAATCAGCTGCTGCCAGGGGTAAAACTCCCAGGCCTCATGTCCTGGTGGCTCCGGGAGTCAGGAGGAGCAACCGTGAAGGGCTGGCTGCGAGCTGAGCTTACATCAAGGATTAAAAAGCATAATATCGTGGAGTCTCTTCTGCCTGGACGCTGTTCCTTCACCACCTGTCCCCAGCCGAGGCATGGCTGATCTCACCATCCGTGGGAGAGTCCTCAAATGGGTCCAGGTGAAGTTGGAACCAGTGTGTTGGGCCCTGGAGGACAATGCAGGTCTCCTTACCAGCAGTTCAAAAGTTAGTGGTTGGAATAAAGAGACTGGAAGCAGTTAGGAAACGGGAAATGATGGGTTTTGTTTTGTTTAATGTTCAAATGTCACTACGAGTGGTAAGATTTTAAGCAGCTTGACACTTAAACATTCAAATTCTACCATCAGAGCCCCCATCCTGGATACAGGTGGGAGTTAAGCTCCTACCCTACAGGCCTGATAGTGAGTAGAAGTGTAATGGGGTAAGGGACCCCAAGTGAACAATAAGTCTCCTCTTAGAACTTGGTTGGTCTCACCCTGTTTAGAACCACAGAGATCTCCATAAGTAAGCTGTCCTTGAAACCCCCTGGAAGAAGGGGTCCCAGCTTCTGGCCCAGCTCCCAGGGGCATCAGGCTGGCTGAGCCCCGAGGAAAGAGATCTCTGGGTGCAGATCTTAGGTGCTGAAGCTGGGTTGGCATTTACATCCTAGAACATAGGAAGAGGCTTTGGCCCATTTGTCCAGCTGAGTTACATGTCCTGCTGGCAAGGAAGGGACTGGTTGTCCTGTTACCAGTCCTGACCAGAACAGGTCTGCAAAGCTCAGCCCAAGGCCTTGACATTCTAAGCCTCACCTCTCACAGATCCTGGGATGCTGCTTGACTGGGGACAATTTTCAGCGCCAAATATAGGTCTTCTCCCTCATCATCTGTCTGACCACCATGCGGTCTCAGAGGCCAGGGGACTGTGGGGACAGGAAAGTCAGGGGCTTGTTTTTAAATATTTTCAATGCCTGTGGCTCTCCTGGGAGCTGGGTGTCACAGAAAGATCTCAAGCCCTAGAGTCAAGTGGAGTCTGGGTGTGAATCCCAGCTCCATCACTCCCTGCCTCTGGGACCTTAGGAAAGTCCCCCGCACCTCCCTAAGCCTCAGTTTTTCATCCATGAAATTCGTATGCTACTTCCCGGAGGGAAGGGTATGTAGGAAGTAGAGGAAGGGAAGACTCTGCCTCATATACTGTGTTGGCTGCAGCCACCAGGGACCCAGAGGAAGTTGTTGTAAGGATGTGAGAATCAAATGAATGATGAATAGGGAGCTCCGTGCATAGGGCTGGGAAAAGAGTAAGAGCTCAGACATTGCTGTCTACCATTTCCTTCTCCTGCCCCAAACATCCAGGAATTCACCCTGGATGAATTCCTGCAGGATTCCCAGAGTACAAAGGTCTTTGCTTCTGTCTCCTCGGATTCTAAGAAACAGAAGAGGGGGTACTGGCATTCAGTGTGTCCCTACTGTGTGCTTGCCATAATGCTCGGTGTTTTATCAACAACTCTCATTTAACCCTCACAACAATGTTCGTTTGAGGCTCATAGCAGGTTCGGGGCCAATGGGTGGACTCCCAAGACAAGCTATCGAAGCACTGGGCACTCAGCCCTTCCTGCACAAAGCCCACTGGCGTGAGTTGTCCAGGGGTCCAGCTGCATATGTTCCCCCAGGTATTTGCCCCCGAAGCACAGTCATCTCACTGCCTTGCATAGTGGAATGCTAATCAGCAGAAGACCCTTCTATGGGAGGCAGCTTGGAAACCTGGAGGAAGCCCTGGCTGAGGAGGCTAGTGGTCAGGGAGCCTATCCTGGCCAGGTCACTTTTCCCCACTGGGGCCTCGGTTTCTTCTTTGTAAAGGGAGAAACTTACATTAGGCATTTCCTCAGGTTCCATTTGGTTCTCAAATTCTAATATTTTTATGGTTGATGCTCTCACCAGAGCTGCTGCTATGATCTCAGAGACGTGAGGCTCAGATCTAATTAGAAGCAACCGGAAGAGAGCAGTTGGGATTTTTCAACTCAGGAATCAGTCTCCCTGCTGGGTTCAAATTCAGGCTCTGCCACTTACTAGCTGTATGACTAAGCCTTGTTTTCCTCAACTATAAAACAGAGATAGTAGTAGTTACCATCTTAAAATAGCTGTTGTGTTGTGTGGATTTCAAGGATCATGCAAGTCAAGCATTTAGCACAGTCTCTGCTACATAAGTGGTCAGCAAATTTGAGGTACTATTCAATTTATGGCTCTATTGTTTGGGGCTTCCAAATGTCCAGAGTAAGGCCATTTTCGAAGTAGGCAGTACATCTGAGAGCCTTAACAGCTCATTTCTGGAAACCTTATCCAGCCCTATCCAGATAACTAGGACCAAAAACCCCAGCACACAGATGCTCGTCCCTTGCTTCAACCCTCACTGACCTCTACTCTGTGGCTTGTCCTGAAAACATCAAAGCCTGCTCAATTAAAATCCTGAATGCCTTGATAATACAATTTAGAAACATACATAGTTTTTAAATAGGGCAAAAACTCTGCATGATTAGTGCTGCAAGAAGATATCCAGCCCAACCTGGGTGTTCAGGGAGCGCTCTCTAAAGGCAACAGAAATCTAAAGTAATTTAAGAGCCATGCCACTGAATAAAAATATTCAGGTTCATTTCCTGTCCTTCTCTCTGTTTGGGATCTTTGTGTGTCTTTAATTAAAAGTAGGAGAGCCCTGCTTTTGGGATTCAGCCTCTGCATCCCAGTCCCAGATAGAATTTCTGACTCTAGCAGTTTTGCATGTGCATGACACACCAAGGACACTGCTCCTGGCCTTGAATGGGTAAGTGAGACAGGCTAGGGCATTGAGGAGAACCAGAGGAGGACCATACAGGTGCAGCTGCTGGGCTTGTCAGCGGGGCAGGAGAATTTAGGGACAACATCACTAGACCAAGGCCATCTCAACAGAGAATTGCCTAGAAGCAAATAATCCCACACTACAGGGGTGGCTGGGTTAGAAATCCTCCATGACCGAGTGCAAGCATGCAGAACTTTCTGAAAGGGCTGAGCTTCGGATCTCCAGAATAGTCATAGCATAGGTGAGCTATGACTCAACCCCATGGCTATCAGATGCTTTTTCTAAGGCCACACGGTGAGTTAATAGGGTACTGGTTAATATAGGGCCAAACATGGGAATGTTCCCGATAGTCCCATATTTGCTCCTAGATCAATGAGCACCTCAGGGAACTTATGGAAGCAGAGTGTACCTGATGAGACTGGGTTTAGGGTTTATTGGTCAGGGCAGCATTTTCAACCTAAAGATATGGGAGAGTGACAAGAGACAGACAGGCATAGAGAAGCAGTAGCCGTGTTGTCACATAGTCCTGAGCCCAAGGGGCAGGCCTTTGGCAAGTCATTTCACCTTGTAAATGCTAGTTTCTTTATCTGCAAAAGGAGAATCCTGATGTATAGAAATGTTTGTGCTTTGGTCTTTACCCATCTTTGCATCTTTGCCTGTCCCTTTAATTCTATAATGCTCTCCCACCCCACCCCTTGCTGCCTTGTCTAATAGTTAAAATTCCACCGACATTCCAAGACCTCACTCAGCAATTTCCATATTCAGGAAGCCTTCTCCAAGCCCCAGAGAGAAGTGATTTCTCCCATCTGAATTCCCATATTCTTTTAAGGTGTACATTTTCTTATGACTCACAATCGCGCTTGGAATTAGACAATCAACGGAGGTGTTAACCCCCTTTCCCCACCACCAGAGGTCAGGGTTCTTGGGGGTAGGAGCTCGTCTAACTCATCCTTCACAACTCTCTGCTTGGTTCTGTGCACATAGTAGGTACTTAATAAAAATTTTCCTAGAGTAAACTATAAATAATGGAATGGTTGGCCACTCTCCATTATTTGCTAGAATTGCAGACCCTGCAGGAAAAGTTAGCTTCCCACCGGAATTTCAGTTACCAGCCCTCTGCCAGGAATGAATTCTGTTGTTCGGTCTGCTGGCTTTGAATTGACTTTGTCCATGAAATGTACCGAATCTGTTTACCATTTAGCAGGAAAGTGCTGAGAACAGTGATTCTACTCCCACTCCCTCATAATCACAAAGGTATGAGGAACCCACACCCAGCACCAGGCACAGTTCTGGTCCCTCAATCCCAGAAGAAGCTCAATGGAGCTCAAGATAAACAGAAAGAGAGAGATGGAAAAGAATGGAAGACAGAGGAGAAGGACTTACTGCCTAAAATCAGTGGGATTGTTTTGACTTGGTCTCTGGAAAAGGGCCAAGGCTTAGACCTCTTTGTCTGCCTGGAAGGGCCTTGCTCCATGAATGCTTTGTAAATCTGTAAGTGAATAAGTGAGCATATGCTTTAACAAATAAGTGAAAAGATGAATGATTGAATGAATGGGGGAAGCAGTAAAGGAGTGAATGAATGAAGCAACAAATGAATTATCAACTGAATGACAGAAAGAATGATCGAATAAATGACCACATGAATGAATGAATATGTCCATAAATGAATGAATGATGAAGTGCCAGAACAGCTATAATTAACAGCCTATCTTTTCACAAAGAGCATTGATAGTCATCTCCCCAAAGTTGAAAAATATAAATTCAGTCAAGAAGAGTCCTGGTAATTTTTTGGATACTGGTAGGTGTATAGTGTCTTTGGAGAAGGTGAGGAGATGTCTCTAAGTTTTCACTCTTTTGCTGAAACAAAAGCAGGGACTGACTCACAGTGATTCCCCTTGTCTTCCCTTATATTTCAGGTTCGTTCACCCTTGCCTGGGTGAGATCAGAATCTGTATATTTATCCACTCATTTATTTGTTCACTTAGCCAGTCCCACAATTGTCCTTCAGCATTGCTTCCCTGCCTAAGATCCACTCTGGCTTCCTCATCCTCCCTCTTCCTCCATCTCCTCATTCACCTGGCCAACTCCTACTTATCTTTCAAGGCCTCATTCAATGCCACCGCTCTGGGAAGCCTTTCCTGGCTTCTGTAGGCAGAGCACATCTCTGCCTTCTCTCTTTCCCCATAGCTGCTGCTGCTTCCCTTAACTACAATTCTGAACACACTATGAGGTTGTCATTATGGGTTTACACATTTATCTCTCTGACTAGCTTTCAGGCACTGAGTCTTATCCCAGGGCCTCTGTCAGGCCTGACACTGCATCCAGGCTTGATGGATGCTGGCGGCATGGAGGTAAGGATGGATGGGCCAGAGTGTGCGTTCTTGATGGCTCTGAGCGGTGTGAGAATGCGGCGGTGCAGATGAGGAATCCAGGTCTGCTCCTGGGGAGAAGCTCTGCAAAATTCTGCATAATGGCCGTGGAGCTGATGTTCCCATTCATCAGGCAGGGAAGGAACAGTTTTTAGAAAAGAGAGAGAGAGCCTAAGAGTCCTAGGGCCTTCAGAGAAACATCTCTTTAAATGCTTCCCCTTCCTCCGGGTAGTATTTTAAATAGGTCACCTTCTGGAAGTAGTGGTAGTCAGTTGGGATATTGCTAGCTTCCCGTACCCCAGCCATGGGAGTAGTACTTTGGATTAAATCTTGTTATTCAAGGCCAGACTAAAAGCCTCATTGGTGCGGTGGGGGGAAGTAGGAACCACATTCCACTCAAATCAGGAAGCTAGAAGTAGGATTGCATTATGGCTATGAGCACCGCGTTAAAATAAGAGTCTTGGGATTGAACTCCCTTTCATTGGTTCATAGCTGAGCCTTTCCAGGCCTCAGTTTCCTCTTCTATAAAATGGGGACAGTGGGCCAGGTATGGTGGCTCACATCTGTAATCCCAGCAGTTTGGAAGGTCAAGGTGGACAGATCACGAGGTCAGGAGTTCAAGACCAGCCTGGCCAATATGGTGAAACCCCATCTCTACTAAAAATACAAAAATTAGCCGGGCATGGTGGCATGCTCCTGTAATCCCAGTCACTCAGGAGGCTGAGGCAGGAGAATCGCTTGAACCGAGGAGACGGAGGTTGCAGTGAGCCAAGACTGCACCATTGCACTCCAGCCTGGATGACAGAGCGAGACTCCGTCTCAAAAAAAATAAAAATTAAAAAATGGGGACAATGACAGTGTCTCCCTATAGGGCCACGTGAGGGCCAAGAAGGAATTGAACATGGTGCTGCACACCAGGTGAGTTGGCAGTGCTGGCTTTGCTGCTGCCTTTTGTCCCATCTCAGGACAGGCCCCTTCCTTCTGCCTTGCTCCACTTGGATGATGACGGTGTTACCCTTGGTAATCTCCCCATCCCTTTGAGCTGTGGCCTCTGATTCCAGCCCTCTGAGATCCCGAGCCACCATATCCATGGTCACTGGCATTCTAAGCAGTTTCTCTGGTGATTCCTAAGGGAAGCTGTCAACTTTAGATGGTAAAAGCAATTCCCAACAGTGAGGTATGAAAATGCAGGTCACCCGCCAGGAAGGATAATAATACTAGCTCAAATGACTCTGGCCTCCACCCAGTGCCAGGCACCTTGCTCGGCTCTTTCCTGTGTTATTTTATTAACCCCAACCCTGGAGGACAAGATGCTATTACAGTTCTCATTTTGCAGTTGAGGAACCTGAGGCTCTAAAAAGGGAAGTGCCTTACTAAGGGTCATAGAGCTTGGGAATCGCAGAGCCTGGTTCTGGTTGATCCCAGACCCTGAGCTTCTAACTGCCATACTAACCTCCTCTCCTCCTGGCTTTGCCTCTGGAACCTTAGGGACCTGAGTAGAAAAACAGTCAAAACGGGTGCATGGATGTTGGGGAGAAGGCATTCAAGGATAGACTGAAGCACCTCATTAGCCACACGGAACAACTGAGCTACGTGCAGGCCCTGAGCAAAATGCTTTTAGCCCCATCCCAACCCCGCCTCCCCCTAGATCTGTTTCCATTTCATCTGACACTGTGGAAGCCTGAATATGAAATGATTGGGGGCAGAAGGCCAATTAGCAAATTCATTAATAGGATTAAACATCTCTCCTCTGCTCTAATCATTTATGTGAACTAAAATTTTCTCTCTTTGTTATAGCCATCATTGCCTGTCAGTGAAGATAGAGTGTTTAAATATCTTCCAAGTATGTTAGAATTGCAAACGTTCAGAACCAGGGACCAGGATCAGAGTTTTCACACGGTCCAGGTGGGCAAGGAGATCAGTCGGTTTACAAGTGGTTATCACTGCTAAGAAAAAAACACAAGAACTTGCTAGTACATTTGCAAGTACCTTACTGCTCATCTCCTTTCTCTCCTTAGCCACATGTTGGCCCAAATCACCTGCGTATGTTATACGGTTGTTATGAGCATACACTCCTGGTTAGGCAGACCTAGAATTCAAATCCTGGCTCTGCAACTCATTAGCTGTGTGACATTGAGCAGGTTACCTCGCTTCTGTGAACTTTCATCTCTACATAATCTAGAAAATGAAAGTATTGTTGATAATTCCCTCCCAGGTTGTTATGAGGATTAAATGCAGTCATGCATGTAAGATGCAGCGGTCAGCACTCAGAATGCGCTAAAGGTAAATTGTTACTATCTGGGTCTACTCCACTTAAAGTGTGCTCCTCCAACCAACAGCCTCAGCATCAGTTGGGAGCTTGTTAGAAATACAGAGTCCCGGCCAGGCGCGGTGGCTCACGCCTGTAATCCCAGCACTTTGGGAGGCCGAGGCTGGCGGATCATGAGGTCAGGAGATAGAGACCATCCCGGCTAACACGGTGAAACCCCGTCTCTACTAAAAATACAAAAAAATTAGCCAGGCGTGGTGGCGGGCGCGTGTAGTCCCAGCTACTCGGGAGGTTGAGGCAGGAGAATGGCGTGAACCCAGGAGGTGGAGCTTGCAGTGAGCCGAGATCGCGCCACTGCACTCCAGCCTGGGCGACAGAGCGAGACTCCATCTTGGAAAAAAAAAAAAAACCTCAACTCAGTGAGACCTACCCAGTCAGAACCTGCATTTTAACAAGATCACCAGATGGTTTATATGCCCACTGGAGTCTGAGGAATACTGGCCTAAAGTACAGATTATGGAACTATGTGTATTGTATTACACAAAATTATATATCAAGCCAGAAGAGGCTTTTGCTAAGACTTCTGATTTAAGCCTCATTTTACAAATAAGAAAATAGAATCCAGAGAAGGTGAGTGGTTTGCCCACAATCACACAGCTCAAGTGTTAGGCCTGACATCCGAACCCCAGCCCTGGTCATCTCATATAAATTGTTAAGAAGTCAGATTTCCAGATTTGCATTTCTGCAATCAAGCTTGTCTGTTTTTCTTTCTCTCTCTTTCTTTTTAACAACAAAGAAGTGCAGGATGATGTACGCCCATTAAGTTTTAGTTTACTCATTTTAAATGTTATTCCAGCCAACAGAGATCCTGAATCTTGACTCCACCAGCCATCATCTTAGCTGTACCTCCAAGTTTTCTGCTACCTGAAGAAATGATAAGGAGGCATTCTAGGTCTTTATCTAAGTTGCTTCTAAGAACATGGGCCAGAACAGGGTGCAGGACAGAGCCATGTGGACTGCAACTAGAGACTTGCCTGCATAATGGATTTCACTGATAATGTTCAGAATCCCAGAGCAGGATGGCAGCCTGGTTTACATACAGAGCCTTTGTGTGGGATTTGAAGCCAGAAAATGTGACTAAAGTAGGAGTCTAAACAGACACAGGTAGGGCCTGGGGAATGAAAGTCAAATGCCTTTTCCAGGGGGTCTAGTAGGACCTCTCTGTTGGTGGGGATCCCCCAAAAAAGTAATCTTTTTATTTTTGTAGGAGTCCTGTAATGGTTTCATTATTATTCTCACTTTGCAGAGTAGGAAACGTAGATGCAGGGAGGTTCTTGATTGGCTAGTGATTAGTAAGCAAGGACTTGAAGTGGATCTGATTGCGAGGCACTCCACCACCTGGGCTCCTGCCTGCAGCTGGAGGGCATATCCAGGACAAGCAAGCCTCTGAGCCCCAGGAAGAGGCTGAGCAGTTACAGCTAGTTTCCCAACTCCCAGGAACTGAAAATGACAGCCTCCTCTTGGCCCCATCAGCTCCTCACCCATGCCAACCCTGGACCCAGAGTGAGGGATGTTCTGGTGGAGACCATGAAGCTCCCAGCTGCCTGGGGGAAGCTGGCACATTTGCATCCGTGTGGCTGAGGCTGCACTTTCTCTCCATCTCTGGGATTCGCCCATGTATGACTCTCCCAGATGTCCAAATTGTGCACTCAGCAGGGGTGTCTTCAGGAGGCTTCCCCACCCATCGAAATCAGGGCAGCAAGGGGCTCCCCTTGTCTTCTTCCCTCTTTGCATACATCCAGCCCTGGGCTGATTAGGACTCTAAGCCCTGTAGGCCCTGACACTAAAATAATCAGGTCCTCCCACCACTGCCCCGCCCTGCCTCACCCCACCAAGGGCTACACAGGCATTTCAAAGGAGAAACAGTAAAATAAGTTTAAGGAAGTCTGCCAAATTTGGATTTTTCCCATGTTGACTACTTTAGTGACTTTTCTGAAATAAAATGTGCTTTCAAAACACAATTTTTGATGCCTCTACTTTGCTAGTGCTTTAAGCATCTCTTGAGTGTGCCTGTGAGGTATTTCAGCATTGGAGTTGGAACCAGACAGGAAAAGGAAAGAAACCGATCTGTATCGGGCACCTGCTGCATGCCAAGGACTGTGCAAGGTGTTGACAAAATAACAACAGTAACAAACATAACATTTAAATCGTCCTTGTGACATTTATATAGCAATCTGTGCCAAGTACCACTCTAAGCGCTTTCGGTACATTAAGCTAATTTAATCCTCACAACAACCCTATGTGGTAGGTAGTGTGATTATTCCCATGTAACAGATGAAATCTCACACTATGAGAGACAGGCACTGATCCCCCTATTTTATAGATGAGGAAACTGAGGCTTGGGAAGAAGTGACTTGCCCAAGTGCCCCGATGCCTGGTGGAAGAACAGTGTTCACACCAGCTTTGGCCACTTCCAAAGCCCTTGATGTTGACACTCCAAATGCAGGCCTCACTCATTTCCTAGAAGCGCCTTATGATTTGATATGTCCTCAGGGTGCATTATAAGAGGAGGGAGGAAAACCTGGGACTACAATGAGCATTGAATCTTGTCCTGATCTTCTCAGGGACCCTCTGTCATTCCCGATTGCCTATTGCATCTGTTCTCACCTGGTACTACCATTCCCTCCTCCCTGGTTTTTCCCTTGCTAAGTGACCACTCTATACGTTGGTCCATATCATGTAGCCTCTGCTGGAGGCAAGTCTGGTTCCCATCTGCCTTCCCCTGAAGAAGAAGCTGCTGGAAAATTAGAGTTATGTTGGACACAGTCTTTGTCCCCAAGGAACTTCTCTCTGGTCATAATCATTATATTAACAGCAAACCTATAGCATGCTATGTGCTAGACACTTTAGCAACTTGGTTTTATGTAAGCCTTACAGTATCCCCAGGAAGTGAGCACTATTACTAGACCCTTTCCAGATGAGGACACTGAAGACTAGAGGGCATAAGCAAATGTCCAATGTCTCACTTCTCATAAGTGGAAAAGCCAGGATTCGAACCCAGATGGTTTGCCTCCAGTGCCTGCATGCTGAATCACTGGACTAGGCTGGACCTGAGCATTTAGAGGACATTATAGATTATGTAACACTGTGGGGATTCAGAGGATGGAGAAAGCACCTCTATCTGAGGGGCAGGGGCTGGAGAATTAGAGAAGATGGCCGAAAGAGGCGGCATTAGAGCTCAACAAAAGAGCTAGGGGTTGGCCCAGGCAAGAATGTAGGTTAGTGAAGTTCTAGGCAGAAGGAACAGGATAAGCAAAGTCACAGAGGCAGGCAACAAGAAGGGGAAAGAAATGAAAACTGACAGTGATGTTTTGTATGCTTGTGACTTGGAGGATGTTAACAGAAAGAGGATGCCATCAGAAGTGGGAGGCAAGGAGCAGAGTCAGGCTGTCCATGTTCAGGAGAATGGGACAAGGTCCTAGGAGGTAGTAGACAGCAAGGATGAGGAAAGCACCAAGCAAGTAGGGATCGAGACTGTGCCCTCTCAGCACCACCCTTGTCCCCCTAAGTGTCTCCCCGTGATCACTGCAGCTTACATTTGATTCCTCCTTCTCCTCTCCCAGGGAACTTACTATTTGTCCCCATGATTTAGCCTTTGATTACCTTGAACTGTTCTATCATCATTCCCTGTAAACACGCTTGACTCTCCAGCAAGAGTGACCTTTCCTCAGAGACCTGGACCTTTCTTTCTTCCCTTCTCAGCATCTTCGAGCATCCCAGGACAGTACTGGGCAAAAGACTGGTACTTGGTGACTTGAACTGATATTTCACAGAGATGCACAAAGACTTGGGATTCCTTAATTAGAATTCATGCGGCAGAGAAACTTGGGCATGACTTTGAGGATCTCCCCCACCCGCCAACAGCATATTCACAAGATACGAACATCAAAGATTGTGGCTTGGTGTGAAAACATAGCACATTGGAGGCCATTCCATAACAGCTTAGAGCTGATGAAGAGAAAAAGATATGGTGTGTTGGGTGAAATAGAACTGAAGGCCAGTCCTAGCTTACCGTTTAGGAGCTGTGTGGTTTGAAGAAATTGTTTAGCCCCTTTCTGCATATCAGCTTCTTCATCTGTTAAACAATAACAATCATGGTATCAATTCATTGGATTGTCATGAGGATTAGTGAGATAATATGAATGTGTTTAGTAAGCTATAAGGCAGTGCATACGTGGTGGGGATCAGTATTAGATGACAATAATGGTCATAGCAATAATAATGATTTTGATAGTGGTGGTGATGATGTTTGTGATGGTGGTGTGATGGTGGTGATGGGGATGGTGTTATTCGTGGTGGTAATTATTATATTATGGATGTGTGAGTCTGTTTTCACACTGCTGTAAAGAACTACCTGAGACTGGGTAATTTATGAAGAAAAGAGGCTTAACTGACTCACAGTTCTACAGGCTTTCCAGGAGGCATGGCTGGGGAGGCCTCAGGAAACTTACAACTGTGGCAGAAGGCTAAAGGGGAAGCAGGCATATTTTCACATAGTGGTAGGACAGAGAGAGAGCAAAGGGGGGTGTGCTACATACTTTTAAACAACCAGATTTCATGAGAACTCCCTCACTATCACAAGAACAGCTTGGGGGAAACTGCCCCCATGATCTGGTCACCTCCCACCTTGTCCCTCCCCCAACATTATTAACTACAGTTCAACATGGGATTTGGGTGAGGACATAGAGGCAAACCATATCAAGGGATAATATTGTTGATGATGGCAGAGGTGTTGGTGACAGTAATGACAGTAGGGGCTTCATGGCAATAATGATGATGATGATGGAGGATTACAATATTAGTGGTAATGGTGATTATTATAGTATAGGTGATGTTGATTATAAGGGTGGTGGTGGTGGTGACAATGGTGATGGTGGTAGTGATGGTGATGATGATGATAATAGTAATGATGGTGATATGGTAGTATGACAGCGATGGTGGTATGGTGGTGGTGGTGATGATAGTGACGGTGGTGATGATGGTGATGGTGATGGTAGTAGTGATGGTGGTGATTATGGAGGTGGTGATGGTGATAATGGTAATGATGGTAGTGATGGTGGTGGTGGTAGTGATGATGGTGAAGTGATAGTGATGGTGGTGGTTATGGAGGTGGTGATGGTGATAATGGTAATGATGGTAGTGATGGTGGTGGTGGTAGTGATGATGGTGAAGTGATAGTGATGGTAGTGGTTATGGAGGCGGTGATGGTGATAATGGTAATGATGGTAGTGACGGTGGTGGTGGTAGTGATGATGGTGAAGTGATAGTGATGGTGGTGGTTATGGAGGTGGTGGTGACGATAGTGATGGTGGTGATGATAATAGTAATGATGGTGGTGTGGTCATAATGATAGTGATGGTGGTGGTGTGGTGGTAGTGATAGTTGTGATGAAAGGTGGTGATGGTGGCAGTGGTGATGATAGCAGTAGGGCTGATGGTGGTGACAGTGGTGATTATATAGTGATGTAAGTAGTAGTGTTGTTGGAAGGATGATAGTGGTAGTGGTGTCAACAGCACTGGTGAATTTAAGGCAATCATTCCCTTTGTCCAAACTATCTTCTTTGACTAGGCTGCACAGAAGGATTTCCAACCCCCAGAACTTGAATTCCCCCAGGTGTATTTGTCAAAAGTAGGAAAGAATAAGACAAATCAGCCCATGCCTTCAGATTTCTTCTCTTATTCCTGGTTGGTACTTTCAGAATCATTTTAATGTAAGCTGCTTTCTTGACATTTGCATTCCAGCACGTGGCACAGTGCCATGGCTGGTACATCGTCAAGTCTTCAATAAATATTTGTGAAATGAAGGGATGAACTTGCAGAAAGACACAGGCTGTTCTCTTGGATGAACTCATCAGAGTTAAATGTTTCATCTTTGAAGATAACGCGGGGGTTATCAGGCACATCAGAATATACCTGCATTAACACTATTGCCAGCATGAGCAATTCGATAACCTGGCAGGTTGGGAAGATTTCTTGGCACCTACACTGCCCCTGGAAGCCCCCGGATGTCAGCTTGGCCTGGCCCTTGTACCCACCACTTTGCCCTCAGAGGTAGGGTCTGTTCTACTGGGATTCTGTGCTAACTGATCACAGGGAACAGTGGGGAAAATGGCCTCTCCCACCGGCTGCTTCTGGAGAGTCCAAGCCTCCCTCCTCAGTGACCTTGCTGTGCGGCAGGAATGAGAGGCACATCCTGGCTCTGGAGATGTTCTTCTTGGCAGCAAGTCCTCCCCAATGGCAGGAGGGATTACAGAAGTGATTTCAGGTGCCAGTGCCTCCACAGCCCACCCACCCTCTGCTCTAGGCAAGTCAGAGGCACCTGTAGAGCCTCTGTTCTTTGTGTGTGGAAAAGGAATAATCTCGCACCAGCATTATAAGGTTCTCATGGTTTTTAGGGGTGTGGCATATAGTGAGGGCTCCGCTAATGGCAGCAGCTATTAATATTGGTATCATTTATTATTTCCATTACTAGTGGAGACATTGAGCTGATATATGGGTCAATAATGATAGACTAGAGACTTTGTGTGTCTCTTTGGTGGAACATGTGTGGCTTGGATTCACCTTGAATCCCCTGATTCTGGCACTCTGGCCTGAGAGTGTCCTCTGAATGAGTCATGTGGTGCCAGCGGGGTTGTTGAGATAGATAGATGGCCTGCAGGCATTTGGGTTCAAATGCTGTTCTGCTGAATAAGGAATACGATTTGGGGACCAAACACCCTTGGATTTAAATCCCAGACTTGTTTTTCCCTGGTGGTGTGGCCCTAGGGAAGTATTTCTGCTGAGCCTTACTGTCTTCTTGTGTCCAGTAAGGTTAGTAATATTGACCACATTGGCTCTTTGGGAAGAGGATGGAAAATAAAGTGTAAATGGAGCGAGGGAGGGAATTTGTCTCCGAGGCAGCACAGGACAGGAGGTAATGGAAAGACCAAAGTGGTTTTTGGATTAGAGCTGCCTGCAGCCTTTATCTGTCTATGGAGTTGATTTATTATTCTCCCAAATCTTGGAACAAAGTCAAGAAAGGGAGGAAGGAAGGGAGAGAGATGGGTAATAAGAGTATGGAAGAAAATGTAAACATGTAGAGTGCAGACAGCGGCTGCCTGCCCATAGCAAGCCCTCCGCAGAGGGAGAATTAATTGGCTGTTGTCATTTGTATTGTTGTGATTGTTCTTATTGTTGAAAGATGTAGAAGAGAAATCAGGTAGAAAGAATTCAAGCAAAGACAGGGGGTGAGCGAAAGCATGAAGAAATGAACAGAATCTGGGCTGAATTTCTTTAAGGTTATAAAGCACTCTATGCAATCTGAGGCAGGCAGTCCCCAAGCTTCTAGTACCACCCTGCGACTCTACGTGTCAAACAGGAGGAGTTCCTTAAAGGGTGTTTGGTGTGTGCATGTGTGTAGAGGGATGAAGCATGTATACCTCTTTGTATACATCAGACACTGTGCTGGGCACTGCCCTTAAATTATCTCACTTAATTGTCACACAGTCCTATGAAGCAGATGCTGTTATTGTCTCAGTTTTAGAGACAAGAAAACTGAAGCTCAGAGAAAAGAAGTGATGACCAGCCCAAGGTCACATAGCTGCTAAGTGCAGGGACAGCATCAGAACCCAGGCCCGTCTGTGCCCTTAGGTCTCAGAGATTCTACACCTACTACCTAGTATTAGCTCAATCTGACCCTTGGGGAAATTAAGCCCCAGGAAAGCTGTTTCCTTCAGTTGCGCAGCCAACTTGAAGCAATGGTAGACTGAATCCCAGTTCTGACTGCCAGCTCCACAGTCCCTCCCTGGGGCCTCGCACATCATTGGAACTGACAACACAAGAATCTTCCATCTCCTTCCTTCTCTTCCTCCTTTTCTTGGCTGTCATCCAAAACTTTAGGGGAATGCATTATAAACCAACTTGAGAGACAGAGAAAGGCTGTAGGAAGATCCAACTCAAAAACATTTTGGTGTTTGCTTTACCTCCGCCTGAGCGTCCCTGGAGATAAACCCTCCTCACTCTCGCCCACCATTGCTCTGCTATGTCAATTTCAGCAGCCGGACTCTGGGGCTGACATGCATTGCCCCTTCTCAACCCAGACACCACTTCCTTCAGGGAAGGCTCCACATAATGGTGAAGTGCACAGACTCAGAAGCCGGGCAGTGCTGTTCAGAACCTGGTTCTGCCTTTCTCGGGCGTGTGGCCTTGGATAAGTCATCTACTCTCTATGAGCCTCAGATCCTTCGTCTGCAAAACAGAGCTAATGCCTCCCTTCTTGGGTTGCTGTGGGGCTTAATTGAGAAGGTATATGTGAAATGCCTGCTCCATAATAGACACCCGTTTGAGAATTAACGTTTGGGTTGTTACAGTGTGAGCCCATGGGTCTCAGGCAACAGACTTGATAAATACAGGTTCCTCTGCAACCACAATCCTAGTCCTTAGCACAAGCATGACACTGCCTGGCATGTGCTATCCCTCCCATATCCATCAGCCATGGCAGACACAGATCCCTCATTATGAGACTTTTTTATTCTGAGCTAGAATGTGACCTCAGAATCTTTCTTAACACAATGCTTCAAGCAGTCACTACCAGTTGAACATAGTTGACATGGAAGATAGATGAAGTTTATTTGCATTCTAGTTCTCACCAAGTCCATGTTCACTGCTCCATCTGCTCAGTGCAGGCTGTCTCTCTGCTCTGTCTCCCACCTGCTTTTGTGAGTGTATGTTTCTATGTTTGTGTATATGTGTGTTTAAACTCCTCTTCCAGAGTGAAAGACCATTTCAGTCTTTTGTGTGCTGATTTGTAGAAATCATTGAACTTTCAGAATCCCATTTGCAATGTCATGTCTGTGGCTGGGGATCTCCAAGTAACATCAGCTTACGTCTGGGAAGGACAAGGGGAATCAAAGTTAGAAGTCAGGAGAGCAAAATCCACACACAGCATGCACCATCGGCCACCTTTAGGAGTGACACAAGAGATGGTGTTTGAATATAAATTTGAAGTCTTTCCAAAGATTTAACACTCCTTTGGCTGACAACCATAATCTCAAGGAGGTAGGCCTAGGCTAGAGCAATTATACTTTAGGGTAACCCTAGCTGCTATAACAAATAAACCCCAATATTGCAGTAGGCTGAAACATAGAATTGTTTTTATCATTCATATAACTTCTTGATGGGCCAGTAGCCTTCTTCCATGTAGTCACTCAGGGACCTAGCCTCCTTCCATCTTGTTGCTCCCCCAACCCTAAGGCATCCTCTACATCTAGGTGAAAGGGGAGCAGAAAATGTGGTCTCTGGCCCAGGAACAACTCTAGTCTTGGAGAAGCACATGATATAGTATGGAGATCACAGCCAGGCCTGCCACCGGCAGCAATTCAGGGCTGGGCACCAGATCAGCTGGGTGGAGTCCCAGCTGGCCAAGGAGTCTGAGCCCAGGTACTATGTGGTCATCTTGGGCATGGAACAGGGCAGCTCAAGGACCAGAGGTCAGCTGGCAGGGTCCGCACCAAGCCTATCCAGGGAAGCCCTGCCCTGATCATGGACAAGGCCTGTGTAATCCTGATGTCAGCTGCTTCCCTCCCGAGGACAGCCTGCAGCAGATGGTCAGAGCCTGTTGCCATTAAACATTTGAGTGGTTCCACCAGCATCCCGATGAGTCTGGGTTCACCAAGAAACATTATTGTAATGTGCTCCCCAGGCAGCTCTGCCTCAGGGAGAGACAATGCCAGGCATGACAACTTCAGCATTCTTGTTCTGCATGGCAGTTGCATTTCTCATTGTGGTTTATATGTTGGTCACATGATCTGAGCTAATGGGAGTATTCGCCTGACAGATGAGTCCCTTTTGCTGGGTGTGCCAGCAAAATCAGGCTTCCAAGCCCCCAAGGCTCACTGCCAGAGGCTGGGGAATTCGCCAAGGTAAATGCCACCTTGTGAGGTCTTTGGGACACAGCCAGCAGCCTCCCCAGGGCACCATTCCTGTCTCAGCATGAGGCTTCTCTGGCCAGCCCAATGGCATTTGGGAGCCACATCCACACCCCACGGGTCTGGGTCTGTTTCCAGCTGCACTGGGACATTCTGGCAGATTCTCCCTGATCTCTGTAAGGAAGAGTACAGCAGGAAGGAGAGGAAGCAGAAAAAAATTCCAATGCTTAGAGTTTTCCCTCTAAAGAGGACCTCCTGAGCCACTTCTGAACAGGACTTGGAACAAAGGAATCTTGGCGCTTTGATGATCGTGTCTGCAGCAGTTGTTGAAATGAGTCTGACACTCGCCAGTGCCTTAGTAGGAATTATAATTACATCAGGAGACCCCAGGCAACCAAGTAAACTGATTAGCTACTGCTCCGAGTTGATAGATTTTTTTCTCTCTAGGTCATAAATAGGGCTGTGGGAGATGGTGGAAGCATGCTGGTGGGAACAGGTCGAGATGGGCTGTACATTCAGGAAGCCCAACCAAGTGGTGTGGGCAGCTCCCCCTGCCCCACCCTGCCACCGGAAGAGACAGTCTGACAGGTGCCCAAGGTAGAGTTCAGTTCCCTCGGCCAGGGACTGCACTCCTGATCTTGCGTGCTGCAGAGAGCTGTCCTCAGAGCAGGCTGAGGGTGGCTGAACTGCTAGGCGATGCTCTGGGAAGCCCTCCGCCAGGAAAGCCGATGCTTTCTGCCAGGCATAATTATTGCATGGATAATTACACGATTCAGAGCCTGCTGGAGAATCCTGGGCTGGTGCCAGAGTAGAAAGGCAGGGTTCCGGAACTGCAGCCAGTGGCTGATTCTCAGAGTCGACTTTGAAAGAAGAGGGTAATCATTCCTCCTCCTAAGACTCCTACCTGGCTGGGCCAGGACATGGCAAACGTAAAGCTAAGGGAGGCGGGGAGTTGATGAGTTCTCTCCTCCACCCACTCCCTTACAGGAGGGGGTCCCCAGAGTTCTGACCTAATCCCTCTTCTTTACTCCCTGCACGTGTCACCTCCCTGGGACAATCCACCCCTGCCCATTAGCACATATATGCGGATGACACCAAGTGTCTTTCCAGCCAGGCATCTGCAAATGCATGCTGGGCATCTCCCTCACGTGTCTCCTCCAGCCCATTGCACTCCAGCCTGAGCCATTCTCCTCCTACCCCAGTCTGCCTCTCAGTCCATATTCTCTTCCCAGCCAGACATACCTAACCTCCCAGACCTCCACTAGGAACCCAGGAGTCCTAACCTGCTAGTCCTTTCCCACTCCCTGTGCACCATCCGAAGCCAGGTCATGTCAGTTCTACAGCAGATGTGTCTTGGCTCCTGCCTGTTCTCCCAGCACCACCCCCCAGTCCTCCGGCACAGCCCAGGTCTGGGCTCCATGGTCTGCCCTGGCTTTCTTGTGGTGGCCTCCTCCCTGGCCTCCCCACCCTCATCCCCTGGGGACCAGCCTCCCACTGCCTCCAGATCCAATGTCTTCCAGTAAATCTGTCTACACATTCCCAAGGTTGGAGTCCTTCCATGGTTTCCTTCACTCTCAGCACCAACTTGGCCCCTTCTGACTGTCCTGAAGACCCTTCCCAAGCTGCCAACGCTCCAGCACTGCATCCCCTGCCCTGCTTGTGACACCCAACCCTATCAGATGCCACATGCACTTCTCCCAGTTGTCCAATGTGGCTTTGCCAAGCCTGAGCATACATGTGTGGAAGGGAGGAATGCAAGGGTGAATGTTCTGGACTCTGGAGCTACACTGTGTGGGTTTCAATCTTAGCTCTGTCACTTGCTAGCTGTGTGACCCAGGACAAGTCACTTGGCCCCTCTGTTATTCTTTCTTCCCATCTATAATGTAGAAATAATAGTAATAACAGAACCCATCCATGGGGTTGTTGGGAGGATTCAATGACATATTCATGTAAAAGACTCAGAGCATGACCAGTGCACAGTGGCCATCTTATCAAGTGCCTGCTGCCTGTCCCAAGATGGAAACACAAAATGTGAAATCCAAGTGTGGGTGGTGGAGGGGTGGTATGGGGCGGGGCGGGAATTCAGTTTAAACTAGTTCATGCCTTCATTTTACAGAGGGAGAAACAGGTCCTGAGAGAGGAGGGACCTTACCCATGGCCACCCCAGGACCCAGCCCAGTGTTCTTGGTTCTGAGGCCCGGCTGCCCTGGCATGGAGCAGACAGCTCCCTCTGGGTGGTCAAGTTCCCTGAGTTCTTTGAGGGCTGACTAGTGGTGAGAGGGATTCCTCCCCACCAAACCCCTGACTCTGAGAAGTGGGTTGGAGCAGGAGAAGAAAAGTGTGCAACTCAGCTCAGCTTTCCAGGGTAAACCGATGAGAGGACATTTGACGGTGGCAGCGTTAGGAGGGGACTTCTGCACAAGGCCGGGGAAACTTTGCCTAAGATTTAGGCCCTGGGCTCAGCCTGATGCACCCCATTTACTGGGTGCCTGCTCTGAGACCAGGATACGTGGAAAGAACCCACGCCTGGGAGCCAGCTGTCCTGGGCTTTGGAAATAGCTGTGTCCGTAGGTGAGACCTTGTCTCTGCAGGCCTCTAGCAGAGGGGCTAAGAGCATGCGCTCTGCAGGCTGCCTGGGTCCTCACCCCTACTCCCGCACTTAGTAGCCCTTGGTGACTTAACCTTCCTGAGCCTCAGTTTTCTCTTCTGTAAATGGAAGATCATAATGATACCTGCCCCATAGAGTTGTGTGGATAAGCGATAGAATCTGCATTAAAGCATTTAGGTAGTGCCTGAGATTTAGCAAAGGCTCAATCAACATTTAAAAATGGCAAGAACCAAGCACTATCATGCAGGTAGGGCACCCATCTTTGTGCATAATCCCTTTGCCTTCCCTCCCTAGAATGCAGAGGAAGGAAGACCTCTGTGAGAACCCTACATACATCTTTGCCAATTGGCAGTTTTTCCTCTAGTTAATTTGGGAGCCTGTGACCTTTACCGCCGTGTGATTCTCTGACTCAGACTGCAGTGTTGCAGTGCCAGCCAAACATGGTGACAAGCCCCTTCCCAGGCAACTGAGGACAGGCAGGAGTGTTCTGGAATCTTCTCCTGGAGTGGGAGTAAGGGTGGGCAGAGCCATGTGATGCTGCACTGTCCACCTGGTTGAAGGAAGTAATTCCAGACTCTGTCTCTGACATCTCTATTAGCCAAGGGTGAGGGTGTTAGTTCGGGTCATGTTAGCTGCGCCTCCCACCCTGCATCCTGGGCCCAGAAACCACACCCCTGTGCAGGGCTTCTGTGTCAGAGTCACCAGGGAAATGGGCTGCTGAGGATGCCAGCACCAACCAGGCTGCTGTCCTGGGGCGACATGTCTGCCATCTTACAACCTCCCTTCCAATATTCACCATGTGCCAGCTCCAGCTCAGTCACTGAGCCTCACATCGCTGGACCCCACTGTGTGCTCAGGGTCATCAGGCACTTTCGCCTGTGGCTGGGATTGAGACCTGGCTCCTCCACCTTGCACTTGTGTGACCTGGCCATGCTCATGTCACCCTCCTGGGCACCCCAATACCCTCATTTGTAAAGTTCAACCTACATGCTGTGACTGTGAAGTGAGAAAGCAGTCAGCAGTGCTTAGAACAGTGCCTGGCTCCTACTACACACTCAATAATGCCAGCTATGTTGTCAATATCAACTCTACGCAGTAGCCCATTTCTGTAGATGAAGAAAGGGAGGCTACAGGAAGGGAAGGCATGTGCCTGGGGTGGATTCGAACTCAGGCCTGTCGGGTTCCAGTCTGGGCTTTTCTGCTCTTTCCAGGCCATATTGGAACTGCCATTAGAGGGACTCATTCATTCCCATACATGTCAAATATGCACTGCACCCAGATTACATCCATCTTTAATTGAAGACCTATCCTTCTGGGCTTTGGAGATTTGCTGGACTTGGGGAGTCACCAATACAACTCAGGTAGTGACATCTGGGAGGAGAAGACTGAGGTGTCATCAGCTGCTTCTTATCCCCCTGCCTTTGCTCAGCCTGTCCCCACTGATGGGACACCTTTGCCCAACCTCTCACCCATACCTTTTATCTGATTAGCTTTTTTTTTTTTTTTTTTTTTGAGACAGAATCGCGCTCTGTTGCCCAGGCTGGAATGCAGTGGCGCGATCTCAGCTCAGGGCAACCTCCACCTACCAGGTTCCAGTGATTCTCCTGCCTCAGCCTCCCAAGTAGCTGGGATTACAGGTGCCTGCCACCACACCCGGCTAATTTTTGTATTTTTAGTAGACATGGGCTTTCACCATGTTGGCCAGGCTGGTCTTGAATTCCTGACCTCAGGTGATCTGCCCACTTCTGCCTCCCAAAGTTCTGGGATTACAGGTGTGAGCCACCGCACCCGGCCTGATTAGTTGCTTCTTCCTGTCCTTTGGGACCTGGTACAGGCATCACCTTCTCTGGGATGCTTCCCTTGTCCCTCCCTCATCACAAGGCTGGCTTGGGTGACCTTTCTCCATGCTCCAAAACTCCCTTGCTCCTAAGCAGCCCCAGCATGGAGCTCCAAGCCATGAAGCTCTAATATCAGAGTCCAAGCCTTATAGAGCTTCCAGGGTCTGACACATGGCAGAAGTTAAATTAAACTATGTATTTGTTTATTTGCTAACATTCTGCCTTATTACAAAAGAGACTTGAGTCAACTAAGCAAATAAATGTTTGCAGAGCTGAATTAAACTGAGACAGGGTACTGGCCCAGTAGAAAAGTAGAAAATACCTGGGCTTGGGCATCAGGAAGACCTGGGTGAGAATTCTCCAGACCTGTGCCTTCTATGGAACATTAAAAAGGTCACTTTCCCTCTCAAAGCCTCAGTTAGCTCTTCAGGGCCTGCGAACGGCAATCTATTGTGAGGACCTGGTGTGTGAGCCAAGTGCACCCATCAGCCACTCACAGCTGCAGCAGAACCAGGCAGTTGAGTTTGACATTGGCCTTTTAAGCTAGTCACGAATAATCAGAAGACCCATGGCAGGCTGTCACTAGTGATTTTGCTTAGGTACAAACTTGAATGGTGCTCCTTGGAGTTCTGATGTGGGAGAGTCACTGAGCTGGACGTTAGCACACACAGTTACACGCTCACAGGCTCACCCCAGCATGCATGTCTCAAAACAATATATTTTCCTCTATTTGTCCTTGGGTTTTCAGTTACAGCAAAAGTATTTTCAAAACAAAACAAAATGCATCATGATACAATCTCATATCAAGTAACATTCATTTGGGGGGACGCACTTAAATTAATAGTTTCATAAGCGGTTGTTGTCCTGCATTTACAGACACACGACAATTCTGAAGGGGTCATGTTATTTTTCGATTATCCTTTACTGCATTTTATGTGGGACATGGCATGCTGCAGTGGTGTTTGTGAGCTGGAGGATTTGGGAGAGCCTTAGGAACCCTCCCAGGAGCCTCAAGGATTGACTGCAGTAGGAGCTCAAATGAGTTTTGCCTGGGGCCTGCCCTGGAGGAGACCTGCCTCTCAGCAGCCAATCCCACCCAGGCTGCTCTGGAACTGGAGGCTCTGGCTCACTGGGCCCTGCTCCCCACCCACTTCCCTCTCGCCTCTCCCATTCCCTTCCCCAGTCTGCAGCCCCTTTGTTCAAGGAGGGAGCTGCAAGCGGGTGGTCTCTGGGCAGCTGGATAACTACTTCTAAAGCCTCTTAGACCCTGGTAATCTTCCTCCTAACACCATCGGGTGACTGCAAAGCACTGCAGGCCAGACTTCAGTTCTGCTGTGTAATTTGCAAGCTGGGTGACCTTCCTTATCTATAGAATGGGCTCTCCTGCATGGCTGGCATGAGGAATAAACAAAATGGTTGTGTCCAGTGCCTGGGGCATAGCACAGCTCAAAAAACTTAGTTCATCCTCCTGAGGGATCAAGAAGATACTTGGAAACAAATGTCCAAGGGCGTAATCTTGAAGGGGCTTGTGCCAGGCATATATGGAGAGAAGGGTTTTGTGGGATGTCAGACTTAATAGTGCCCTTTACTCCCCACCCCCGTCTCTCTGTTCATAGACAGGAAATCTGTGGCCTATTCTGGGACCTCAAAGTGCCACAGGGTTAAAGATACCAAGTCAGAAATCTAAGGTTCTAAATGGACTTTAGACCATTTTTCATTTGGGAAGGAAGAATTCTTTAAGGGGTTGTGCTGGCGCTGTCTCTGTATGCATGTGCAGAATGTGCTTCCAGATGGGGTAATGGTCTGAGTTTGAGGACAGAAGTCCACTCCACTGCATTCAACTGTTCAATAGTCCTGGGCAGTGTTATTGCATGGGAGACCATACCTAACCCCAAAGATTGCCCCATAGTCTCTTTGTCAGATAAAGCATAAGTGAGCATCCCATCTTTGTTAGTCAGAACCTTTTCAGTTTCAAACAACAGAAAACCAACTCTTCCTGTTTAAAGGAAGAAAAGGGGGGTTTATTGGTTCATGTAATAAAATGGCCAGGGTAAGATTAACTTCAGGCAGAGCTGAATACAGGTGCTCAAAGAAAATGTCGACAAGAACCTGTTGATTTCTCTGTCTCAGCTCTGCTCTCTTCTGTCTTGGCTTCATTCTCAGGAAATGCTCTAACCTTGGGGTTCCAAGAGTAGTCACCAGCAGCCCCATATTTACAGCCCACCAGCTCAGCAACCTCTGTGGGAAAGAGCTTCTCAATAGTTCCAGGAAAAGTCCCAGGGCTGGCTCCCATTGGCCTAGATAGGGTTCTGTGTTATGCTGTGAGGTGCTGGTTCTGGGGACGGAGGAGTGTTCTGCCTTAACAACCGAATGGACTGTATTTGTGGGGAGGTGTGGGAAACCAAGGAGCTCTTACCAGGAGAATGGATGTTGGGCCAGCAGAAACAAAATATGTTACTGCCTTCTTCAAGTACACAGGTTTCTGTAAAGCCTAACATCACACTGAGGCACCACTTGCCCCAAACTCCAGCCTGAAGGATTATGAGGAGTTCGAGCTTGCCTTTGCAGGGCGCCTGCTTCCTGTTAGGACTGTGCTCATTGTACATGGACCTTCTTCTGAACCTCTGAGATTGGTTCTGTTATCTTTATTCCCATTTTACAGATAGCCAACCACAAACTTACTGGGTGGAGTAACAGTGTTGCCCAGAGTTAGAGCTTATAAATGGCAGAGTTGGAGTTTGGACCTATATTAAACAGTCTAACTTCACAGGGCAGACTCTTAGCCATCAAGCAATATGGTCTTCCCCGAGAATGTCTCCCCACTTCACCCTTCCAGGCCTTTCTTCTTGTTGGACTCTAGACTTTAAATGCCCTTCTTTTTACTTCCTGCTCACTTATTAAACTCTTCCTTGAATGCTCCTCCTCCTGATAGTTTTCCCCAGGATTAAATCTGAGCAAGACCCTTTTCTACAAGACCAAGGTCACCATGCCACTGCTGACTACAGCTGGTGTATTTGTTTGTCCTAACCCTTGGAGGGCAGAGACTAAATTTATTGTTTACCACTCTGGCACCTAGTACACTGCCTGGCACAGAGTAGGTGCTCATGGCTCATAACATGTTTATTGATTGTTTAGATGGCAACACAGATAAAATCAAAACATGGAAGGTTGCTGAGACTCAAAGACAGGATTATTATTGTTGGTAATGATCTGATAGCTAATGAGTATTATATTAATAATAGTCAACATGTCAGGTACTATAATAGAGGCTTTGCGTAACTGCTCCTTTTAGTCCTCCCAGTAATACTATGATGCTGATATTACTCTTCCCATTTTGTAGATAAAGAAACTGGGAGTCAAGGAGGTGAAATGGCTTTCCCAAAGTCTTGCATATAATGTATCCGGACTGCAAGGATGGGGCCCTCTGGCCCCCTCAACACCCTATCTGCCTCTCATACCCAGGGACCTGCCCACAAGGTCAGCCCCTTGGCAATCTTGCCAACCTTGGGGCTCAAAATTCAGTTTATGGCTTCCCAAGATCTACTGGATGCTTTTTCTAAGTTTGGAGAATTCATGACATTATGAATCCTTTTTCCCCAAGGTGGGTATTCAAACTCAGAGTTCCAGCCACGCTTGCATCCAGGGCTCAGATAGCAGAGGGACCTGCCTGAGGCTTGATTTAGAAGGGTCCACCTGAGGATGTGGATGAAGCGTGAATTCATTTCTGGCAGGGGTGGCAGCAGAGGCAGACAGCTCTGTGGAGGCAGAGGTGGGGAAATTCTGGTGTCTCCTTCCTAGTGTGGACCATCGCGCCTGTGTTGAGCAGTGGAGATAGTGGGGTCTTTCCTGCAGAGGCCTCCATGGTAGGGCTCAAACATTGTTCTAGCTGGGGTGGCCTCCAAGCCTAATACCTTGACCCTCTTCGAGATTCTCTGCACTGCCAAATATCTTCTAATAAATTCCTTCTCTGCATAAACCAACTAGAATAGATTCTGTAGTTTACAACCAAGAATCCTGACTGAAACCCCCTGAAGCTTGTGGGTTTAGGTATGACCATGTGGGAAGGCAGCATGAGCTCTGGACTATAAAGAGAATCAGTTGAGGATGTGGCAGCAAACAGGTATACTAGGGGATCAACGAGGGGAATTATTATGATGATGGGCCTTTGGAAACCTCTGCCTTCTACAGCAGTACTTTGAAACTCTTGTGCACACAGATCACCTAAGGATGTTGTTAGCATGCAAATTCTGATTCAGGAGTTTGGGGCTGGGACCTGGGATCCTGCATTTCCAATACCCTTCTCCACTTAAGTTTTGCTGATGCTGGTAGTCTGAGGACCACCAATGAGGTGGTGAGGTTCCAGGGACGCTTAAGCCTCCAGCAAAACATCACACAAGACAGAAGTGCCTACTTCAATTGCATGAGATAATGAGACCAAATCATCCCCGGGCAAGCCCACCACTAACAATTATTCCCATCATTGGTAACATCCTAAGTCCTAAGGTACCTGGAGCTTCAAATCTCATAATTAGCACTCTTGTTATGCCAAGCCTGCTCCTAATGAGGACACTTTGATAATTCGCTTTGTTGAAGAAACAGGATCTGTTCCTTTCCCCTACAGTACAGCATGATAGGAGTGTGGTTTGCTATTTGTACCTGTAACTCAGCCCAGGGAGTGCTGACAATGGGGGAGCCACTGCAGGAGTCCCAGCCTCCCCACCTCATGCCCCACCCCCTGTCCTAAGCCCCACCCTTCCCAGCAAAGGAAAGTAGGCCCCTGAAGCAGTTGTCCTGTCCTCTAGAATCCTCTAGAATCCAGCTACAAACATCCAAGTCCTGCCCCCATCTTCCCGATCTAACTCACACCATTTGTCATAGTGACCTGGCCTCAGCCTCTTTCAACTTCTTCTCTCACTGCCACACCTTTGCGTAGGCAGCTCTCCAGCCTGGAATACCCTCTTATCCATCCGGCCAACTCCTCCATGACCTCTGAGATCCATGTGGAAGGCTCTAGAAAGCCTTCCTCAAATTTCCTTTGTTCCAGGATTTAAGCTGACCTAAATCCTAGAGATTAGTACTTCATTTTCAAACTTTTCATTTGCTCAAAGCCTACAGCAAACTCAGTCCACACACTTGGCTATACAAGAAAGGTTGCTTTCTTTGTTGTTCTATAACTGACTTTAATTTCAACTTCAAGTCCCCATTCTTGCCAAGGGGTAGAAATGGAATCTTGGTCAACTTAGGTTCCCCTCCCTACTCTCTGGGGTTGCATTTCCAGGCCAGGCAGTTTCTGCTGGTGCTTTTGTTCCTTGGTCCTCAGTCTTCTTTCTGTGTTGACATCCATTGACATGTCCTCGACTCCCCTCATCTCAGATCACAGGCCCATGCTGACTCCAGGAGTATTCTTGTATTCTCTTCATCTGAACCTCAACACTTTTTGAGACCACGCATGCATGTGCTCTCTCTTTCTCTCTCTCTCTAACACTTCTGGAACACTCTTGGACATGAGGAGATATTGGTCTTTCTAGGATGGGGTCAACTGGCCCTGCCTCAGATCCATTGGCCTGTACATATCTTGTAGCCATTGTGGTGCCATGGATCACAGGTCACGATGCTGTGTGGCTGCCTCTGCTCTTAGACCTGCCCCCCATGCCACCAGAGGGAGTGTCTGCCTCCCCCTGCCCTGGACACTCAGCTGGAGGGGAGGGTCACAGTCCCTCACAGTCCCTTCTCCAGTGACAAGCAACAAACTCCCAGTCTTCCTTTCTTTCTGATCCTCTCCTCCTCTTCCTCCTTCTCCTCTTCCTCCTCTCCCAGTCCAAGGAAGTTTTATGCAAAGGCCAGAGGAGGGAATAATGAGGTGGAGGTCTCTCTGACCAAGCATGTAGCCTTCCGGATCTGTTGTGCTTTCCAGGAGTCCTTCAAAGCTCTAAGCTTTTGGAATTCTGCAAGCTCAGGAAATTGAAAACCTTTTCTCTCACAACTGCAGGTCTTTGTCTGCAGTTGTAAAAGTCTGTTTAGAAACTCAGGAGACAAGCAGCATCTTCTTTGTTCCCTGCTTTCTGGAGGCAGTCAGCGTGGAACACCCTGCCTGCAGTCTGACTCAGGGAAAGGGTCACTGAGTGTGTGTGTGTGTGTTGAGGGGTGGATAATAAGCAAGGAGAACACTCAGACAGAGAGCTCACAGAGGGGCACCCCAGCACCTCCCTCACCTCTATATTCCCCGCCTGGGCATAGTGGAGGGAGGGTTAATGCCAGCCAAGTTTAACAGGCATTTCTGATTCGCGGCATTGTTGTTGCGCTATCCTGCAATCCTACGCTGCGGGTACTGTTTTTATCCTGATCCTTCAGCTCTGGAAACTAATATAGAGAGCTGAGTAACTTGCTTGAGGCCATGATGCCAGGATCCACGGTGCCCCCAGGCTGAAGAGCCTTAACCACTGGGCTGTACCACCTCACAGGAGGGCAGGTGGCACAGTGCCTGGAACTTGGGAGGGTCCAGCACGTGGAACTATGCTCTGTCATTTACTTACTGTGTGTCACTGGATCAGTCACTCAACACCGCTAAGCCTCATTTTCCACCTCTTCAAAAGGGATCTAATAAACCTGTTAGCAGAAGGCTGCTGTGAACACTAAATGAGGTGGCTTAGGTGAGAGCTCTGGTCTGAAGATGCTCACACTTTGAATCTCAAGACTTGTGTGAACCAATATCAGATTTCTCCTATTAGATTGCAATTCTCAGGGAGTCACATTCCGTCTCCAAATGCCCATCTCCTGATCCACAAAATGAGCACAACATCTCTGATAAACGGTAACTAGATGGTTCCAGTGGGCAGCGGGAGTGGGAGGGCGGTTGACTGGGCCAGAACCTCAAATGTATTCCTGTGTAGTTTCTCATGCATTCATTCAGTTTGGCACCAGAAGGTGCCCAGACTCACTTTGCAGCCAGTCTGTCCCCATAGAGGTGATAAAGGAAAAACATATGCACATTTAAACTTTTAAAAGTTTATTTGAACATTCAGCGATTCACAAACGGTATAGCACAGACAGCAAGCAACTAGCACTCCTCTAGGAGGGGCCAAACAGGATACTTTTATAAAGAGGTTGCAGAAGCAAGACAAAGAAAACCATTTTAATGGGTTGGAATGGAAAGTTCCTAATTAGAGGTTCATTGGTGGCTCCTGATTGGTGCAGCTTCTAGTTTCAACTTACTGTTTACATTGGTCTGTGGTTTGTCCCCATAGGAACGTAAGGTGTCAGAGCCAGCTACTCAGGAGAATGAGGTGAAAGGATCACCTGAGCAGGGTAGGTGGAGGCTGTGGTAAGCAGTGATTGCACCACTGTACTCCAACGTGGGCAACAGAGTGAGACCCTTAAAAAAAGAAGGAAGAGAGGGAGAGGGAGAAGGAGGAGGAGGAGGAGGAGGAGGAGGAGAAGGAGGAGAAGGAGAAGAAGGAGAAGGAGGTGGCAGAGCTACAGAAGCACCTGTTGCCCAGGATGGAGTGCAGTGATGTGACCACAGCTCACTGCAACCTTGATTTCCTGGGCTCAAGTGATTCCCCCCACCTCAACCTCCCAAGTAGCTGGGACCACAGGCAGGCACCACCATGCCCAGCTAATTTTTTTTTATTTTTTGTAGAAATGGGGGTCTCATTATGTTCCCCAGGCTGGTCTTGAACTCCTGGGCTCAAGTGATCCTCCCACCAGAGCCTCTCAAAGTGCTGGGATTACCAGCATGAGCTACCATACCATGCCCGGCATAGATTTTTTTTTTTTTTTAACAGAGGCTACAGACAAGACTGACTGCCTGGCCTAGAGTTGAGGCCCGGGAGACTTGCCTCCTGTGTGCAGCGGGCTGTGCTGGTTGCCTCGGTTTCCCAGAGTCTGATGAACATGTTTCCTCCACAGGCAGTAGCTGCTTCATTTGTTTTTCTCCCAGTTTTCATTTCTCATTAGCTGCTAAATCCTCCCCATGGCTGCAGACCCTATTGTAGCTGACTCAGCCAGTGGGCACAGCAGGGGCTGGGTCCCAGCGCCGTCTCCGCAACCTAGGAGAGGTCAGGGGCAGCAGTGCCTGCCTGGCTCTATCTCCAAGTGTGCCTCACCCCCACTGACAGGTCAGATTATCCACTGTCCCCAGAGACGTTAGGAGGGAGGCCGTGTCCTCCACTCCCCTAGCTGACACACTGGAAGGACGTTCTCCTTGACATCTGACTTAATGACAGTGGAACCAAGCGGGGTGCCCTTGGGTGAAGGAAAAAGGAGGGAAGACTTGAGCCTTCTTTAATGTCAATACCCTGAGCCTGAGGCCACAAGCAAAGGCCAGCAGCTTCTGCAGGATAGCAGAAGCCAGGAGACAGGGAACTGGGGAGTGTACATTTATTTGCTTCTCCAACAACAACAACAATATCTAGGTGTGCAGTGAGCTCCCACTTCTGCTGATGTGGGACTAGACAAAAGATGAGAGGGGACCACCCTCAGAGGCTCCCTCCTGCTTGGCCCCAAACTCTTTGTAAATCCAGCACCCCACCCCCAGTTGTTCCCCTTCAGGAATCATCACCCTCTGAAAACCTGCAGAAATTCTCAAATCCCAGCCCCCTTTGCTTCTCACACTTGTAGAGGTCTTTCCCTAAGCAAACACCTGCTTTGATTATTCAGGGAGTGAGAATTAATATCATTGTAAATCTAACTCAAACATAATTAAGAAGTTAAATCTACTTTTGAGGGAAAAAGTTCTGATTGCTCATCTCCAGACCAGATAAATAAGATTTCAAATCTCCAAGATCTGCAGCTCGGTGTGAACTGCCCTCCGCCTGTCTCAGCCAGAACATCAAGTGGAAAGGGGCCTGAGGAACTGCCTCCTCCAGCCCCACCAGTGTGGAGATGCAGCTCAGTCTTGCCATCTGTGAAATGGGATTGATAATACCTACATGGTTGTCTTGAGTTTAGCTCATAACCCTTTCTCCGCCAGAATATCAACTCCGTAAAGGCAGGATTTTGTTTGTTCCCCATAGTATCCCCAGTGCCTCACACATGGTAAGCATTTAATAAAAACAAAGCCATCAATGGAGATGACGAAACCCAGAGAGCAGCAGTGCCTTGACCGGGGTCACACAGCAAGTTAGAGCAGAGCCCTGATTGAAACCAAGGGCTCCTGGGCCTTAAACTAGGCGCTCCTTGCATTAGCCTGTGGCAGGAGATGTAGGTTTGCTGTCAATCCTTCCACCAGTTACTACTGCCTGTGCAGCCTTGTGCATGACCTTGCTTTCCCTGGGCCTCAGTTTTCCCAGCAGTAGAATGGGCTTATTATTAGAGGAGAAGACCACATCCACTTTGGAAAACGGGCAGAACCTTGTCCCACCTTCCCCCAACAGCTGACCATTTTCTGCCCAGGCTGTGGCCAGAACCTGTTCTCTCCCATCATTAAAATCCCTCTCTCCTTCTCCAACTCTTTCTTTCTAGCTCCACCCTCCCCAAAGAGGAAACAAAGGAAGGCAAACATATTCCTGTTACCAGCCCAGGTCTCAGTGGGCCAAGGTGGAGTGAGGGGAGGGAAGAGGCTACAGTCCTCCCACTCTGCCCCCACACACCTGCAGAGACATTAAGGAAAGCGGAGCTACCCTGGGCTGCCTCTCTGTGATTTAACGCTCTCTCACTCCCACACCTGCAGTGCACCGGAGTTAAAAATGACCTTGGCAAACAGCCTTATGTATTCTCTGTCTAGAGCAGAGGACAGAGTCAAAGAAAACCCACTCAGAAGCCTGGAGAGCGGCTGAAAGTGGGGGAGGGCAGGAAAGGAGGGAGGCAGGATGGAAGCATGCATCTCCTGGGCATTAGACTTGCTGGATTAAGGAGTGGAGAGTCAAACATGGGTAGCTCTGCTCAGAAAAATTATTACTGAAGGAGAGATTATGCTCCACAATCTCACCAGAATGTGGCTTTGCAAAGTGAAACGAGGGTTCGTTCCTCTGCCAGCACGACCAACTCTCCCGGGACACCCCCTCAGGTCCGTCCTTGTGCCACAGGCCACCTCACTTCAGGTTGGTGGCTCAGAGAGGTAGCAGCTCCCATCTAAATGTGGCTTCTAGAACCTTCTCTTCTCCTGCTGAGAAAGGATTGTGCTGAGTAGTAGAAGCAGCTGGCAGTGGAGTCCCCTGGCCTGGTTCCTACAATCCCAACTTTGACAATTGTGTGACCTCGGACAAGTCACCTTACCCATCTAAGCACATGTTGTTTTAACTGTAAAATGAGGAAAATAGCATTCAACTCAGGGTATGAATGAGTGGAGCCATGTGGAGCAACAGTTAAGGGCATGGACTTGGGAGTCAGGCAGCCAAGGTCTGTGATTCTAGGCAAGTGATGTCACCACTGAGCCTCAGTTTCTCCACCTGTCATACAGGCAGGAGTAAATGCCTCCTCACCCCCTTTGTTCCTTGTACAAACCCTTGCCCTGGATGTTCTGTTTGTCCTCAGGACCCCCTCTCCACTGTTGGCTGGGGAGGCTGACCTGGGAGGACTCTGTGAATGAGGCCCCTGCCTTCCGACTTCAGCTGTTCATGACACAGGCGGAGACTGCGGGCAGGAGGAGAGTGACACGAGGTGTCAACTCCCAGGCTCCCTCCCTGAGGGTTATAGGGCATGGCTCTCTTCCATAGCTTTCTTTGCTCGGCCTTTTGTTGATGGTTTTCCTCATTCATCAAATTGGGGTGCTGAGGGCACCCACTGCTTCTGTCCCAGGGCACTGCCCTCTTCGTGTGCTTTCCCACTCTCTCCCTACACCACTGTACACAGTCCTTTTGTTACACGGCCTTCCAATTCCCCAATCTGAGGGTGCCATTGTGTCCAGCTGAGACCCTGAATGAAGCAACTGTCCCGTCTGGCCACAGACCTGGCACAATTTCCCTTCAGGCACTTAAAGCAGGAGTAATGAACACTGATGAGTTCAGCTCAGTGCTAATCCCTCTACATGTGAAATCTCAGTTCTTCAGAGAGCCCTGGGAGGAAGCTACTACAGCCTTTCCCATTTTAAAGATGAGAAAACTGAGGCTCTGAGAAGGTTTCACAGCCAGAGCTAAGCCTAGAGCCCTTAATGACTATCCTCATGCCCTCTCCAGTATAGGCAGGAGGCTACTGAGTACACGTGCTTGAACTTCCAAGGCATGTTCTCAAGTAGAAGTGTCCTCCTCACAACTGCTCTGAGGCACATGCCATCGGAAAGCTGGGCTAATAATTAAACAGGGGTGATTTTGTCAGCCCCACATGGCCTGACAAAGCAGAAACACAATGGATGGTAAATATTCTATTACGACTGTTATTCCCAACCCCCTTTCCAATGGGGTGGTGAGTAGGAAGCCTCCCTATGACCAGTTTCTTCCCCACAGTCTTGCCAGCTCCTGTTCTTCTCATCACACCAGGCTTGTGGCCTTGATTTTGGACCCTGTTGGAATGAGGGTCACAAGAGGGTCTGTCTGTCCACACACACAGTTGTTCCTCCTCCTTCTTCCCCACCTCCATTCTTACCCATTCTCAGTCCTTATTCCAGACTCCTCCCTTGCACCAGCTGTGTCCTTGGCCTGGGGATGCATAATGAGACCCAGATGCTGCCCCCAAAACTCTCAGTTTATGGACTGTCCATCTTGAAGAGATGACCACAGGATGCTCAATGCTCCAGCAAAGAGGAATCCTGTGGTTCACCAAAGGCACACAGGTCTTTGGCACTTAGAGAAATCATTTGTCATATGTTCCTCTAAGTGCCAAAGGCCTGTGTGCCTGCAGTCATTCATTAATTGAACCAATATTATTCAATGAGTCCATTTCTGGCCACTCCTTCTCAGCTAGCCTTCTTTATGAGATTTTCCTCCACTGACACTCCCTGAACTGCTGCTAGCCCCAGGGCTCTGGGCTGGCTTTCTATTCCTCCTTCTGGGGGTGTCATTCATTCTCTTGGCTTTAAAGACCATCCATATGCAATCTGCAGGTCCTATGATCATGGCCTCCAGAATCTGTCTCATTTCGTCCACATCTCATCACCTCCTGTTTTCTCACTAGCCCAAGCCAAACTCATCTCTAGTCTACACTATTGCAGACATTTCAGGATTGCCTCATTGCCAGCAAATTTGCCTCCTACAAGTCACTATTAATTCATATGTCGGGTTGTCACTTCCTGGTTTTACTTCAGGTTTTAATAAGCCTGAAGGGAAACACTTGTTTTCATTCCCCAGCATGAAACTGGGACATTTCCTCTGGTCCTTGGAGTGAAATCCACACTCCCAACCACAGACTTCAAGGCCGCACCTGCTCTGACCCTGCTGACCTCCCATCTTTCACCACTGGCTGTGGCTTCCTTGCACTTTTGCAACACCAAGCTTTTTCCTGCTTTCAACCCCCAGACCTGCCCGTGGGTTGCAATTTTTGGGCATCCGGATCTCAGCAAATGTGCCTGCTCCTCAGAAAGGCCTTCCTGGCCGTTCTGCCTGAAGAAGCCCCTGTCCACATCAAGGGTCTTGCATCTCATCACCCTGTTTTATTTTCCCCATAGCGCTCATCCCAACCTAAAGTATCTTGTGAACGTGCTGCTGGTCTGTTATCCATTGTCCTCGCTAGACTTCAAGCCCCCGAAGAGCAGGGACCTGGCCTGCCTGTTCACCATTGTCTCTAGCACCTAGAACTCAGGCCTGGTACAGGATAGGTGCTCAACAAGTTGTTAAGGACAAATGTCAAGAAGTACCTGGGGGAAGTGAGGGGCTGAATTGGGGGGAATAGGTTCTTTGGTTATGGCCCAAAAATTGCTAGAAGTTTAAATGTGTCTTCTAAGCCCAGCTCTCTGTGTTCTCAAGGTCGCAAATATTAAGAACTCAGGGTAAATAAAAATGTATCCTTTCCAGTGCCTGCATGCCCACACTGAAATGAGAAAAGATTTTTTAAATAATAATAATAAAGGAACGATCTTTCAACCTGCGTGCGGGTCTCAGCGGCTCCACTTGCCTGCTGTGTGGATCTGACCAGTGCACTTTCACTGCCTGGGTCTGGGTTCTTCTGATGTAAAGTAAGGCTCCCAGTATAAGCTGCTTTCCTTCTAGATTCCAGGGAAATCATCTCACAAAACTCAAATGTGAGACAAACAAGATTTCAGGGCAAGGAAACAGACTCAGGAGCTTTCCTGGGGGCATGGCTCCCTCAAAGCCTACGTCCTGTAGAGACAGCAGCTGCTAGGCTTCTTGGATAGAGTGCCTGCCCCCAGTGCCACTCCTCACTCCACCCTGCAAAAGTCTCAAAAGGTATGTTGAGGCACAGTAAGCAGGCTGCTAGAGCCCAGCATACTTACAGCCCTGAGGTTGTCAGACAATGAGCCTCGTGATGAGTTATTGCACCAACAGCTGTTGCCCAGCCCTGCTATGTGGATCTTGGGGACAATAATTTATCCACAATTACACTGGAGAGCATGGTGCTTCTCAGGTAACAGGTGGAAATTCACAAGCCCACCATGTGATGAAGACCTGCCCTTCCCTGACCACAATGCTATGAGTAATGACTGAGAAGATTGGGCAGCCCATCCTCAGTAATGCAGGATGCACTGTGGCCCATGTCTGAGGCATCTGAAATATCAGAAACTCCAGTGGGCTTACCATGGTCCCACTCCTGCCATAATGGTTGCCTTACAGTGGCTTTTTCTTCCAAACCAACTTGCCTTCAACTGCAGAAGGTGAGGTCCCCAAAACACCAGTAGGCCATAGGATAGTGTGCGGCCGGTAGAATAAGAACCTCAGACACTTCCCACTTCCCCTGGTAGAGAAGGTCTTAGTGGCCACACCGAAAGGTAGGTGGAGGCTAACAGATCTAAGGCTGCCCAGTGTGCCATTTCTGCACTGGATATGAAATGTGCCCTCTCTGAGCCCTCTCTCTGCCTCAGCGATCTCATCTATAGAATGGGGGTATAGAGATAGACAATCTCATATGTGATCTTAGGCAAGTTCAGATCTCACAGTTTCCAAACTTCAGTTTCTCCAGCTATGAAGTATGAGCTTGATAATCTTGGCTGTGTGACTTTGGACAAGGCCCTTCCACTCTCTGAGCCTTGGTTTCCCATCTATAAAATGGGCCAATGGTAGGGGTGGGAAAAGGATGACCTCTGAGGTCCCTTCCATACAGCTGCCTCTGATTCTTCATTGCAAGTGACCCAGTGTTCCATATGACCCATAGCCATCTGTCTGTCCTTTGTGCCAGGCCTGAAGCATTCCTTTTGGACTGGTCATTTCTCACCGTCACCCCCTGGAGTCTGCCCCAATCATTTCTCAGTCCTTCTGACTGTGAAGTGTCTGTCTGAACTCATAATCAGCTTTTAGCTGGTCCCAAACAGTGAGTGCTACCAGCTCCATTAATCCCACTGACAGGGATTTATCTTTCTCAGCTGAATGAATGATGCTCCCAGCCTTGCCCCAGAAATGTGGGCTGGGCTATTCAACACTTGTCACCAGCAAGCTCTTTTCCTGAGGCTGCATACTCCAGCCACCCAGGTGACTGAGTACTTTGTCATCTTCTTCTCAGAGCAGTGGCAGAACCACAAAGCAAACTCCCACCCATGACCCACCCACCCACCTTCTGACCTAGTTTGGATGCTCCAAGCCATAATGATAAAGTAATGTTGTGAAGAGGGAAAGAGGTTTGCAGTCAGACAGCCTGAACCCAGGTTCTGCCATGTACAGGCTGAAGCTTGGCAAGCCTCTGCACCTCTCTGAGGTCCATTTGCACCTCTCTGAGGTCCATTTGCACATCTACAAAAATGCGATAACACCTACCTAGCAGAGTTCTTAGGAGATCCAGATAACAAATTGAAAACATGCCAGATAATGCCTGGCACATTTTAGAAGCTTGAGATCTACTACTGGTTCTCTTCCAGTTCTCCCATCGTAGTAATATCATCTACAGAGCAAGATGGGGAAAATGCTCACTGCCAGATCCCATTCTAAAGAGGTATCTCCATCTACAGATTTATTGCACCCGGGCTCCTAGCCATACGCCCAAAAGTCAAACTGAACAACAGTAATAATATTTATTCAGCCATGTCACACTGAACTGAGGACCTGACTTAAGCAACAATTCAGATCTGCCAACATTTACTAAGCACCTACTATGTGGCAGGCCGCGTCGTGACCCCCTGGAGAGAGAAAGATGGATTGGAAAGTGTAGCATCAAAATTAACAGCTTGGTTTGGAAGTCAGACACACCTCAGGTGAAGATATGGATTGAGTCATAAACTCCCCATGTGGCACTGGGCAGGTTCATCACTTGAACTCTCTAGACCTCAGCTTTTAAATCTAAAATGTCCCATAGAGTTGCTACAAAGATTACATGAGATATACACTTAGCAAAGTGCCTGGCTCACAGTAATTGTCAGAAACAGAAAGTGTCGAGACTCAACCCTGCATGGAAAAGAAAATAGGACACACATACTATCTTAGTCCATTCAGGTTGCTATAATAGAATACCTTAGATTGGGTAAAGTAGTCTCCCCTTATCCACAGGGGATATATTCCAAGACCCCCCGTTGGCACCTGAAATCACAGATAGTGCCAAACCCTATATGTACTATGTTTTTCCTATACTTATATACCTATGATAAAGGCTAATTTATAAATTAGGCATGGTAGGAGATTAACAACAATAACTAATAATAAAATAGAACAATTACCACAATATAGTATAATAAAAGTTATGTGAATGTGGCATCTCTCTCGTTCACTCGCTCAAAATATCTTACTGTATTGTACTTACTTATTTTCAAACTGCAAGTGGCCATGGGTAACTGAAACTACGGGAAGTGAAACTGCTGATTGGGGGGACTACTGTAATTTACTATAATTTATAAATAACAGAAATGTATTGCAAAGTCCAAGGTCAGTGCACAAGCAAATTCAATGTCTGGTGAGGGCCAGTTCTTCATAGATGGTGCCTTCTAGCTATGTCCTCACATAGAAGAAGGGACAAAGAAGCTCTGTTAGGCCTCTTTTGTAAGGGTACTGATCCCATTCATGAGGGCCCTGCCTTCGTGACCTAATCACCCCGCAGATGCTCCACCTCTCAACACCACTGCAATGAGTATTAAGTTTCAACATATGAATACTGGGGGACATGAGCGTTCACGCCTATGTAAATACTACACAGAAAGATGTTTATCAGGTAAAAGAAAGTAGACACGGACAGTCCTCATTTTTCTAAGAATAATTGGTACCAGTACAAATACCACTTAAAGAGAAACTTCTTAAAACAAATGTTGACTATTTACTGTGATAGTGAAGGAAAAAGGTTGGAGTAGGGCCAAATCTTGAAAAAATAAAATTGAAAGCACAAAAATAAGTCTTTTTTATTGTCTAGTAACAAAATGTAGGTTTTAGTGTCAAATGAGTTAATTTTTTCCATTAAAAATAGGAATTACCAAGTGTTGACTTTGGGGGAGGCATGGCACATTTTTTAGACAAAATCCTATCTTAGCACAGTCTAACAGTTTTGATTTTGTTTGACTTTCACAGCACAATAAATAAAGAGGGTCATTTGGGGCAAATATTTCCAAGCTTTATCCATTTTCCCATAGGCCTCTTCCAATCGTTAGAAGATAACATTTTTCTCCTTTGAAGCACCTGACAACTTTGTCACTTTTCTCTTCTTCGGTTGCTAACTAGTTTAACTCTGCCAGTTTCTCATTTGCCTGTAGTTAAATGTGAATGGAAAAGTTATCCAACAATACTTTTGCTATTTTTATGAAATCCTGAATCTGTTTAAAGATTTGCACTTTTCCTCTTCATCAATTTCCTTTGAATTTCCATTACATCATCAGACATTTACAACAACCAACAAGCCGAAGGAAACCAATAGATCTAGGTTAAATGAGTAAGGCTAGAAACCAGCGTTAATGGGAGGTAAAACTTAAGCGTGCATAAAACGTTTAAGTGACCGGCTCATTCGTAAGTATTTTTGTGTTATGAAGATTTTTACTTCTCTATCAAACCTTGTAACCTCAGAGAATTGAATAATGACACTTAGTTGTCAAATTCAAGATAACCGACAAGAGACCGGGCGTGGTGGCTCACACCTGTAATACCAGCACTTTGGGAGGCCGAGGCCAGCGAATCACCTGAGGTCAGGAGTTCTAGACCAGCCTAACCATCATGGCGGAAACCCAATTTCTACTAAAAATAATAATAATAATAATAAAATAACTGACAAGAATTTCTAAAGTAGTTCAGAATAGAAAGCTTACTAAGTTGATTCATTTAATGGTTACCCTTGATATTTTAACATGTACTATTACATGTTAACATGTACCCACTAAATGTCTAGATCTCATTGATACTTCATTTAACTCCTGAACAATAATAGCTTTTCAGTGTTTGGACTCTGGTTACCTCCTTCCTGATGCATAGGCTACTGTTCATCATTTTAGTTCTATCTTGTTACTTTTAGTCATTTATATTTACTATACTTACAGACACTGTTGGGTTTATTTTTAGCACCTTCCTATTTGTTTTTCTATTTGTACTATCTCTTCTTTCTTCCTTTATTTCTTCATTCCTGTCTTTTCAAAAATTAAGTAAATAGTTTTATTATTGTATTTTTTTCCTTATATTGGCTTCTTGTTTCACATTCCTGAATTTTGTGCAGTGGTTACCCTAGAAGTTTTAATATATATATTTAGTTTATTATAGTGTATTTTTAAGTTAAGACTTTTACTTCTTCCTGAACAATGCAAGAACTTTACAACAGTTAAACTCCTGTACCCACTTCTTTCTTTTTGTGCTGTTGTTAAACATTTTACTTCTGCATAGTTATAAATCTGATAAGACATTATTGTCATTTTAAACAGCCAATATTCTTTTATACTAACCCAAATATCTCTCCTTTGTAGTGTTTTTCATTCCTTCTTGCAATTTTGTGTTTCTGGATTGAATAATTTTCCTTCAGCCTGAAGATTCTTATTTGGTATGTCCTTTAGTGTCAGTGTGATGGCACTAAATTTTTGCTGATTTTCAGCATTTGTGTGTCTGAAAATGTCTTTATTTTGTTTCATTTTTGCAGGATTTTTTGCTGTGTATATAACACAAGAGTGGCAGTGTTCTTTTCCTCTTACTTTAGCATTTTAAAGATTTTTCTAGAGTCCATCAGTGTTTGTTGAAAAATCCACCTTATTGGTGCTTCCTTGAAGGTAATGTCTTTTTTCTTTGTTACTGCTTTTGAGAACTTCTCTTTACCTTTGTTTTCGGCATTTTGACTATGATATGTGTAGTTATGATTTTCTTTGTGTTTAACTTTTTGGAGGGCTTGGTGGGCTTCTTGAATCAATGAGTTGGTTTCTCTCATCAATTTTCGGAAACTCTTGATCATTGTCTTTCCAAATTTTGCTTCTGCCCAGTTTCTCTTCTTGCCTTCTGGGACTCCAATTATGTGTATGTTAGACCTTTGATAATGCCCCATGTGTTACTCATACTGTTGTCTTTTAATGTTCCTTTCTCTTTTCTCTCTGGTTTTAATTGGAATTTTACCTATTGTTCTGTCTTTAAGTCACTGACCCTATAGTCTGCTATGTCCAGTCTGCTGTAAACCCATATAGTAAGTTTGTACTATTTTATTGATTCCAAGTAACTATTAACAGATACTAGATTTGAGAAGGCTATATGTTTTTGTTCATTTTGCCCATCTTTTTCTCTATTCTCTTTAACAGAATAACCATAGTCAAAGTCCTGTCTGATGAATACAATAGCTGGGTCATCTATGGATCTGTTTTTATTGTTAGCTTTCTTTTTCTCTTTGCTTTGCTTCTTTTCTTTTCTCTTCTTGCTTTTTCACATGCCTCATAATTTTGACCATAAGCTGGACATTGTATGTAAAAGAACTGTGGAGGTTTCAGCTGATACATTCCACCAGAGCAGCTTCCCCCTTTCCTCTGTTGGAGAGTCAGGGTGAAGGCTGATGACCTCAGTCTAGTCAGAAATTTAAGAGGATTGCAGTTTGAGAAAGACTGAATCGACCACCTCTGGCTTTTCCCATTTCCTTGTGTGGTCTTCATGGCTTTGGCTGGGAGCCTAGCTAGTCTCTGTCTCCTCAGCCCTAAAAGCCTGAAGAGATTCAGTCCTGCTCTTTAGAAGTTTTGAGCTTTTCTGGCTATCTTCAAAATCTGGCAAATATCTTGAGGGGAAAAACAGGGATTTATGTCAGGCCCTTTCTCTCTCTCATGGAATGTTGTCTCCTAAGTCCCGTGAGTTTAGCAGAAATTTCATTCCAACCTTCCATCCTCATTTCCCAGCCACCTGAGCTGCATAGAGCACTTAGCAGTGTCCTATGCGTTAAAGCCAACAGTCACTTGGCTTCTTATATTTCAGGCTTCTCTTGTTTCCAATCCATCATGCCAGCCCTGCACAACTGCCAAAAGTGCTGCTTGGTTTCTGCTTTCTCCAGTAGACAACCTCTGCTTGGGCCAATGCCAGTCCTCAACCCACGTCCAGAATCAGCAGTTGCCCACAGGGAAGAAAACTGTCAGGAGTTATCAGCCTACAGAGGACCCACTTTGTCCTCATTTCCACAGCTTTCTGATGTCTTCAAATTTTCTATTTTTGCGGCTTTTCTTTTTTTTTCTTAATAGTTGTTGCAGTAGGGGAGTCAGCCTGCCACAATCTACTACATCTTACCTGGAAGCAATACCTTATCTTGTTATTTTTAAGTCAACAAATTAGACATTATTATTATTAATATATACAGCAATATTTAGAGTCACTCGCACATAAATATTAATTTAGAGTTAATCACATATTTGCTTTGTATTCCTTTTTGAATCTCTGACTTTCTATCTGTGCTAATTTTCCTTCTGACTAAGCCACATCTTTTAGAATTTCCTCTGTGAGGACCTGTTTTATTTATTCAAACATAAAAAATTTGTTTGCTCTCATTCTTGAAATGTAATTTCACTAAGTATTCATTTACAGTTGGTCAATTGTTTCCTCTTGACACATGGAAAATATCATTCCTCTGCCTCTGGCTTTCATTGTTATTGTTGAGAAGACAGATGTTAGCCTAATTGCTATTTATTTGTAGATGGTCTAACTTTTCTCTCTAACTACTTTTAATATTTCTCCGTCACAGGTTGTGATGTTACTTTCATCTTCTGGAATTGTTCTTCCACATCTTATCATCGTCTTCCATTATTTCCATCTTTGTCTCTCTAGCTTGTTTTATTTATAACTATCTAAGAGTTTACTAATTGTCTCCTTAGTTCTTTGCTCCATCTATATCTGTCCATTGTGACTTAAAATTTCCTTTTTTTAACTTTTATTTTAAGTTTAGGGGTACATGTGCAGGATGTGCAGGTTTGTTGCATAGGTAAATATGTGTCATGGGGGTTTGTTGAACAGATTATTTCATCATCCACATATTAAGCTTAGTATCCATTAGTTATTTTTCCTGATCCTCTCCCTCCTCCCACCCTCTGGTGGGCCCCAGTATGCATTGTTCCCATCTATGTGTCCTTGTGTTCTCATCATTTAGCTCACACTTATAAGTGAGAACATGTGGTATTCAGTTTTCTGCTCCTGTGTTAGTTTGCTAAGGATAATGGCCTCCAGCTCCATCCATGTTCCTGCAAAGGACATAATCCCCTTTTTAATGGCTGCATAGCATTTCATGGTGTATATATACCTCATTTTCTTTATCCTGTCTATTGCTGATGGACATTTAGGTTGATTCCATATCTCTGCTATTGTGAATAGTGCTACAATGAACATACGCGTGCAGCTGTCTTTATAATAGAATAATTTCCATTCTTTTAGGTATATACCCAGTAGTGGGATTTCTGGGTCGAATAGTATTTCTGTCTCTAGGTTTTTGAGAAATCTCCACGCTGTCTTCCACAATGTTTGAACTAATTTACACTCCCACCAACAGTATAACATCGCTCCTTTTTCTGCACAACCTCGCCAGCATCTGTTATTTTTTGACTTTTTAATAGTAGCCATTCTAACTGGTGTGAGATGGTATCTCATTGTGGTTTTGATTTGCATTTCTCACTTAAAATTTTGAACTAATGTATTTTTCATTTCTAGATGCTCTATATGGTTATTTTTCAAATCTGCTAAGACATTTTTATAGTGTCTTATTACTTGCTGAAATGTTCAAACCTCTTTTATTTCATTAAGCATATAAATTTTGCCATCTCATTTTCTGTGCTAATAAAAATTCTAATATCGGAAGCTTTAATAATCAGATTCTGCTATCTCTTTTTCCTGCAAGCCTTATCTCACAGTACCTTGTTTTCTTGTGTGTTTTACAATTGTTGACAGTGAATATTCTTTAGAACTTTATCCTTGATAATTATTAGAGGAATGAATTAAAATTTCACTTCTCCGGAAAGTACTGTGTTTGCACCTTTTAATAACTCAAGAGAGGTAACAACCCAAGTTCATTTTCAATTAAAATTTTCATTTGAGGTTTTTCAGACCACAAACCCATGTGAGAGCTCACATATGGTTACAAATTCTTGAAGAAAATGAGGCTCCTTCCTTCCCCATCCACCTTCCTAGTACCAAAGTCAGGACAGACAGGTTTTCTGTGTTAGTTCACTTCTCATTCACCTTTGTATTAAAGGTCTAGCTCTTTGAGGTTCAAGTTTTATGTTGGGACCTCTTCCCACTTGGTAGGGCCTGGGTTTTACCTACTGGGTTTCTAAGCATATTTTGTGGTTAACATCAGAGGCCAGGAGACTCATCAGTGTATAATTAATTCTTGTATAACTAATTATTTAAAGGCAGTGGACCTATTCACTAGCACCCTGCTTTCGGAGTCACTGAATTCATGTTTGCCCTCAGCTAAAGCCATCCTGAACCTCTTTAGATGGGAGAACCCTGATGCTGGTACCTGTAGCATGGGGGCTGGGGCTGGAGAAGCCAAGTAGTACACTAGGGACCTCACGGTCACTGTGAGGGATGGGGGTCTCTGCTTGGCTTCTGAACACCCAAAAGTAAGCTCTTCTGCCTTCACTCCATGTCCACTGGAGCCTGGGATCCTCTCATAAGAAGCTATATTTACTCTAATGAAAAAAAATCTCACCTGGGCTGAAAAAGCGTATGCTATACATGAGCCTTGGTTAACCTAAACTTTCATCCAGAGTTTCAAGGATTAAATTCCTAAGTTCTTTTTAAAGCAAAGAGAAGTTAGTTCCAGTCCTAGGCCATGATAATGCTCTTGGCTGAGAAAACCTCCTTCGTTTTTTTAAAATATGGATTCTGAGGGTGCAAGTGCAGTTTCGTTATATGGAAGTATTGCACAGTGATGAAGCCATGGCTTTTAGTGTACCCATCATCCATATAGTGTACATTGTACCCAACAGGTAATTCACCATCCCTCAACCCCCCTCCTCTGTTTTAAGGAACTGGCATTTATGCAACTAATTGATAAAATTATCATCTGTCTCTTAACCAGATTAATAGTATAATTAAGGAAATCTGGGATGATGATAGCAGGTTTACTGTTGATGAAACCATTGAACACTTGATTTAACCCATTAACAGTGTTTCTGAAAGTATGTTCCTTGAAACACTAGACCATGAAAAGTCCTTTATGTTGAAATATGCTTAAGAAATATTATATGCTTGAAACTTCTCTTGGAAACTCACGAAGTATATTAGACATTAAAGGCTCTAAGAAATCCTGCAATAAAGAAGCCTATTTAATTTTATTTGACTCGGTGTTTTCAAATTATGTGTGACCACAGAAATAGAAGGAACTTGGAGGAGTAATAATTCATTTTTTGGGTAGAATTCACTACTGTCACAGATATTTGTATGCTGTCAATGAACATTTAAATGTGGATTATAGAGAAAGTAAGATTTATTCAACAAATATTTGCTGAAAGTCCACTATGTGCTTACCACTTTGAGTATACATCGGTGAATAAAAAAGATATAGTTCTGTCTCATGGAGCTTGTAGGAGCATTGGACTGTCGTGGAGGCATTAAGAAAGAAGTAGCAAGTGCCTAGAATCCAGCTGCCCCTCAAATTGTTGGATCACAGCCGTGGAACAGGCCCCAGAGCTGGGAAGTTGACTGGGCAGTTGGCTGTTGTATCCAGCCTGGGAGATGCAAAATTTATTGACATAACTGTACCCCTCAAGAGGACCATAAAGAAGACCAAGCAGAAACACACTTGGTTCTGGAACAGAAAAAAGTTTATCTAGGAAAGGAAGTTTAGGAAAGACTGTTAGATAAGAAACTGGGTGGTTTTTAAGGCTTGCAGAATCTCTTATTGATCTGAGAATTCCTCCCAAAACAATCCCTCTAAAAGTGCCTGATTCATAATCCAGTGAATGTTAACAGGAATGACGATGATGATTATGATGGTGATGATGATGGCAATGATGATGATGGTGATGATGATGGTGATGACAATGATGGTGATGATGATGGTGATGATGATGGCAATGATGATGATGGTGATAATGATGATGGTGATGACAATGATGGTGATGATGATGGTGATGATGATGGCAATGATGATGATGATGGTGATGACAATGATGGTGATGATGATGGTGATGACAATGATGGTAACAGTGATGATGACAATGACAATACTGGTGATGATGATGGTGATGACAATGATGGTAACAGTGATGATGATAATGACAGTACTGATGATGATGATGATGGTGATGATGATGACAATAATGGTGATGACAAGGTTGATGATAATGGTGGTGATGGTGATATTGGTGATGGCAATGATGATAGAGTTTAATCTGCAACTCCTTCCCTTCACTCAATGCTATGGCCAATTGGCCACCAAGAACTGTGAGTCTACTTCATAAGTAACTAACTCTTAAGCTCATCCTTTAATTTCTTTGGAACAGGGCTTAACCTTTCTCAACAGCCCCCTCATCTCATTTACCTTCTTTCAGTGTGTGTTCTTCCAATCTGTCTCCACACTGTGCCAATGTAAGCTTCCTAAAGTTTAAGTCTGGGTACAGGCGCACTCACTCACTCCGTGCACTTTTACACTTTTATGCCTTTTTTGTGTTCTTCTCTACTTGTGTTTTCTCCTTCTTGTCTTTTAGCAAGACATGTACTCATCCTTCAGGGTCCAGCTCAATGGTGAGAGCCTCTCTGGGGCTTTGGCTGATCTCACCCTGGAATGCACTGCAATGTTCCTTTGCCTAGGTTCCTGCAATGCTTTCTCCATTTATCTGTATAACCCTCACCACTTCTAAGATTACGTTATTATCTGAGTCTGTGGTGAGGGAACATACCACATCTGACCTACGGTTCATTGCCAGCCCCCTCCCAGAGTGGAACACTGAAGGCACATGGGCAACTGTTGCAAACGTGCAGGGTAAATGCACCCCCATGGAGTGACAGCTATGCAGACCAGAGCCCCCTTCTCCCAGGTTCTGTGTTGCCCACACCTTTCTTGACAGTCCTGGGCCAGGGCTTCCCCAGGTTTGGAATCCAGATGAGTCTGAAAGCAAATGTCATTCTCTTTCCTTCACCACACAGTAGCATTTGTTCTTGCCAAGGTAGCTGTGTGTGTGTGTGTGTGCATGTGTGTGTGTGCTTGAGTGACTGTGAGTGGTTGTGAGAGTGTGGATGAGAGTGTGTATGTGTGGCGTGTGACTGTGTATATGAGTGCATGTGTTTGAGTGTGTATATGCGTGTGTGTGTATGTGTAGGTGTATGAATGTGAGTGTGTGTATGTTCAAGTATGTGTGTGAATGTGAGTATGTGATGTTTGAGTGTACGTGTTAGTGCATGTGTGAGACTGTGTGTTTGAGTGTGTGTGTGTATATGAATGTGTACGAGTGTGTGAGTGTGTGTATGTATGAGTACACGTATGAATGTGAGTGTGCATGTGTGTCTGAGTGTGTGTATGTGTTTGAGTGTGTGAGCGTGTGTTGTGTGCGTATGTGTGTGTGAGTGTGAGAGAGAATGTGTGTGTGTGTGTGTTCATGCCGATGTTCACGATGGGCTGGAGGGAGGACCAGTCCCCTACTGCGTAGATCGAGGATGCTGCCTTTACCCAGTCTTCATGAAGTTATAAAAATTACAGCCATTTGTCACAGGTCTCTCAACACAGCACTGGGCCCTGGGAGGACCAGGCCACATCTCTTGGCGTCTGAAATAAATGAACTCATTTATTCACACATTGAGGCCACACATGTTTGTTGCAAGTCTGTGGCCAGGCACAGGGCTGGGAGCTGGGGAATAAAGAGCTGACCCAAACAGCAGAACCAGTTTGCGTTTTCATGGAATTCATGATCCGCTGCTCTGACAGTGGGCATGGGTCAGACAATGACCAAGTAAACAGATCAGTAAGATCATTTGGAGAAACGAGAAGGGATCCAAAGGAAAGAAAGCAGGAGGCCACGAGGAGGGGAGTGTGGAGGAGTGAGGGGCTGCTTTAAATTCAGAAATCCTTGAAGACTGTCTAAGGAGGTGGCGTTTGTGTTCGGGCTTCCATAACAGGTAGGGGGAAGATGGAAGGCTGCTCCAGACCAGTCAGGGAGAAGGGGAGTGAGGGTGGTTGTGGTTGGACCACAGGAAATGCAGGAAATGAAAGGGAGGGTGGTAGGAAAGGCAAGGGCTAGACCGCACAGGGCCTTTGGGGCCAGCGAAGGAAGTGGATTCTATCCTGAGTGCAACTGGAGGCCACTAGAAGGGCTTACGCAGGACTGACAGGCTCCGATTGATGCTTCCCAAGTTCAGCCGTGCTGCAGGGCAGGAACTGTAGGAGGAGATAGCGTGGCCCAGAAAGGCAGTCAGGAGCTGTCCAGGCCAGCTGACGCTGACGATGAGTGGGGCCCAGAGCTTAGACTCCCTGAGACTCAGCCCTCCTCTCCCGCAGGACCCCAGCAGCCAGCCTTGGAGGGCTCCCAAAGAATGACATCACCCTCAGCTCCCAGCTGCTTGATATGCAGGGAATTCCTCCCAAGGCTATGCAGAGGCCTCAGGCTTCAGCAGCAAGCTGCGGCCCGTGCCTGGGGGAGAGAGGAGGGGAAAATCGTAACCCCAGCAGCACCTCCTCCCGTGACCTAGACTCTGGGCCAGACACCACAGGCATTTTCTGGATAATCCTCACAACTGCCCCATGAGGGACACCTCTGTCGAATCATAAAATCCTGAACAGGGAAGGATGCCTGGAGATCATGTGACCTGTACCCCTGTGTCGAAACCTGTGTATTCCTGGTTCTTGTTTATTTATTCATCATATCCTTAAATAACACCCTTACTACTTTTCAATCACTTGACCAATATTAATTTTCATAGCCACTTCAGAAGGTCAGAACTATCATTATTCCCATTTCATGGATGAGGAAAACTGAGGCCCAGAAAGGCAAAGTAACTTCTCCAAGGTAGCACTGGCCATCATTTACATCTAGGCAGACTGACCCAGAATCCATGTTCTTCTAGGCTGTACATGATACCACCTGCTCTCGGTTGTTCATGAGCTGGCACAGTGGAAAGAGCTCTCCTCAGCGGGCTGGAGCATCTCTTGTACGCCCAGAGGTGTGGGTGAGCTGTTCTGTGGCACAATTGTCATCCTGGGGTCTGCGACGGTAAGACTCACCTCAGAGGAAGGGCTGGCCTTTCATTCCTAGCTGCAATTCCTTACAAGTAAGAAGGAGAGGGCCTCAAACAGGAAACCTGGGGTGAAGAGGTGAACCTCAGATGCCTATCTTGTTTAACCTTCTGTCTCCAGGCTTAGCACAGTGCCTGGTACAGAGGAAGTCCTCAGTAACATTGTTGAGTGAACGGATGGATAGATGTGTGTGGACCCGGGTTCATCCTTCACATGAGAAAGTCCGTGAGATGTTTACATCCAACTCAATATCTAGCACATACAGGTGGACAAGGCAGAAAGGCAATGTCATGGCTCTTGCCCTCACACTCTAGGGCCTAGACTGGTGTGACAATGTCCATGCTTACATGTCCTGTCTAAGGAAAGCAGCTCCCGTTGGTCATGCCTGTGGAAATGTGGCCCTGTATGGCCAGCTCTTCTGATTTTTCATAAGAACCTGGATGGACAGATGCCATGCAAAGTTTTTTTTTTTAATTTTTTAAAAATCGTGTGTATCCCAAAGAAAATATTATCTAAGGGTGAAATCCAGCCCAGGGGGCACTAGTTTGAGATGCCAGGTCTGGGATCAGTAGCAGGTGGCCCAGAATGGGGACTGGGTTGGTGAAGACTAAGAAGAATGAGAAGCTCCCTGGAGCCTCCGAGAGGAAGGTACATTTTGCATGCCAGCTTATCCGGATTCGAGACTTGCTCGATGTTTATTTTCTGGTTGTCACTCCAGGATTTTAGTTAAGTCTTGTCTAACATTGCAGCCAGGCTCAGCCATTCTGTAGGAGGATTAAAGGATGGGACTGTGTATAAAATTGGGCCAGGATGGCAAGCGAGGGAGCAGCTCTTGAGGCCAGAAGAGTGGGGGAAGATGGCTTGATGACAGACGGAATCTCAGGCACCTGAAGAGTCTTAGAAGCCAGATTTGGGGCTGAGCCGCCCTTCCCCAAGTGGAGATTCACCAGCCATGGCCAGACTCGAGGATGTGAGATTTATTTTTCTTAAGATAGCAAATGTCTTTGCAGGCATGCTTCCCAGTTGGGAAATTCTTTTTATGCTCCATGTAATCCGTCTGCCAGAGCCTCCTTTGACTCTGTTTATCGGTTCTCTTCCTGTATGTGTCATGCTCTCCTTCCCTCTCTCCTCTTCTCCCCTTCTCGTCACCACCCCTTTGCTCTGCACCACCCAGAGCCTGTTAGGAAGAAAGGGGGGATACACTCATCCTGGCTCCATTTAGGGTGGGCTTTTAATCCAGACATGTCGCTGACACCAGCATTTGCACCAGGTATTTAATTAGACCAGGAAGTCCCAGGGGATTTGAGAAGCTGGCTGGCGAGGAATGGGCTCTATCTCCATATCTTATTTTGACAAGCACTGTAATTATCCCTCATTGCTGGCAGGCGGAGCAGAATCACGTTCGTTCCCAGCCCCATCTTCTCAGAACAAGAGTACTCAGGCTCCTGGTTGCTCCACCACTAAACAACTGCCTGTCTCAGTTCCCCAGCGAGACCGAGACTGAGCTCAGCCATTACTCAGGAGATCGCAGGCGGGCGCTCAGCCTACTTTTTGACAGCATCGTGGAGGTGATTTCAGAGCGCTTGCTGCATGCACATGGGAAATAGCTTCCAAGGAGGATCTTTGGGGGCAGAAGGAATGAGGTGGGCACCATGCCCTCCAAAAAGACAGAAGTTACCCCTCCAGGAGCCAGCATGAATGGAGCACCTACCATGTGCCCATTTGGTATTGAATTTAATCTTCTCAATAGCACTGCCAGGTCAGTGTTATCATTCCATATTACCAATAGGGAAACTGAGGCTGTAAGTGAGGAAGCTGCAGAGTCAGTTGCAGTGGCCTCAGAATTCCGACCAAGAGCTAGCTGGCCCCACGGTTTCTTCCCTTCCTACTTTACAGCATTGTGGCTCAGGGAGAGCACACATGCCCTCATGCTCTGCCCCAAACAATTTGTGGGTGCTGGAAAGTTCTGGCCATGTCAGGAGCAAGTGCTTTCTCCCTTGCTGTGCTGCCCAAAACTTCTTTAAGGAGGTTACCCTCATCTGTCAAACAGGGATGTCCCTGTCTGTCCCACAGAGTCTTCATGAAATGAACTGAGATGGCATATTTTAAAGCCCTGGGAAAACCGAGGCAGCCTCGGGAATGGTGACGTATCTGGTTATTGAGACTGTCTTATAATTTGGGGCGTGAAAACCTAGGGCTACAGGGACACAAGGTAATGAGAGGAAATTGCCAAGGAAAGCGAATGCAAAGGAAACACCACCCAAGCCCAGCCTGGCTTCCAGGTACCCTCTGAACCAGCCTCCTGCCCCACTGTGGGCCAGAATAGACCAGCCTGCTAGGAAAACCTTTGGCCCACTGCAACAATGACAATCACAACAACTCAACCGTTTAGTGAACACAAAATATGTACGAGGCACGGGATTATGCACAGGAACCACGTCCGTACATTTCATTCTCAAGATCCTATGAAGTAGGTGTTATTATCCCTATTTGATGGATGAGCAAGCTGTGGTTCATTAAACCACATCCCCCATGTCAAACAGCAAACAAGGGGTGAGGCCAGTTGGTCTTGACAGTTTGTCAAAATCGCTGTGCTAGAAAACCACCCTCCTTACTGGTTGTGTTCCAGGGGTTCCCAAACTCAAGTTCTTCTTGGAGGAGCTGCAAGAAATGATTTGAGGGTGATAGCAAGGAAGAATGCATCTGAGATGCCAGGCTCAGGAGATTCCTGGAGTCCTGCACTGTGTGCCCTTTGGCCCAGAAGGCCCTTGTAAGCACCTTTAGGTGTTGTCTGCATTTCCCTTCCCTTTCTGGTCAGGGACCCCAGCTCTCTCTGCATGGATTCTCCTCTCCAGGAGGTGGGGGGTGGGAGCCGATGTCAACAGGGAAGAGGGGCAGAGGAACAAGGACAGGGATGGGGAGAGGAAGAAAGAAGGAGGTGGGATGTGGCAGCTGGGCCCGGAAGCAGGCTAGAGCCAGCTGCACAGCTCTGACAATCTAAAGTGTCTCTTCCGATGGTCTCCATTCAGCCCCATCTGCAGATAGCTCATTTTGTGAATGAGGCCTGGGTGTTTGTTCCAGAACCTTAGCTGTGATTAGGAAAGACAGGAGCACTTGGGAGGCCCCACCTTCAATGCACCAGAGTATTTCTAGACCCTCATTCTGCAGTCAGCTCTAGCTGCCACATCAGGGAATTCTTGCTGGTCTGTAGCCTGGATTCCAATTGTGGATGTGGCCTGTTAAAACTTTCCTGGGTAGGACAGTGTGGGCGTTCTGCCTTAGGAGTCAGACAGGCCTGAGTTTATATCCCACCATTTCCATATGCTGGCTGTGTGACCTTGAACAGGTCCCTTAGCCTCCCTCAGCAGTGGAGTGGAAGATTAAGTGCACAGACTCTGAAGCTAAGCCTTCTCCCATGCTCCAGTCCCAGCTCTGCCACTTACTAACTGTGTGGCCTTGGCAAAGTGACCCAACACCCCTGGGCCTCTCTTCTCAGCTGCAATACAGGGCTAATACAGGCATGCATCTTATGGAGTTGTCAAAAGGATGAAACAAATTCATGCATTTAAAGGACTTGGCACATGGTGAGTGCTCAGACATGTTAGCCAGTATCCAGGCATGGTGGCTATTTTCTGGAATAAATATGGATAAACTGAGACAACTTTCTCTCCTGAAGATGGGTCCATTGCGAAGTCATCTCAAAGAGGTGTGGCCTGGAGAAGTGGTTCCAGTACCTCATGCCTTCTTCCCCTTCCCTCCTTCTCTCCTGCCTCCCCCTGCATTCTTCATGTGCCTCCTGCTGTAAGCATTTGCTGAGCCTCCTGCTGTGTCCCAAGCTCTGTGCTTGGGGTCAACCACCCAGAAATGAATCGTGTGGGTCCCATCCTCTCCAAGACAAACAGTTAGAGGATGGTCAGATAGTGCCAGTGGAGAGCAGGGAAGGCCTCGTGGACAACATCCTATTTGAGCCACATGACCATCAGGGAAGAGCATTTCTAGGCAGAGGAAGCAGTTTGTACAAAGGCCCTGAGGAGAGAACAAGCTTGAGAAATAGGAAGAGTGCCCGAGTGTCTGGAGTGGAGGGACAGGGAGAAGATGGGTAGGAATGAGGTTGAGAAGTAGCTAGAGGTCAAATCATAGAGAGCTTTGAAGCCACAGTGAGAAATGTGGGCTTACTTTGAGTTTTCTAGCATAAGGTTGTTCTGAAGATTAAATGACAGGAGACAGGTAGAGTGCTTGGAACAGCATCTGGCGCATTGCTGGGCCTTAAATAATTGTTACTTTTATTATGGTGGCACTTATTTCCATATTCAGCCCTGAGGCTGGCTGTGGTCTACTAGGAAATTATTGGCATTCTGGTTTAGGAGAGAGGACTTGACGGGATTTGGGTGACAAGTCTCAGTTCTGCCCTTCCCTGGCCTAGCCAAGCTCCCTTCCTTCCCTGAGTTTCTATAAAATGGCAGCATCACATTCCCCTCCCCAGGTAATGTGACAATGAACTTTAATGTAAAGTGCCACCCACGATCAAGGAATCTCATCATTTAAACTGCTTTTGCCATCTAAGGTCAGAAGGCTTAAACTGAGCCCGTAATTACATCAAGTGCCTGTAATCCTAGCTACATAGAAGGCCGAGGTGAGTGGATGGCTTGAGCCCAAAAGTTCAAGACCAGCCTGAGCAACATAGTGAGACCCAGTCTCCAAAAGTAAATAATTTAAGAGAATAAAAAATTAATTTTTTAAAGAAGGTTTAAACTGGTTGTGACCTAAGGAAACAATTTCTTCCAGCCGCATCATTGAACAGGTGGGACACCAAGCTCCCTTGTAGATAAAGATCGAGGTGGAATGGGAGTGGACACTGACTCCATCTAAGATCATGGAAGCGCTCTCACAGTGACCCTACTGGGCTCTCTGGAAGCTGCATCCCAGCAGCTGTGCAGCCCCTGGGACCAGCCAGGAGTGACCTGGGTGCTGCCGTTCAACCCACCTGTACATTTCCCAAAAAGAGGCAGCCAAGTGCTGATTCAGGGAATTTAAACTTTAATGGTCCCCCGGTCTATTATTATGTTTTAATGAACTGGAAAAGCACAAACAGAAATCCTTAAGAGCATCAGCCGTGACACAGAAATCTAATACAATAAAACAAAGTGCTTATAAACCCCAGAGTTGTTTAAAACCCAGAAATTGCCAATTGACATATGGGACTATATCTTCTTAGCCCCTAGTAAACTGAGTGGCTTCAAACAAGTCCCTATCACCTCCCAGGGCCTCAGTTTCTTCACCTGTGAAATAAGAGGATCAAAAAAAGATAATGTTCTCTCTGTTCTCTTCCAACCGAGGCAGGCATCTCAAGTATTTCTTAGTCAGTTCTACTCTAGGCTACACAGTATCTGTATCTGGCAGCTGTATGAACTACTGTTGAAAATCCTCTTCCCAATCCCAGTTTCAACATCACTCCTCAAGGCAGCATCCACCTTCACTCTAGACTGAATTAATTCCTCTGTCTTACCACCTAAACTCCTCTAGAAAACTTGATAGAGGTAAAGATAAATGCATTTTTTCAAAAATTCTACTTTTCTAGTCCCAAGGCATTGTGTATATCATTCTTATGTAAGTTATCACAATAAACCCATAATTAGTTACTTCCATTTATGTCAAATCGCCTACAAAGCAGAAACATGTATTATTCATTTTTGGCTTCCTCCCCAGTATCTAGCATACGAACTGTTTGCAAACATGCCCAGTTCTTCAAACTTTGTAACTTCATGCCTTTTCTATCTACTACTTGGGATGGGCCCACCCTCCCTTTGTCCTCTAAGCACACTCCTATTCATCCTTCAAAGTCCAGCACAAAAATCCCCTCCTCTGTTAAACTTCAACTGCTCCAGGCTGAGTCTTATGTTTGGGTCCTTCATACGTACCCCTCTTCTATTGTTTGGGGTATTGTGTGCTGTGGGATCTGTTTACTCTCAGTTCTCCCCTCTAGGCTGGGTTCCTTGAAAAACACCCTCTGGACATTTCACCTCTACATCCTCTGCATTCTTGGCCAGGCTCTGAGAGGGCATTGGTAAATGTTAACTGCCTGGCAATGGTGATGCTGTTAACCTGATGTGTCAGGGGTCTGAATAAAGCTGCCTCAAGGTAGGCAGATGCCCACAACCAAGCAAGAACTCAAAGCTGCAGGCTCCTCAGCCTGAACCTTAGACAGCGTCTTGGTCACCATTTCAACACCTTGACCACATTTCTCACTCTCCCAAATTTCCTCCTGCTTATTCCTCATCCACATACATAAGGCTGTGTCTCCCAGGGGAAATTCAACTACTTGGTAATTATCCTGCTTCTTAAGTTTGGGGCTAGGGGATTCATAGATGATGTTCAGTATTATGCTGTGCAATGTAGATGCTTCCTAAACCTTCTCAGGAGCTACCACTGAGTGGCACCTGGGGACCTCTCAGGAAGAGCCAGTTTTCTGGGCAGTGTGGGGCAGGACAGAGCTCATTAAACCAGCCTACCACCTGTCTTCCAGCTCCTCCTCTCAGCCTCTGGGCTTCCAGCAGAAAGCACACGAGAGCATTCTTGTTGGTTTTCTTATGACTTGAGCCAGCGAGACGTACATGCCCAGCACCTGTTACCTGGGCTGGCTCTTGGCTGAGAGCATACATGCATTGGGTCAGGTTTCAGATCTGCTGGAGGAACACAGCCAGAATGTCTTGACAGGCAGCCCTGGCAAAGCCCCAGAAAATATAAGATCTGAGTCTTATGATGGACTCTGTGACCTTGAGCCTCTCACCTCGTGACCTTGGGCATCTCATGTTCTCTCCACAGGTCTCGGTTCTGGACTCCTTCATGGGAGCTGTCATGCCCCTGTCACACAGCAGTGTTGTGCCCCCGGGGATCAGGGACCAGGATGGTCCTTTCTTGGTGGTGAAGGGGGCATTTTGCATATTCCAGAGATTCAAGTTTCCAGACCTATCTAGAAAGAAACATTTGAGTTTACAGGTTGGCGCTTCTCAGCCTCTGTCTCTCTTCCTCTCTGTTCATCTCCCTCTGTCCCCTCTATGTATGTTTGTGTCTCTTTCTGTCTCCTCTGCCTTTCTTTGTCATGTCTTTCTGCTTCTGTCCTATACTGTCTCTCACCTCCACCCTGGTTCCCCCCGCCCCAGATGCTCTTCTCTCTGTGGGGTTTTTTCTTCCCCTCCATTTCCTTCTCCTCTCCCACTCCTTCCTCCCCAGATTCTCCCTCACTACAGGCTTCTCTCTAATCTCTCTCTAACTGCCTATTCTTCTCACAAGAAGGAGTCCCCTCTGGGGCCCAGAGGCCAGGCAAGGCATTGTGGACAAGGAGGGCATCCGTGCCATCCAACGGGCAGGAGCCCAGCCTCCTGGCTGGTGCGTGGCTGTGCTGTGGGTTTGTTTCCACTTACCAAAGGGCATCTGTAATTAATGTGGGCAGTGATAAAGGAGCTGGAGATGTGTTTATGCTCCTTCGAGGGCTGAGATGAAACACCCATAACATTTAATGTGGCGCACTGACATTTAAATGTCAATTAGAAAGTCCCCGCTCTGCTTGGCTGGCCCCTGCATCCTCAGATGAGACCGCCCTCCTCCCTGCCTTGCCAGCCCTGCTGGGACCACCAGCTCACAAAAGACAGTGGCCACACAGCAACCGTGACTGAAGAGTGTGCAGGGTCCAAAGAGGCTAAAGTGGCTTTAAGAGCACTCCGGAGGGGGAGGACTCTTGGAACAGAGAAAGGAGGAGGATGGTGCCAGGCCACCACCAAAGGCACGTGGAAGGGGGCTGGGCAAATGGTGAAGGAGCATGTGGGAGACAAGTTTAGAGGTAGCGTTGGCTTCCTCCTCTCTTCCCTCAGTACCTACAGGGCAGAATCTAGAGCTTGTTTGTGCCTTGGCCCTTAGGCGCTATGTTTCTGCCTCTGTGGTTGATCACCCTCCATTAGACCAAGGGCTTCTTGAGACCAGGTTCCCATCTCTTCATCACACAGGACGCCTATGCACACACGGTGCCTGGCACACAGTAGGTACACAAGGTAGTCTATTCAGTTCAATACAGTATATATTCGTTGAGTTCCCACTGCGTGGTGGGCATTATCCTAGGAACTGAGGCTACAACAATGATTGGGACTGAGACCTGCCCCCACAGAGTGTACAGATGCTCTTCAAATTACCATGGGGCTACCTCCTGAGAAACCCATTGTAAATCAAAAATACAGAAATCAAAAACGCATTTAGTACCCCCAGTTAATCCATCATAAAGTCAATAAATTGTAAATTGAACCATTCTAAGTCCAGATGCTCCTTAACATACAATGAGGTTATGTCTCAATAAACCCATCATAAAGTCAAAAAATCTGAAGTCAGACCGTCGTAAGTCAGGGATCATCTGCGTTACATTTTTAAAGACAGACAGAAAAATAGATATGTGGCAAATGTTTAGATGGAAGCAAAGAAAAGAGGCAGCCGGCCCACCCTGGATGACAAGAAAGCTTCTTGGAGGAAGTCAAATAGAGCTGAGACCCAAAGAATAAATGTGCATTTGCAAGACAGAGAGGCAGAGGGAATACTGGACAGAGGGCCCAGCACAAGTGTGGAGCCAGGAGGGAGCCTAGGAGTGCACAGGGGTTGGTGGCAATGGGCACAGCAGCTTCCTTGTGAAATCTGAGCTCAGAGACCACATGACTGCATGGGGTTCTGCAACCAGCACGTGAGCTCTGTGAGGGCAAGGGCCTCATCTGTCTTGTCCACTGCTGTGTTCCCAGAGTTGGGGAAAGTGCTTGATGTGTAGCAGGCACTCGACAAACATTTATTGGATGAGTAAATGAATGCTGTCTTCACTGGCCTCTCCTCCCTTGTCCAGTTCCCAAAGCTCAGTGGGTCCCCGCAAATGCATTTATTTTGCAAAAGCCTTTCCCAAAGCCTGGCATCCAATGGGTGCCTCATTTCCTCATCCCCTGCACGCCGTCTCTCAGTCCCTGAGCTGCTGTGCCCACGACATGCTCCATTTTCTCATAAAAGCCCTTCCAACAAGGGGCACATTTGCATTTCAAGTTTCCTGGAATTGGAGTACAGAGAAATCTGACTTCCAGAGCCCAGGGCTCTAAGCTGCAGCTGGAGAACTGAAACACAGCAAGCAGGACACCTGCCCAGAATAAGGTTCAGGCCCTGGAATATCACATGGGACCCATGCTCCTGTAGCTGTCTGCAGTCTCGAGCCCCAAGGCAGTAGAACAGGTGTTCATCTTCTCCTGCACTCTGGAAATGGAGTCCAGGGCCTGAGCTACTGAGTTTGTAGACTGCAACTTTGGTAGCAAGAGGCATTTCTCCTCCTCACCTCCACCCACACACAGATCTAGTTCCCCTCGTACGCTGCCCTTTCAGTCTTGGACACTGCAGAAGACCTGCTAGGAGAGCCTAAGAAACCCAAAGCCTTCCCACCTGCCATCCACCAACTATCATTTACTCACCCCCACTCCTCCAGAGTGCAGATGACTATTTCACTTACTGATTTGGCAGGCGCTGCTGCTCCTCACCTTGGTTGGAGTAGAGTTTACCCTGCCCAGCCCTGCAGGCCCAGTGGTAAAGGGAAGGAGGCTAGTGATTATTCCGACTTTGGATCAATCAGTTGCTCAGTTTATTGGAATTACATCCCAGTGGCTGCTATTGATGGAACTGCTGGACTCGGGCCCACAATCCTCATGCCAGTTTTATAACACTGACATCACCTGCTCACACACAGGGCTTCCTCTCCCATCCTGTCCCCATACCTCACTCTGTAGCCTGAGATTTCTAAGGTGGGGGATCTGCACTGGGTGTTTGGCATAAATGATGTAAGAGATTTCCTTTGTATTGCTCTCAGCTACATCTTACCTTTGTGTAAGAATGCAAAGTCATAAGCACAGTTTACAATTGCAATGGGAGGTATGTGCTAGTTTTAAGGTGTTTTGTTTTTTTTTTTGTTTGTTTGTTTGTTTGAGACAGTTTCACTCTTGTTGCCCAGGCTGGAGTGCAATGGCACAATCTTGGCTCACTACAACCTCTGCCTCCCAGGTTCAAACGATTCTCCTGCCTCAGCCTCCCAAGTAGCTTGGATTACAGGCATGTGCCCCCACACCTGGCTAATTTTGTATTTTTAGTAGAGACAGGGTTTCTCCATGTTGGTCAGGCTGGTTTCCAACTCCTGACCTTGTGATCAGCCCGCCTGAGCCTCCCAAAGTGCTGGGATTACAAGCGTGAGCCACTGCATCAGGCGTTTTAAGTTTCTACCATTTGGGGCATATTCAGGAAGATTCCTATCCCAACACACCCCTTCCTTCTGCTTTTATAAACACACAGAGTCCCCAACCACCCTACGTCCTCTTTCCTCCATAACCACGTCACAGTGCACTGTAAACACATTACGAACCAGCTATGCAATAACAATCTGCTGAATCTCAGAGATGCAGAAAGAAATCACTGGGCCTTCTATTGATACATTCTTATGTTATCATTTTTAATTTCTATAATTATGTTTTTAAGGTACATTGTGTATCAGCACAGCAGCAGATGCTAATAATATATTAAAAACTGTACTCGTGTTCTGGGAGTGTTCACAAATTATAGCTTCACACTATTCTCATCTTCTCCCGCCTCTGCTCAGATGTCCTTGAAACATCTCTAAGGATCCTGGAAGGCAAACTGACTACAACACTTATTTGCACAGCACAGCATCTTTCCTATGACACGTCTTTTGGTTTTTCCAATCATCAAAAGCAAGAGGTAGCAGGAGACCGAGCTGTTAGGCACTGACCGTGGCATTGCCTCCAGGGTGAATTGCGGGGGCACAGGAAAAACAGCTCAGATTCCTAGCTTTTCCCCACCTTCCTGATCTACTGAACCACACTTTCTCCAGGGATGTGGCCCGTGATCTATATTTTAAGAAAACACCTCAAATAACTTCCCAGCCAGGTGTGTGCACCACAGTGCTGGGACGTGGTATTGTTCTTGCCATGGGAGGTGGGAGATTCTTGTCCATCCTTCACCCAGAAGCCTGCATGTGGTTTGTCAATTTTTTTTTATTTTATGAAACTTTTTTTCTGTTTACACTCTTGCAGAACAAACAGACAAATTATATAGCTGATGTCACATCCCTTTGAAAAATCTATCAGGTTTCATCCATTCATTCAACAATTGTTTTTACCAGTTACACTTTTTTTTTCATTTGCCATATACAGAAACTGAGGCTCAGTGAGACTGAGAGATTTGTTTCTGACTTAGCTTGTAAGAAAGAGATTCAGGAACTCAACCTAGGTTACCTGGCCCCAAGTCCTGTGCCCTTTTAATTTTACTTCCGTACATTTTAATGAAATGGCTGCGAGACCAGAGCTCTGTGTGTGAACAAGTTGTGCCTTTCAACCTTCCTTTATCTCCCCTTCTCTTTCCCCACCACCAAGAGCAGGCTGATGAGAAAATTAACATTCAGGACACGTTCTGCTCCCTTCTGATTCCCACAGAGAGAACACAGCCTCTGCCTGCCAATTAGTGACGTTCAGATCTCTATTAGAGATGGGGACAGCTAGTTCCAGTTATGCAAATGCCCTTGTCTGAGAGTAGCCATGGGCCAGCAGCATGCCAGTCTCACCTCTCCCCATGGAGTCACCATGGATGTGACTTGCACCTCCCGTGTTGCTTTAACCAATAATCAAATCAGTATCTATTTATATAAGCACTGGCCAAGGTACTGCAGGAAGCTCAGGGACAGATTTTATTTCAGCCTAAAGGAACTTACACTGAGTAGAGAGTGTGGCCAGGGAAAGGGCAGATCTTTCAAAGACACTCTGTTCTTCTCTAAACACTCACAGTTTCTATTTATTACCCAAAAAAATACATAAGGAAAAATACCTAACATTTGTTAAGTACCTACTATGTGCCAGGCACTGTTAGACACTTTATACACATTATCTCATTCAAGTCCATTAATTTTATATAAGAAGCAATATGCTATTTGGTTCAAGGCATGTGTTTTAAGTAGGAAAAACTAGGATTTTTAAAACTAGGATTTTAATCCTGCCACTTTCTCCATGTGGGACTTCTTGACCTCAGTTATTCATCTGCGAAATGGAAGGAAACAATGTCTGTTTGCCAGGAATATTTTCAGAAGCAATTAGATAAGGTATTTAAATCCAAGCACCTCATCTTCATATGACACAGCATAGTGTTAAGATGCCTAATATGTAGGGAAATGACAAAAATGGACAAATGCAGGATATTATTAGCAACAATGCAAAAATATCTGTATATGGATGAAGAGTGGAAGAGGACAATTATGGGGGAAACTTGTTGTCTTTTAATTTCTGAACTATCTGTATTATTATTATTATTTTAGATGGAGTCTCACTCTGTCTCCTAGGCTGGAGTGCAATGGTTCAATCTCAGCTCACTGCAACCTCTGCCTCCCGGGTTCAAGCGATTCTCCCGCCTCAGCCTCCCGGGTTCAAGCGATTCTCCCGCCTCAGCCTCCCGAGTAGCTGGGATTACAGGCACCTGCCATCATGCATGACTAATTTTTGGTTTTTTGTCTGTTTGGTTGTTTGTTTGTGTGTTTGTTTTGTAGAGACAGGGTTTCATTGTGTTGGCTAGGCTGGTCTTGAGCTCCTGATCTCAGGTGATCCACCCGCCTCAGCCTCCCAAAGTGCTGGGATTACAGGCGTTAGCCACCGCGCCCGGCCAACTATCCGTATTATTATGTATTTTCATTTAAGCTTTTAAAGGAAAATGGAAACACTGCATTAAACTGAGCCTCAGAGAAATTCAGTGACTTGTCCAAGGTCATACAAGGACTGGAGGGACCAAGGCAGGATCTATCCATTTTCAATGCCCATGCTTTCCCCCACACACCATGCCACCACATGTCCCTCAGGAAACAGGTCTGCAATGATTCAGGAGACCTCGTAGTCTACATTGATAGATGTAAACAGCATTGGTTTCTGTCTTAGAGAGTGGGCCAGTGAGGAAGGCATGGATCAAAGCAAAAAGAAAAGCCAAGGAGGGGGAGGATGGAGATTAAACAGGTCCCTGGTTGTCAGGGGCAAAACTGTTAATGACGGTGGAGCACCATGAAATTAATGACCCACCCAAAGCACCTGAGAAATTGAACTGGTTATTAAAATGCAAATCATAAACCAGGAAAAGGAGGAAAACAAGCACGAGGAATTAGGAAGAAGGAAGATATGGCATGGAGTACCACGAACAGAAAGTCTGTGGCCAGCACCTGGATATTCAGAGAAAGAGTGTGATTTAGGCTTCAGAAGGGCAGGGGTCTGTAGCTTAGGGACTGGGCAGAGCTGTTACCTAGAAAAGCTAGAAACAGAAATGCATAAATCCCAGTTGTCCCTGACAGTGGGATACAGTCAGGGCCTGAAGTGCAGGGGAAGGCCATCTTAGGTCAGAGGCAGTGGTTCTTGGCATACAGTGGTTTTCCCCCTAAGAATGTTAGGCAATATTTGGTGACATGTTTAATGAGCACAACCAGGTTAAGTATCTACTCACTGCTAATCTCTGGTGAGCAGGGAGACCAGGGGTGCTGCTAAGCATCCTACAAGGCCTGGGGACCTCCCCACCAACTACAGTTATCCAGTCCAAAATGCCATAGTGTCGCTGGGGAGAAACCCTGATCTAAGGATGAGTGAGAAGGTGGATACAGGAGGTGAGGAGGTCAGAAGTCAGACCAAACATCAGATGGGAAGCTAGGAGGAAAAGAGGTCAGAAAAGGAGTTATGAACCAAAGGACAAAAGGAAGTTAAGTAGTCAGTCAGGAGATGAGGATCATAGAGGAGATCAGGCAAAGAGAAGTCCAGAGGTGGAAAAAAGCTTCAGAGCTCAGACGGGCTGGGCTCTAACAATCATCACAGAAGCAGCAAAGATCAAGAAGCAATGGGGAAGGACAGTTGAGGCTAGCGCCAGGGGGAAGGGCCATTGGTGAGGAGCCTTTCTGATCAGAAGTTGGATGGAGAACACCATGGTGGATGTGGATGGAGGTCAAAGTGATGATGTTCTGGAAAGCAGTTTAAACAAAACAAGGGGCCTGCGTGCTTTACTACCAGAGGCCATCTGTTAATGGATGATGGGAAATGCCACTCTTGGCCCCCACAGTCAGGAGCAGGTCACCTTCAACTGGGCACAGCAACACGTCCCACTGCAGGCAGGCACAAAAGCAGAGGCTCATTAAAGAGCTGCCCTGGGCCCAGGCTACATCCTTGGCAAAGGATGAGATTTGCACCCAAGGTCAGGATGGCTCGGGTGTGTGGAGCACGGGCTACGGAGCCAGGTCAATGGAGTTCTAAATCCCTGATCAGCAACCTTCTACAGATGTGGCCTTTGATAGGTCACTGCCTCTCTCTGAAGCTCAGTTTCCTCACCTATAAAAATGGGATCGATAACAGAGGTTACATCTGTGTGGATCACCTAAACTGTAGAGGATTTTGCAAATGTGTTGTTGTGGTTGCCATTCTTATTGCTGGAACATAATTCCCTCATTAGTATTTCTGAGTGCTCTGGTGCATATCTGCTGCAGCAGAATCCTTCATGCATCCAGCAAACATTTCCTGGGCATGTAGTATGTCCCAGACACTGTGCTGAACACTAAGATTACATGGAGGAATAGAGATTAATTTCTGTTCTTTGTTTACTAAGCTCCTAGGGGCTGAAAGGCATCTTAAAGTCCATAAACTTCCTCCTGATGCTTAAGTACCCTCCACAACATCCCACTTATGTGTCCTGGGCTTGCACACTTCTGGTGCTGATGAGCTCACCGCCTCCTGAGACAGGTGATTCCTTCTACAGACCACTCAGACTATGAGAAAGTTCATGCCGGGTGCAGTGGCTCACACCTGTAATCCCAGCACTTTGGGAGGCCGAGGCGGGTGGATCACCTGAGGTCAGAGTTTGAGACTAGCCTGGCGAACATGGTGAAACCCGTTTCTACTAAAAAAAAAAAAAAAAAAAAAAAAATTAGCCAAGCATGGTGGCGGGCACCTGTAATCCCAGCTACTTGGGAGGCTGAGGCAGGAGAATCACTTGGACCTGAGAGGTGGAGGTTGCAGTGAGCCAAGATCACACCACTGCACTCCCGCCTGGTTGACAGAATGCGACTCCATCTCAAAAAAGAAAAGACAAAAGAAAGTTAATATATACCTGTATTGAGCTGAAATTCTGGTTCTGGCCCTTTCTCTGCGGCTACCCAGGCTTGTGTTTTCATCTCCCACATTACCTCCTATTAGGGACTTTAATGGATGACATATTGTCACCCAGCCTCCTCTGCTGGATCGGGATAGCTTTCCATCCAGACAAAGAATTTTCATGACTGAGTGACCATCCCCAGGATGGGCTTTGGTGTCTCTCTTCCCTCAGAAAGTGGGAAGCTCCAAGTGCTGCCCCCTGAAACCCTTTTCCAGTAACCATGGCCTCCAGGGGTCCTGGGGTGATCTCAGAAAGGTAGACAGACCTCTTTAGCAGTAACCTGGAATATTTTGCTACCTTCCTGAAATCTAGAGAACAGAGCAACTTTGCAAGCTTCTTCAAAGGAGCCCGTTCTGACCCAGGTCGATGGAGCTCCCAAAATCTGCACCCCCACCCCCCGCTGCTGTGTGCAACAGGAGAGGGGCTTTCCCGGACCAGCTTTTCCAGAAACATGAATTCTTTTTGACACTTGGCAAACATTTGGGGACCCTCTCAGACCTCACTCTGGGCAGGCCCGAACTGTCTTTTCCATGCCAGAGGGCAGTCCAGGTTCCTATCAGAGTTATTTGAATAATCTTCCCAACACCTCTGAGCTGCAGTTTCTTCATGTGTCAAATACAGATAACAATAGTACTTCACTCATAGGATTGGTGGACAAAGTCAGTGAGGTACCAGGTGGAAAAAGAGGTAGAACAAGCTGGGCTTTGCGGCATGCCACCGTAGTCCTAGCTACTCGGGAGGCTGAGGTAGGAGGATTGCTTGAGCCTGGAAGTTCAAGGCTGCAGGGAGCTATGATCACACCAATGCCCTCCAGCCTGGGAGACAGAACGAAGCCCTGTCTCTAATTTTTTTTTTTTAAAGAGGTTGAAAGGTGTCTGGCACTTAGTAAGCCTTCACCCTAGTTAGCTTTGCTAGGATTATGATTTCCATCCAGACAAAGAAGTTGCCCTCAGTGACGTTCTAGCAGAGTCATCAAAATTGGGTTAAAAGGAAGCAATTTAGCATGGAGCGAGCCTAAAAATGCACCAAAGTAATGAAAAGAGCAAAGCATCTAGACATTTGATATCTGGCTGTTTTTCCCTAGGACCATTGTCATGGATGGGGATAGGAGAGCCATCTAAGGTCCCTGCCCATCTGCAACACTCTCCTGTTTCTGCTCCGATGCTCTACGATGTCGTACGTGGCAGAGCCAGCCCAGCGTGGACTTCAGCTCTCCCAGTAACTGGCTGAGTGATATTAGAAAAGTCACTGAGCCTCTATTTTCTATAAAATTAAGAAAAATCACACTCCCTTATAAAATCCTTAGGGAAATTAAAGATCCTTGGGAAAATAGATCTCTTACAGGCATATCTTGGATACCTGATCAATGATAGCTGCTATAGTCTTCTTCTGATCATGCTTTTCATAATAATCATCTTAATCATTACTGGCATTCAAAGCCATGAAGCACCTGGGAGAAGGAGAAGCTGATCTGTCCATGCCTGTCTCCTTTGGAAAATGCACGCTGTTACACTTCCCCACATGTTCAAATTCATACTCTCTCCCCCACCCCCTTTTTTGAGTGCCCCCAATAGGCACTTGAGAAGGCTGAAGCTGGGATTGTAAACTGCCAGATCTCCTGCCTTGCTCTCACCCCTTGTTCCAAATCTTATCAAATATTAAAAGCTGTGAAATAGAGGCAGGTTTTAAATCATTTTAATCACAGCATTCCTCAGCCTGCTCAAAAGGGCTCAAAGGAATCGATTCAGAAGTGGTAATTATGACTGTGGCCCCGTGCCAGGCGGCGGGTCAGCATTGGAGCACCAGCGACAGACGGCCGGCACTGACTGGGGAGGGCTCCTCCCAGGTGGGGACACCGAACAGGAGATGCCTCCTGGGAGGAAATAAAGCTAAGTCATCCCAGGCTGGGTATCAGGTTTTAAAATTCATAACCAAGTCAACTGAAAATCAGCTTACCTTTATTAAGTCCCCCACTAAGTGCCAGATGCTTTTAGCCTCATTTAACCCTCAGATAACTCCTGGAGGTATGTGTCATTATCCTGATTTATAAGTGAGGAAACTGAGGCTAAAAAATGATAAGTAGTGTCCCAAAGCCAATCAAAAAGTAGCTCAACTAGATCTATCCAGCTTGGAAGCCTGCAATTTGTTCTCTGTGTTTTGGTCACGCTCAGATTCTGAGGACTGCTGCAAAAATGTTGAAGGAGGTGCTACCCACAGGTCCCCTGCTGTCCTTCTCCAGCCTCCACCATCTGCCCGGTCCTCACTCACTTTCCTCCCTCTTCCCCCACATTGTCTTTTGGACTCTGGTTGACTCTTGCTGTCCTCTGGCTACTGGGATTCATCCATGCACATTAGAACCCAGTTAGGTCACTAACCCTTTGACCATCACAGCCCAGCTGTCATATCCCTCCCTAGACTCATCTCTTCCCTGGCCCTTTCACCTCCATGCTGTATACTCCAGCAAGACTTAGCTTCCTCCAGTTCCTCCAGCACCTTTCTCTCCTGCCTTCTTGCCTGTGCGCAGGCTTTTCCCCAACTGGAGCAACTTGCTCTGTCTCCACCTCCAGGTCTCAGTTGAAACATCACTTCTTCCTGGAAAGACTGCTGACTCCTAGGTATTTTTCCCCTAATTTATACCACCGTGGCCAGGGCTTTTCTGCTATGACGGCACCCAGCACTTGGTTGGGGTTACTTGTTTGAATTGTTGGGATTCCTTTTACTGGCCAGACTGGAGGAGGACAGAGAGCACGTCCATCTGACTCACCACAGTCCAGGGCTAAGCAGGGTTGCCGGTACATGGCAGGCACTCAGTAGACAATGGCTGAGTGAGTTATGTCAATAATGGGACCGTGCTTAAATGTGGACATTTCTGGGGGCTCAGGGAATAGGTCATTCTGTGGGCCAGACAAAGCATGCAAGTGAGCAGAGCTGGCCCTTCGCCTACAAAATACCGAAGAATATTCTTCAATATCACAAGAAAGTATCTTTTCCATCATTTTTCTTGAAAAATGCATCCCTCCTGATCTATCTTTCATTTCCTCACATTTAATAGAGATGTGAATACAGAGAACTATATCTCTACTATAAGACAAATAGCACCCTACGCACAGTAATGACAGCCCAAGTAGTCTACTTGTAGGAACAATGAAAGGAAGTGATGGGGGCTGGGGTGAATGGAGGTGCACCGAGCCTGTCTAAAGAGGCTGCTGCTTCTCAACCTCAGCCTGGTATTGCCCAAGGAAATGTGAACCAGTGCAGCCAGATTTCCTGACTTCAAGAGGAGCTGGAAATCGACTGTATGCGTAATGTCCCAATTTTTAAGAGCTGCCTCAATTGAACACGCACAGGCACAAACAAAAACAAAATAAACAAGCCAAATGCAACATCTGCTGAGAGGTTTTGGTTCTTGGATTGCAACCTCTGCACACATTTTCCCACTAAATAAAGAAAAGCTCCTTGCAGATGGACCCCGGTGGGACCTCCAATACCCGGAATGCACCGAATGGCTGGGATTTGTGTGGCCCCAAAACCCTCCCTTCTTGCGCTCACAGTGCTTTCTTGAAGCTTCAGCAAACCCCAGCGCCAAAGGAAAAATATTTATAACCTGACTAGGCAGCGCTTAAAAGATCAAGGCATACGTGGTGTGCAGAAATCACTCGCACATTGTTCCTGTTTCCTCTCTGCCATAGGATCAAATGCTTCCAGTTTCAATGATTAATCGCCTCTCAGTTTTCACCACAAGTTGTACAATGTTATTGACTGAAACAGAAATATTCATTTCAGGACTCTGCTGCTGGAACAAACACAAGCTCTGGGGCGGGGCTGATGATGACTGATGGCACAGGTTGCTGCACATGTTTCTGTGCTATCGGATTCAAACCACCCCTGAGACTGCTCTCTTTACAGATGGGACTCAGGGAAGCTCAAACAACTATCCAACAACAATCATTTAGTGTGACTTTATTAATGGCCACTATCCATGGAATGTTTACTCTATTCCGGATACGGTGCCAGGAACATTACCTATACCATCTCATTTAAGCCTCATAACACCCACTGTTATATTTGGGAAGGAGCCTTGGCAGTAACATTTTATACTTGAAATAACTGAGGCAGAGAAGCCCAAGGCTGCTAAGCAGCAGAGCAGAGGGGCCAGTCCCCAGCCCAGAGCTCCCACCTCGGCTCTGGCATTGCTCTCCTATGCAAGACCCTGACACAGACACACACAGTCTTTTCCAAGCTGGCTGGGCAAGGAACAATTTCTTTTGCAGAAACTCGAGTTACTACAAGGCTTCTGTGGACAGTCTAGGGTAATATTGGTACTTTAATTATGCACCTGGTGTGTTATCTATCCTTGGGAGTTGGGAAAGGTGATGCTCTGGCGGTCTGGGGAAATCTGCCCTCTGAAATTCGAGCACTCTTGAATCTCTTGCCTGGGGCCCAATTGAGCATGGTTGCTCTCCAGGAATGTCCCAGGGCAGTGCCTCTCTAACTCAAATCCTGGGAGATATTCTCCAGCGTCTATGAATTCTCCAGGTAACCTCTTTACAAAATTTAAAATTTTTCATCAAATAATAATCATGTAAACATCAATTTACTATTTTAGGTTGTCTGTTTTAATCACCTTATAACCATCTATGTTGGGGGTCCACAAACTACAGCCTGTGAACTAAATCAGCTTCCAACCTGTTATTCTAAGGTCTACTACTGAAGAATGGCTTCATGGTCTTAACCCATTGAGAAAAAAAAAATCAAAAGAAAAATAATATTTCATGACACTTGAAAAGTATATGAAGTTTAAATTTCAGTGTCCATAAATAAAGTTGTATTGAGACAGCAGTTCTCATTCATCTGTAGCTGCCTTTGCAAAAAAGACAGTGGAGTTGAGTCATTGGAACAGAGACCTTATGGCCCATAGAGCCATAAATATTTACTATATGGGCCAAGACAGAAAGTTGGACAATTCCTGACCTATGCAATGTGATGTTAGTGGCTTATGTTTGTGCTTCCAGCTGAGTTGGGTACTCTGTCTGTTGTGGTTTTGTTCAAGTTCTTGGATTGCAACCTCTGCATAAATTTTCCTGCTAAATAGAGAAAAACTCCTTGCAGAGGGACCCAAGTGGGACCCCCGATACCCAGAATGCACCAAATAGCTGGGTTTTTTACTTTTATTGCCATAGGGCTAATGAGAAAAATAAAAATAGAGGAGGACTCAGGCACTTAGAACATTTGCAGCTACAGAAAGCAGTAAGTCCTCACATTATTGTCTACAGGTTCTTTGATATTGCAACTTTATTAAGTGAAAAGACATATAAAGAAACCAATTTGACCAGAAGCTAATTGAAAGAAATGAGTTAAGTTCCTTGGGCATATTTCTGGGCACAAAAACATCACCAAACTTCTAAATAAAGACCCAAAACACTTGTAACACTAAGCATTAAAATAAATATGAGCTATACATGCATTTAAGAAAGATTAAGCAAAACAAGTCAGATAATTATTTACCCAAGTTTGGTGAATTAGCGAGTGCCAGCAGTCATAGTGGTGGTCTGTTGGATCAAGGAATAAATGTTTGAAAGCAAAAGTTGTCAGGAGCACCTCCTCCTACCACACAGTTCAAAAACAATTACAGATATGGCAGGCTCGCCAAGCACTTCCATACCACATGGTTTATTGCCTTGCATTTGTACGATTATCTTCTGCTTTACAAATTTTTATTTTACAATTACTTTTATTCATTGACTGATTCATTTTCCAATCCACTTATTCCAGTTCAGGGTCACAGGTGGTTGGAGCCCATCCCAGCAGCTCAGGGTGCCAGGAAGGAACCCACCCTGGCCAGGACGCCATCCCATGGCAGGGCACACTCACACACACCTACATACTCACACTGGGACCACACCAGTTCACTTCACATGCACAGCTCTGGGACGTGGGAGGAAACTGGAGTCCCTGGAGAACACCCGTGCAGACATGGGGGAAACGTGCCGATTCCACACAGACAGTGGCTCTGCCAGGGTTTGTTGTTTGTTTGTTTGTTTTTCATCAATGTTATATGAAGCAACAGTATTCGAAGACCTGCTGTACAGCTTTCCAGCAGTTCCAGGAAAAAAGAGCCCTGGGAGACTTAAGCCATCACAGTACAAGGCAGTAGAGGCAGGGTGAAATAGAATGGAAAAAAAAAATGTGAACCCACACTGCAGTCATACTGGAAGCAGCAATCCCATTTCAACCAAACAACCTCACATTAAACTAATGTTGTTAATTTGAAGTTTATTGGTTTTGCAGTCGTATTTGTGTTTAATTTGGAAATTTGTTTCAGTTTTATAGCTGAATAAGAGCTAAAAAGCATAAGGATTTTATACCTAAGTTTTATGTCTGTACATATTAAGTAACATTATGGTAAAGTCAACACTTACTGAAAATGTCCCCTTTAATAGGGCATATGTTACTTAAGTTTAAGCAGGAAAAATGGGTTTAAGAAATACCAATTGTATTATATCTTTAAATATGTGTGAGCTGTTCAAAGTTGCCACCTGGCAGAAAATTCAATCTCAGTTACATAGGGAAGTTCCTACCCCTTTCTAGGAAAGGGTCTTGTTAAATAAGAATTCTAAGCTTAAGTTGGAGACAGGTTCTTGGGTTGGGGCAGTGATCATTTTTTAATCTTGCTTGTATGCCTACACTGCTTTTGTGTGTGCTGATCTGTCCATCCTTTAGGCTGTGCTCTGCAGAATGGCTCAAAATCACCCCTCACTTAGTCCTCCCACTTGCTTCCTTTGTACCCCCTCAGCCCACTTTGCTTCTTCCTCTTTCCTGGACAAAGGGAGCACAGTTGTTCTCAACGGGCCTTTAGAAGCAAAATTCTGGCTTGACTTTCCAATGTGGGAGTGGGAGAGGACTGCTAAAAATAATTGGTCTTTCTTCTTAGCAATTCACCTTATTACAACTGTTAGGTGGAAAACTTTTTTTTCGTTTTACTGAAAAGTTTAACCCAGGCACTGAAGAGTTAGATTGTATGGACCTCTTTTAATCATCTGCTGAGTTCTCCAATGTATCAGTTAGCTATTGCTGTGTAACAAATCACCCCAAACGCAATGCTCTACAACAATAAAAATCATTTATTCTGCTCACTGCCTGCAGTTTATTCAGGCATTGGATGAGACAGCTTCTTCCTGCTCCATGTGGAGTCAGCTGGGTACTTGAACTGGGACATGGATGATCTACTTTCAAGATGGCTTATTCTCAGGGCTGCCAAATGGATACCGGCTATCAGTTGAAAGCTATAAGCAGGGGCACTCTGCATAAGCATGGCTCATCTCTACAAAAGCTCCTCCCCAGTCTCCTTGTTTGGGCCTCACAGTGTATGGTAACCTCAGGGCAGTCAGAATGTGACAACTAAAGACTTCAGGAGTAAGTATTCCAGGAAGCAAGATATAAGCTATGTGGCCTTCTAAGACCTAGCCTCAGAGGTCACATAGTGTAACCTCTATCACACCCTATTGGTAGATATTGTAACAGAAGCCCACCCAGTTTCACAGATGGGGACATAGACTCCATTTCTTAATAGGTAACTGGCCAGAGTTGTAAAAGAGCATGTGGGATGGAAGATATTGTTGCAAGCATCTTTAGCAAATACAACTGGACATACCCAATGCAAGCACAGGATTGATCCTCCACTCTGCCCCCATACCCCATGATTTATTAGCCACTCGGACAAGTGACTTCAACTCTCCAAGCCTCTGTCTCCTCCACTAAAGTGGGGACAAATGAGTATTACAAATGAGACCATTAAATAAGATAATACATTTTAAAAATTAACCTGGTACCTGTCACAAAGTACATGCCTAACAAATGTTTGCTTCTGTCTCACTTCCTCAATTTCATCTCAGTCAACCTGGACTGACTCAAAATGGCATTCTTCTTGGCTGCCCCCTTTGAAGTATTTCTGCTGAGAAAATAGTTTCTGTGTATTTGTAAATTTACAGGTTGAACATAGATCATTATTCAAGCATTGCTGGTCGATTCGTCTTTTCAAAGGCGGGAGCTGCTGGCTGTGGGAAGGGACCCAGCAGGGGTCTCTTGCAACCCTGCTCTATGGGTGGGGGAAATCTGGACCTCCCTCTGGTGGGGTTGATTGAAGTGAAGGGTCACCATATGTCTTTCCCAAGAGGGTGACTGACTTCCTGCTTTGGTCCCAGTTTCCCTGAGATTTTCCTGAAAGCCCTTCCGGCTAGCCCAGTTGGGAGTGTTAGTACATCAGATCCCATGCTTTGGTGAAAAATGTAAACACAGACCTGATTTTTCATTTTAAATGAAGCCAAGCATATTGCTCCCAGCAGATGCCGAGTGACTCAATCTGTCCTCTCGGTTCTGAAGGGAACTGAAGAACAACATGGTAAAATAAAGCAAACAGCACATTTATTGGTTGATAAAATGCTGTTTTAGTCTACCCTGGCATTATATGGTGATTGCTATGTGGCGAACATCTGTTATTAAATCCAGACTTCTGTTGCCTGGATACATTGAGTCAAAAGCTGGAGCGGATGAGAAATCCATTTATGCGTCTGTTGCGTGTGAATGTCAGAGCTCATATGATGCCTTTGTCTTCATTCTAACTGAATCTTTTAATATGGACCGTCTCACTTGTTAATTCTGACTCAGGGGCAATAATGTTTTCATTTGATTAAAAAAGGTTAAAGAAACAAAGAAACAGTGTTTTCTCAGGTGCTCTAAGTAATTCTGTTAATGAATTTTCGGAGACAGCGTGTGAATTTGAAAAGAGTAGGACTTTTTAAAGAGTTCATACTATGAACCCAATAATTCAGATCCTAGGGCCTTATCCTAAGGACATAATAGAAATGAGCACATTTATAAGAACAAAGATGTTCAATGAAGTGTTACTTACAACAGCAAAAAAACTTGAAAGTCACCTAAATGTTTGTAAGTCAAGAGCTTCATTGATATTGACTGCAAAGTCCATGTTATTCCATGTGACGAATTTTTTAATCAATCACCTCTTGATGGATTTTAAATTTTTTACAATTTTTTGCTATCCTAAAAAAAATGTGTCAATGAACAACTTTGAACTACCCTGACTACCACTTTAGGATAGATTGCTAGACGTGGAATTACTAGGACAAAGCCTATGTTATAATATTCACTCAGTCAACAAACATGTCTTGAGTGCCCACTATGTGGTAGGCAGGCTTTGCTCTAAACCTCAGAGGCCCCGTGGCAGATGAAAGGCTCTCACCTTCACGGAGACAACAGAGTGAGAAGGGGGGAAAGAAAACTAGAGGAATCTAGTAGACAGTAGCAGATGCTGAGGAGACTGAGAACAGTGGAAAGGCTACACACAGGGATCTCTGAGTGCCATGGTTCAGAGATCATTGAATGAGGTGAGATTCAAAGAGTCTGAGAAAGTGCCTGATAGAAGAGGATGGTTGGCTCTGGAGGGACAGAAGTGGAGGGTGGGAGTGGGGGAACTGGCCTTGCCTGAGTGTATCCAAAGAGCAAATCTTTCTCACTGGGCTGACTGACCTCGAGAACAGGCCTATGGCCCTTGTGTTTCTTCACTGCCATCAGAAAGACTGTGCACATGAGGAGATGGAAGGGACTCTCAAAAGAGAGAGGGGATCATCAGGGATGAGATCCGTGGAGAATCACCGCAGAGCTGGCAGCGTTTATCTAAGAATGTGGCATTGGGAAAAGTGGTGCAGGCTACATTCCAGGCGATAAGGACCAAGCAATGAAATAACAAATAAGTCATCTTAAAGTTAAAGGAGATGGACAATAGACAAACAAATATGTTTCAAAACATGATAAATGCTATGGAAGAAATAAAGAGGGTTGGAGAGAGGGTTCTACTTAGATAGCCTGATCAGGGAGAATCTCTCTGAAAAGAGGATGTTTTGGCTAACATATGAATATAACATATGAATATTGGGAAAGAGACAGTCATGAAGAGAGATTGGGAGCGTAAGATTCCAGGCAGAAGGAATAGCAAGAGGGAGGGCCCTGAGGTGGGAACAATCTTGATATGCTTGAGGGACAGAAAGAAAGCCATGACTGGAGCATAGGGAGTTATCTGGAAAATGGCAGGAGTAAGTGTATCAGTCAGCAATTGTCACTGTAATGCTGTGTAACAAACCATCCAAACCTCAATGGCATAGTAGAGGTAGCTGAGTCAGGACTAGAACCCAGGCATGATTCTCTTCAAATTTTTCTCTTTCCATCCATATTCACTACCTTCCTATGTACAATCCACTTTCTCTTAAAGTCACAGCAGCCTCAGAATGTATTACATACATAAGAACTAGTCCTACATCTAGATGTAATGGCTTTCAAACCTTTATGAGCATAGGAAACACCTGTTGAGCTGGTTTAGAATATAGCATTTAGGGCCTTGCCTCCAGATAGTCTGATTTCACAGAAACCTGCATTTTAAAAAAATCACCCCAAATAGTTATGATGAAGGTGATCTATGTACGACACTTAGAGAATCAGTGATGGAAAATTCACCAAGAACAGCCACAGGCAGGCCAGAAGAATGGCCCTGCCCCTCTACTTTTAGGATTAAGCAGAAGCTGGCCCTAGATCTCACCAGTTACCAGTGATCTTGGGCATTTTTAGCATCATGTGCATTGCTTCACTGTGATACCATCTTGCTGGCACAGCCATGGAAAGCCATGAGTTAATGCATCTCCCCATGTAACAAACCTCCCCTAGGACTCTGGTCCACACCTATCTCTGCTAGATTCTCTGGCATTGCAAGAAATTCTTCAGACTGCCCCAAGAGATTCGTTCCAATCTAGGGGCTCCTTATCCCCAGCTCAGAGCTGGATTTGGCTCTTGCTTGGAGGCGGGAAGCCCTGCTGGGCCAGGGCTTAGAGGGGCTCACAAGAAATCAAAGCAAGCATTCTCCGCCTCTCTCCTACAGCCCTGCATGCATCTTCTCTGATCCCTTGCCTGAGTGGGGGGTGGCATTCCAAAAGCTCATTACTGGCTTACATACTTTGCCTTAAATCAGCTCTTAAATGCCCTGGGATGAACAGCCCTAAATAGGAAAGAAAAAAAAAAAACAAGTTTCTTGCAAGTTCACAGATATGCTTGGTGCTTTCTGTCAGGCTAGGGTGTAGCCTTCTCTGTTCTAAATTTGATTTTCTGAGTCTTTAAGGAAAAATGGCTACTGGTCCCCTGGACGCTGATTGCTTCAGCATCTGAATCTGCTCCATCACTTCTACCTCCACCCACTGGTCCACGTCCAGTGGGTAGAGGTAAAGGGGATGGAGATATCATTTATCTTCAAAGGATAAAACTGCTCTGAGAGATCTTTGCTTTCTTAGAAACACTGCTGGAAAGTTGTTTCTTTAGACTACATTAACAGAAGTACCATCTCTAGGAAGACAAGGTGGTAATAACTAACATCAAATGAGCAGTTCCTATGTACCCTGTACATGTCTTAGCCAACTTCATCCTTGTAACAAACCTGGAAGGCAGGCACTGTTATCACTCTTATTCCCAGGTGAACCAGTTGAGGTTCCAAGAAGTCTTTTGTGCAAGGTCATGCAGAGTTGAGGCCCCCAAGTCGGTAGACTTCAGGAGCCAGACCCTCAACCCCCTCACTGCCTCCCGCCTCATGCTGCACTGAGCAGACCATACCCGGATGGTCATGTTCAGGTTGGCTATCAATGCAGACCACGCTGGGCATATTCAGGGGACGGATACTCAGAACTATATAACATAAGGAATAGAGGAAGGACTGGAGGATGTATTAACATGAAGAAAAGGTAGACTCATGGCAGGAGATGAGCAGGGTAAAGAGGTGCAAGACATAAAAAGCCAATTTCATATACATGAAGATTTATCAAGAGCCAGAAGGCCCTCTATGGGTCCAAGAGTTACAAGGCCTAATGAGGTGAATTAATGCCAGCATATAAGGAAAAGCTTTTGAATACTCAGAAGTGTCCAAAAAGGGGTCAGGCTGCCTTGGAAAGTAGTAAGCTCTCCATCAGAGGCTTGGCAACTTCTTATTAGGGATGGTATGAGTATCTCAAGTACAGATACAGATGACCCAAATAACCACTGAGGCACTTCTGACCCCAAGTATAAGAGATTCTATTGTAACGCACAGGAGTCCATCTCAAGCAGCACACTGAGCCATCTCCTTGATAAACCTAAAGGTAGGTATTATTCCTCCCAGATGCTGTCTTCTTAGCCTGGGATGCAAAAGCCATAGGATCACTTCACGTCCAACCCCCATCAGGTGATCTGTCATGAATCACAAGTTATTGGAGCCAGATGGAACTACAGAGCTAAAAGATACATGAAGACACCGAGGCCTGCAGACAGGGACTAACTTTCCAAGGTCACAGAGCTAACAAGTGTCAGAGTCAGGCTAGACCCAGGACTCACAAGTTGAGCTCACAATTAGTTCCACTTCCTACACCACCTGGATCATGAGTGTCAAGAATGAAGGACCTTTGGCAGTCTTCTCATCCAGCAGTGACAAACAGGATGCACTTCATGTGCCAGCTTTTAATTCATTGGTCATGGTTTCCTGAAGTGCTGTTGTCCAGAAATATTCTGAGGCCATATCTGGATCCAGTGGACATGAGTGAATCATTTATGATGTCTGCTTTGGACACAGGTGGGGAAGTGACAACCTGTGTACCAAGGGTTTGGCAGCCTTGAGCTAATCCATCTTAATGACTTTCTGCACATGCTGCCTGGAAGTGATATTAATATTGCAAAAGAGATTATAATGTGTGATAACGTTGTAGTACCTCACTTATTAAAATAATTCAAGGATCCATCTTTGATGGTTAAACCCACTGTCTATGTCTGTTTGTGTTCCTACAAAGGAGAACCCAAGGCTGAGTAATTTGTAAAGAAGAGGTTTATTTGGCTCACAGTTCTACAGACTGTCAAGAAGCATGGATCCAGTGTCTGCATCTGGTGTGGACCTCAGGCTGCTTCCATTCATGGCAGAAAGTGAAGAGGAGCTGGATGTGCAGAGATCACATGGCAAGAAAGGAAGCAAGGGAGAGGGGGAGATGCCAGGCTCTTTTAAACAACCAGCTCTTGGGGGAACTCTCTTAGGACTAATAGAGTGAGAACTCACTTCTTACCTGGACAATGGCACCAAACCATTTATGGAGAATCCACCCCTGTGACCCAAACACCTCCCATGAGGCCCCACCCCCAACACTGAGGATCAAATTTCAACAGATGAGATGAGGAGGATCAAATATCCAAACTATAGCACCCACCTAACGAATGCAAAAGATGTGCAGTGACCTTAAGCCCCAACAATATAGAGCAGATGACAGTTGATATGTAGATAGTTTGAATGACAGTTTAAGGTAGCAGGTTGGCAGGTGGCTCCACCATATACTTGTTGAGTAGTCCTGAGCAGGTGTTTCTCTGAGATCCTTTGGCTGGTCTGTAAAATGAGAGATAATGACTCTCTCACAAGGTTGCCATGAGAAATAGAGAAAATACCAAGTACTCAGCATAGCCTAACATTTAGCAGTTGCTCAATAAATGATAGGAAGTATTGGCTTTATAATATTGCATCTACCCCCTTCTCTCTATGTTAGAACCTTTCCAGGCATTTAAAAGGTGAGCAGCAAAGGCCACCCATAAATGTGCTGCTAGAGAGCACATAGGTCACCAATCTCAGACTATTGGTCTGAGGCAGATTTTTGGAGTCTCTTATTCCCGAAGAGATCCAGGGACCTGCTTTGCAGGTGACTGAGAAGACCAAGGCCAGGAGGGAAGGCCAAAAAGCTCCAAGCAGATCACTTATCTGTATAACACTTTTCACCTTCCAGTCCTTCTTCATGGAGTTTCCCAAAGTACACACCCACAGTCCTACAAATTGGGGAAGAGCCAGAGGCAATAAATGTGTGGGAGCAGTCAGCTGAGAACTGGATGTTGAAGGATTGTACATTTTCTTGAATTACATGGGAGCAAACTGCCTCCTGAGCCTGCTGTACCCAAATTTATCAAAGCACAAAGCATTTTTAAAGACCATTTAATAAACTGATTAAATGTATTTGACAACGGAGCTAGAAAGCCAGTCAATTCATGTCTTCATCACTCCTGAGAAGTTGCCTACACGATAAAAATGGAAGTTCTCTGAATCTGTGGGTGGGAGGGCTTTCACTCTCCTAATGGAGGAGGGAAAACCAGGGCATGCTGGGAGGCCGTCCCAGCCCATCTTCCTGACATCGCTGCTTTTCCTGTACTGTGCTAAGTGCAGAGAAGGTCCAGCGCCCTGCCTGTTTTTCACTTGCATTCTTGTCTCCAGACTTTCTTTCTCTCCCCACCCTTCTCATGACCACTAGCATCTAAGTTTATCGCTTCCTCTCTGTTACCTCTGTATCCTCCAAGTACATGATATACCTCTACAGCTCATCTGCCAATGCTGCAAAGTTTACTTATTTATAACCTTCCCAGTGCCTTGTGTATATTAGATGCAGGAGTAAGATGTTGTGATCGAGATCGTGGTGGTGATGATGATGATGGGGAGGGAGAGGAAGAGGAGGGGGAGAAGATTAGGCAAGAATGTAAAAGCCCTCATGGGTCTTGGAAATCACAGCATCTAAGTTCTCTCCTTCCTCTCCCCTCCTTCCCCTGGTTTAGAGATGCTTTAGCTAGCCTAAGGGCAGAATAGCCTGCCTCTTCATTTGTTCTTCAAAATCCATTGTTTGGGGCACAAAATGATCTTCAGAGTTTAGGCTCTTGAGGCTCAATAAACTTAAAATCTTTTCTCAGCTTTCCTGTTAGATCACCCACCCCCGAGGCAATGAATGCTGCTGAGCTGATGGAAAAAGGGCGGTGAGAAACTCCAGAAATATTTTCCGGCAGTGTTTCTTCTTTATCTCTGTCCCCCAGTAGCTCAGTGAGGTAAAGATAATCATCAGTTTTTAATTTTTTATGTTATTATTGTGGCTGCATAACAGTTGTACATATTTATGGGGTTCATGTGATACTTTGATACCAGCATGTAATGTGTAATGATCACATCAGGTCGTTATTTTAACACTGAGGATATGGATGCTCAGAATGGACATTGGCCTCACTGAGGTAATGCAGGGGTAAATGGAGGCACTGGATGGGGCTGGAACCCCCATCTGTCTGACTCAACTACCTGAAGATGGAATATGGGTTGTGCTAACTAAATTAATGAGTAGAGGCTGCCTGAGGCGCTGCCTTGAGAACAGTTCTGAGGCTGCATCTGAACTTGGTGAGAAAAGAAGTGCTGTGATCTATTAGTAATGTCTGCCATGGGCACTGGACCTGGGAGCAGCCACGGGAGCCATGCCATGATCCCCAGACTCCGTGCTTCTTAGAAATTCTGATTGTTGTTTGTTCAATAGATAAATGAATGCAGAAACTGCTTCCTTAATGTAGGCTTAGAGAAGGGGATTGGAGTAGGAAGCAAGAGAGGCAGCTCCTGGGCCTGTTCATGGTGTGTCGGGAGGCCAGGCTGGACAGTAAGAGATAAGAACGGCAGGGGAGATTGAGACCAGAACTTGGAAAAGCTTACAATGCCAAACTAGGAAGCCTGAGGGTCGTGAAAGGTTTGGGCTCAGAGGAATAAGTAAGAAAAGCTGCATTTAACACCAGGAATCTGGCAGGGACACGTAGAGTCAAGGAGACAGAAAGACCAGCTTGGAGAGTGGTTGAGTCTGCACGAGGCGTGGAGGGGTGCCCAGCCCCCGGCAGAGGCAGGTCACAGTGACAAGGACAGAAAGCCTGGAGGGACAACTCCGGGGACTTAGTGGCTGGCAGAGGGGACTCTTTTCCCCAGTGACTCATATGCTCCTTTTTTTCTAGCTGAATTTCAGTTTTATTTTCAGCTCCAATCAGTGGCAATAGAGGAATCCGTGTGCTTTATTTCTCCTGCTCCACATTCCTCCCCACAGTCTCCCAGAGGCTAACATTCTCCCATCCTCCAAAGAGAAGAAATCCACAGCCCAGAGCAGAGCAGGCCTGGTGGCTTCATGACAGTCATCAGTGTGGCCCCATCTACTAGTGCTCTCCAAGTCCAGCAATGTGTTAACCCTTTACAGGCATTATCCCATGTAACCCCTAACAGCCCTAGGAAGTAGACACTACTAGTACCTATAATTCACAGGTAAGAAAACTGAGGTTCAGAAAGGCAAAGTAACTGGTTGAGGGTCACACAGCTAAGAAGTCGCAAAGCCAGAGTCGAAAATATTCAAAACCAAAAAGAAAAAAAAGAAAAAAAAATCTGAGTTGAAAGCTTGCTCTCTTAACGATATAGCTCTGGCCCAATTAAGCTATAAAATGTCACAGGTAGCAGTGTCCTTAGAGAACACCTAAGCTGAGAACTCCCTCATTTTTCAGAGGGGGGGATCTGAGGGTCAGTGAGGAGATCTGTTTTGTCCAGGGTCATCAGTGAGTTAGGGGATGAGCCGGGACTTGAACCCTACAGTGGAAGAAATGTGAGCCACAGAACTTACCATGTTGCTTGTTGACTTCCTCTGGCACATTCCACTGTATTTTCCCCGAAGCCTCTCCCCAGCCTCTCAGCCCCACTCCTCGTGGCTCCACTCCCTATTACTCAGAGGTGTTCAGCTCCACCCACTAGTCTCCCAGCATGGCAGTTTCTGCCCATTACAGGCCTACAATACCTGCGAGCCTGTCAGCCCCCTGCCTCCCACCTCTCACCCCCCGCCCCGGAAATGGTTCTGTTGTTACCGGACCAATCAGGGCACCCAGCAGCGTCTAGAACTTGGGGCTGATAATGGCATCGTGAATAGAGGAAATTAGAGCTGAATGCATTCACAGTGAATATTCCTCCCAGGGCAGACGGGGCCATTCGCTGAGTGGCACATGACAGATGTTCACATGGAACCCAGTCGCAGGGCCACCTTCACTCCTTTCACCAGCACGGCTGTCTCCCAGCCCTGGCCGTGCTTTAGAGCACTCTGCATCCCCAACCCTGGCCCTCCAAGCCCTGCAGGAGCCAGTGGTTCTGCATGTCTCCTCTAGTACCTCTCAAGCACATGGCCTTGGCCCTGAAGAGCGTAGTGGTTGATCGCACAGCCTTTGGGGTTAGATGTATCTGCTTCCAAGTCCCAACCTTCTGCCTCACTGCTGGGCAGGCCGGGCAACATGCCTGAATCTCAGTGCCCCCATCTGTAAAATGGGGATAATTAATACCCACCCCACAGTGGTCATGTGAATTCAATGTGATTATGAGTGTAAAGAGTTTGTCCCCATGCCTGGTATACAGCAGGTGTTCAATAAACGATGGCTATTATGATCATCGATTGCTCTCTGTCACCTGTGTATCCTCCAAATGCATGACTGGCCTCTGCAATTCATCTGCCTCAAAGTTTACTTCTTTGTAACCTTCCCAGTACCTTGCATATATTAGGTGCAGGATTAAGGTGTTGTGATTGAGATGATGGTGACGATGATGATGAAGATGCTGATGGGGATGCAGAGGAGGGGGAGAAGATTAGGCAAGAATGTAAAAGCCCTCATGGGTCTTAGAAATCACAAGAGGGCAATTTGTTGCAGCAGAAATTGAATTACCTTTGGAGTTATACAGATGTGCTGAAATTTACTGTCAGCAACAGGAAACTCACACACCCTGCCGGGTCCATGCCACATTGTTCTGTGTGGCTGGGGAAAGTTACCTCATCTCTCTGAGTCTGGGTCTCAGTCCCTCATCTTCTCCAGGGCTGTTGTTAGGAGTGAATGAAGCCATGCTCACAAAGTGCTTAGCACAGTACTTGGCCTAGTGGGTGTTCGATTCACAGTGGATATTGCTGTTGCTACTCTTGTCAGTATATTTCTGATCTCCCCAACTTACAGATCACCACTCCCCTTGAGAGCAGAGTTGTACACTTCATTGTGTGTGCTTCTGGAGGGCAGGGATGGAACATCCATTCATTTAGTCAACAACTGTGGATTGAGCAGTGTCTCTATGCCTGCCACTGTGCTCAGCTCTGACCACACAGCAGTGAACAGAATAGATGAGCTCTCTCTGTCCTCATGGAGCTCACAGCCCAGTGGGGAAGACAGATATATAGGCAACAAGTTTTTAATTGCAAGTAAAGGTGCCAGCCCCAAAAAACACCAAGTCACAGGATACAGAACAATGTGGGATGGACCGGGCAGGGTGTATGAGTTTCCTGTTGCTGCTGTAACAAATTATCACAAATTCAGTGGCTTAAAACTAATAAAAATGGGCCGGGTGCAGTGGCTCATGCCTGTAATCCCAGCACTTTGAGAGGCCAAGGTAGGCAGATCACCTGAGGTCAGGAGTTCAAGACTAGCCTGGCCAACATGGTGAAACCCTGTCTCTACAAAAATAGAAAAATTAGCCGGGTGTGACTGCAGGCACCTATAGTCCTAGCTACTCCAAGAGGCTGAGGTGGGAGAATGGCTTCAAACCATGAGGTGGAGGTTGCAGTGAGCCGAGATTGTGCCATTGCACTCCAGCCTGGGCAACAGAGCGAGACTCTGTCTCAAAAAAAAAAAAAAAAAAAAAAAAAGCTAATATAAATGTATTATCTTGCAGTTCTGGAGGTCAGAAGTCCAAAATGAGTCTTATGGGACTCAAATCAAGGTGTTGTAGTGCTGTGTTCCTTCCGGGGGCTCCAGGGGAAAGTGTTTCCTTGCCTGTTACAGCTTCTGGAGGCCACTCACATTCCTTGTCTCACGGCCCCTTCCTCCATGTCCTAAGCACATCCCTCCAATCTCTGCTTCTGTCATCACATGGCCTTCCTCTGACCCTGAGCCTCTGCCTCCTTCTGAGAAAGACCCTTGTGATTACATCAGGTTCACCTGGATAATTCAGGATAATCTCTTCATCTCAAAATCCTTAAGTTGATCACATCTGCAAAATCTCTCTTACCATGTAAGGTAACATATTCACAGCTTCTGGGGATTAGGACATGCATCCCTAGGGAACCATGATTCAACCTAGCATGGGGGAACCCACTACAGGCAGGTGTTGTCCTTGCCATCGCCAGCTCAGTGCTTGGCACAGTAGAGGCCATGGATATTCATTCAGAGAGAGCATGCACTGAGGCAAGCCTGACCTCAAGATCAAGACAGGAAATTGGCTTTCATGGGTTAAGGACCTGTTACTTTGCTCATCAATGTATCCTTAATCATCAGAGGTCAGATCTGCTGGAGAGTGCAATCTTTCAGTTTCCAAAAGTAAGACTGGATGCCTTAGAACTTAAAGTCAGGGAGGTACCCAAGAAAGCAATCATAGACTGAGTCCCCATGCAGTGCACTTTCTCGGATGGACAATTTCTCTGTTCTGACAGTCACTGTTGACTCCATTTCTCAGATGAGGGACCGAGGCACAGAGAGGTGCAGTCAGTCACCTGAGGCCACACAGTCAGGAAGTGGAAATCCATGGAAACTCATCATCAGCTGCCTCGCATCAGGGCCAGTGCTCTTTATCTCCACCCCACACATTATAAAGCCACTCAGCTTTACACTCAAGGGAACTTCCTATTTCCCTACTGGATTATATGTATAATTTGTAGTATTGCAAGATTTGAACAGAAGCGAGCAGCAGCTTGTAGTTGTGTGTGTCACTCACTCCTGCCTGTGGGGATGCCACGTGATTGTTTAAAGGGTTGGAATCAGGAGAAAGGCAGGCTCAGAGCAGGACCAAGAGAGAGCCCACCCCTCGCCTCCCCAAATCCTTCAGCTTCCTGAAGTGTGGCTGCTGGGTAGCAGCTCCCCCAGGGAAGAAAATATAAGATATTCCCAAGGGACCCTGGAAGCTTTATCCCAAGGCTTCACATGTGTAGGCTGTTTCCTGTGATTCGGTCTGGCTGTCAATGATCTAAGATTGAGAGCCAAGGTCAGTGAGGGGGGAAAAGGGACATGTAGTGCAGGGGTTCAGCATCCAGGCCTAGGACTTAGACTGAGGCTCTTTACCCTCCTCTGTTTCTTGCTGATGGCCTTAGGCAAGTCGCTTCCCCTCTCTGACCCTCAGTTTTTCCCTCTGATGAAATGGGTGTAATAATTGTGCCTACCTCTTCAGGGTTGCTGTGGGATAAAATGAGCTCATACTTACTTCTTTTTTTTTTTTTTTTTTTTGAGACAGAGTCTCGCTCTGTAGCCCAGGCTGGAGTGCAGTGGCGCGATCTCGGCTCACTGCAAGCTCCACCTCCTGGGTTCACACCATTCTCCTGCCTCAGCCTCCCAAGTAGCTGGGACTACAGGTGCTGCCACCATACCTGGCTAACTTTTTTTGTATTTTTAGTAGAGACGGGGTTTCACCATGTTAGCCAGTATGGTCTCGATCTCCTGACCTCTTGATCCACCCGCCTCGGCCTCCCAAAGTGCTGGGATTACAGGCGTGAGGCACCGCACCCAGCCAGCGAGCTCATACTTTCATGTTAGCATTAGCATAGTTCCTGACAATAAGAACCAAATACGTGGTATCTGCTATTTTCTGTTTTAATTAGGTATTCAGAGTCTATGTTAAATTAATTAACATATATACTTATGGAACACCTACTCAGTGCCAGGTATTGTTGTAGATGCCAGGAGTACAGCAGGGAATAAAACAACATCCCTGTCCTCGACACAAACACACAAGTAAATAGAGAAGGTCAGAGATAAATGCTGTGCAGGAAAACAAAGCAAAGTGAGGGATGGAGAGTGCGGAAGGTTGGGGCACTTTTGTTTCAGATGAGTGTCAGGGAAGCCCCCTTGGAGGAGGCACTGTAAGGGCACAGACTCGAATGAAAGGAGTATGTGAAGGTGCTTAAATTGTTTCTGTTTGGTTTGGTGTGGTGTGATGTGGTGTGGTGTGGTGTGGTGTGGTGTGGTGTGGTGTGGTGTGGTGTGGTGTGGTGTGATGTGATGTGGTGTGCGGTGCGGTGCGGTGCGGTGTGGTGTGGTATGGGTTGAGGCTGGCCTTAGGAGCCTGTTGGCCTTCCAGGCCAGTCCTGAAGCCCAGCCCAGAGCACCAGACTCTGCAGTCAGTCAGTGGAGGGCCCACATCTCAGCCAATGCATGGCTTTGGGTGGTGACTTCATCTCCCCTAGTGTTCCTTTCCCCCTCTGCAAAATGGGAATGGGGATGGCTCAGAACTCCCAGCGGGAGTTAGGAGGAATAATGTATAGGAAGTATGAGCAGAGTGCCTGGCCTGGAGCATAGCGCATGGCCGATCATAGGTAAGTGCTGGTGTTGATTTTATTGGACACAAGTTTGGAAACTCAGAGCCTGCAGGGATGGCCTTGAAGGTAAAGAAGAGGTAGTTGGGAGTTTTACACTTCCCAGGACCTACCCTCAGAGAGACAGGGGTCATTCCAGAGTATCTGGATACCCAGTTTGGGCCAAAGATACTTCCAGCCAGGGCACTCGTCAACCACCTTGATATTTGCCCAACACAGCTCCTCTGAGGAGAGCTTGAGGTCTGGGGGCCCCATGCTGCTGATTAAACTGATGGCTGGGAGGCAGGTAAAGCAAGAGTGGAGAAGTGAGTCTGGAGGTGGAAATGAGATCTCCAAGGAGGGGATGGCTGACTGAGGCTGACACGTTTCTATCCAACCGGTAGAGGATTTGCAGTTGGACTCTGCTTTATGGCTTGGTGATGGTCAGTGTTGGGGCAGGCACTAGGTCAGAGGGTGATGGGAGGGGTGAGGGAGGTTCCAGTCTCACGCTAGGCTGCCTGCACCTTCAGCCTCAGCTACCTCACCACCTAACTGGGGAGGATTAACTATAACTCTGACCATTCCTGGGACTGTCTCCATTTCAAACAATCAGATCCCCTGCCAGACTGTATTAGTCAGAGCAGTGCAAATGCTGTAACAAACAGCCCCAAGTGTCTGTGGCTGAAACCATGACAGTTTACTTCTCGTTGCCATGGCAGCCAGTGCAGCTCAGAGTGGATGGGCATGTCTGCATCTGCATGCATGCAGGCTCCTTCCATCCTGAAGCTCCCCATCCTCGCCCTTACACTGCTGGCTGGGAAAGGGAGCCTGGAGGAAGCCTCAGGTTTGTATGGGGCAGGCCTGGAAGTGAGGTGCACCACCTCCACTCCTATCCCCTGGGCCAGAACTTGGGCATCTGACCACACAGACTTCCCTTGGAAGGAGAAGAGAACAAGGACACTGTGCACCTTTGTCAAGCCAACCACCATGCCCATGGAGCATCTACTATGTGCAGAGATGTCAGCTCCTCCAGACAATGTTCTCTGTCATTTTCCATCTGTTCAAGCTGAGTCAGAGGTGTGTACATGTGCAAATGCGAACAATCCAGGCTCACTTCCTGCTTCCCTGAGTCCTAGGCTAACCTCTAGCACAGCACAGATCACAAGAGTGATGACTGCCTGACCGTGTGTCCTTCCTCCCAGTAGAGTTTGAGCCACATGGAGGCAGGGGCCACAGCCTGTATTCTCAGGACTTGGACAGCGGTGGAAGCTCTACTTAGCTTGCTGAAGAGGAAAGGGGAAAGAAAGGAGAGTGAATTGGCACTTGTCGAGATCTCCCAGTTCGTTTTTTAAAAATTGTGGTAAAATATATGTAACAGAAAATTTACCATCTTAACCATTTTGGAGTGCGCAGTTCAGTACCACCAAGTACCTTCACGTTGTTGGACAAACTTCACCACCATCTGTCTCTAGAATGTTCTTCATCTTGCAAAACCAAAACTCTGTACCCATTAAACGACTCCCCATTCCCTCTTCCCCCAGCTCCTAGCAACTACCATTCTATTTTCTATCTCTACAAATTTGACTACTCTAGGTACCTCGTATAATTGGAATCAACAGTATTTGTACCCTGGCTTATTTCATTTAGCATAATGTCCTCAGACTTTATTCATGTTGTTGCATGTGTCAGAATTTCCTTCCTTTGTAAAGCTGAATAATTTTTCATTATAAGTATATACCACACTTTGTTTATCCATTCACTTGTCGATGGAAATTTGGGTTGCATCCACCTTTTTTTGCTATTGTGCATAATGCTGCTATACACATGGCTGTGCAAATATCTAATATTAGTCCCTGCTTTCAGTTCTTTTGGATATGTATCCAGAAGCAGAATTCTTGGATCATATGGTAATCCTATTTTTAATTCTTTTAGGAACTGCCATATTGTTTTCCACAGCAGCTGCAGCATTTTACATTCCTACCAGCAGTGCACAAGAGTTCCAATTTCTCCATATCCTCACCAACACTTGTTATTTTCTGTTGCTGCTGTTTGTTTTTTTATTAATAGTCATCCTAATGGGTGTGAAGTTGTTTCTCATTGTGGTTTGCTTTGCAGGTTTTGATTTGTAGATTTTCCTGATGATTAGTGATGGGTGCATCTTTTCATGTTCTTACTGACCTTTTATATATCTTTCTTGGAGAAATGTCTGTTAACTCTACTCATACTTTTGTAAATAGTATTCCCAATCCTTCTAACTCCCCAATGAGGTGGATATTAGTATGTTCGTGTTACAGTAAAGCCAACTAAACCTTAGAAAGACTAGGTTAATTATCCAAGGTCACACAGCTAGAAAATGACACAGCTTGTATTGAAACATCAGTTTTTCTCTTTCCAAACCTAACGCACATTTCATGAAACCTACATTATTGCACCATAACATCATGTTGATTTACTTATCTGCTCTCCTGCCTGTCCCATCTACTACATAAATTGAGTGTGGTTTGAAATCAGAGACTACTTCTCATCTTTGGCACAGTGGCAGCCATGGATCAGAATCTCTTACATGCTGGATAAGTGGATGCAAGCTCAAGGCCACACCTAAAGTCCCCAGGTGACTTGATCACTTGAGTTAGCTGCTGGAAACCTGGGCTTCCTCTTCTGCAAAATGGGGAGAGAAAATAAATTCTCAGTGGATTGTTTAGAAGATTTGAGCAAAGACCTCTGCAAAGTGCTAAGCATGTGGCTAGCATGTGGCAGGTGCTGCCTAAATAGTAGAAATTAACACTGCCATGCTTATAAGCTCCGGACAAACACAAGAAGCCCGAAACATAATCTGTGCCTTCTGCTTGCATTCCTCCTAGTTGGGGATGTAAAATAGCCCAGCTACAATCAAAGAAGAAAATCAAAGTCAGCACAGACTATGGATATGCTTCTATATGTGTAGATTATTTCCAGACTCATTCGGAAGAATCTGGACATACTGGTTGCCTCAGAGGTCAAGAAAATTGGCTCATTTACTTCTGTAACTTAATTTCGACTCTCTATGCTTTTACATAGTTGGAATTTGCCATGCACATATACTACATTTAAAAGAGCGTGTACGCGAGAATAATGTGGTCAGGTGGCCTGATCCACAGGTGGGTGGGAGAGACAACAGAGACAGTCTTCTGACCCCATCTGGCTTCTACCTGCCAACCCCATGTATTCTGGAGACTCTCCACACCTCCTGGCATGAAGCAGAATCCCTCTCAGGGGGTCACCTCACCTCCTTCCAGAAATGTTTAACAGAAAGAACCTACCATTGGCTTTCTCCATCCCCAGCACCTAATAGAGATATCACGGAGAGGGGAGCATTTGTAATTTACTTTGGAGGGGTGTGTGGAGGCCGAGTAACACCGCCTTCCATCTCAGTGACAACAAACTCATTCTTCACTATAATTAAAATGTCACTTTGATAAATAATTCCATCAGCCCCCTTCCACCTATGAATAGCTTCTTGCTATAATTGTTCACATTCTGCTGAATTAGAAGTATTCAAGGGAGAATTTAAGAGGTATTTAGGCAACAAAGATAAATCGGGTGTGTTTTCCACCCTCCCACAATCCCTCATTAAGCGAGACATCATCCCCGGCTGGGCAGGGCGGGGCTGGGGGGCCTCATCCCTGTGTTCTCAGTCACTCTCTCCCTGAGTGGAGGGAGCCGGAGGGGTTGCCACAGCAGCGTGGACCTCAGGAAGGGGCTGGAGTTTGGGGATACATGTTTGGGGGCCTTCCCTTCCCAGCTATTACTGTAGAAAAAGAAGAGGATGCCTGAGGTGGTGGGAAGAACGTAGGCTCTAGCTTCAGGTGAGCTTGGAAAAGTCAGTGAACATTTATGGACCTCTGTTGTATAACAGAATACAAGATATAATTCTTCATTCAATCTTGTGTCAAGAGCTTGAGTCAAGATATAATTCTTGGAAGAGACATCTGACATTGAGGGTCCCCCCTCCCATGTTATGGGACTCAAGTCTTCCAAAGGATGACTTTCCCTAGGAGACACAGCTAGAGATTGGCAACCCCAGGACCTTTGAATATTCAACAATACCCAGTAGGGTATGAAGCACCGTAGGAGTTCCGTGACTATTCCCATCTTCCCTCATTTTTGTTGGTACCTCTTCCTTCCTGATAAATCACATCTGCTGGGAATAATCCAATAATAGGATGCACAGAGCCAGCCACAGTGTGTTGGACACCTCAGGAAGTGTCCCATCTTGGGTATGTCTGTCCTCACCTTGGGTAGAAAGAGATGGTATTTGACTCTTTCCCCACCAGAAGAGGGGTATGGCCATGTGGTTACAAGAGCAGCACTTCATAGTATGAAAGCCAGGGTTCCAAGACAACTACTCCCAGTGTGGGGCTGGCATGTTAGTGACTCTAACTACAGTTTCTTTTTTTTTATTATTGTTTGAGACAGAGTCTCGCTCTGCCACCCAGGCTGGAGTGCAGTGGCACAGTCTCGGCTCACTGCAACATCCGCCTCCCAGGTTCAAGCAATTCTCCTGCCTCAGCCTCCTGAGTAGCTGGGATTACAGCTGCCCACCACCACACCCAACTAGTTTTTGTATTTTTAGTAGAGATGGGTTTTCACCATGTTGGCCAGGCTGCTCTTGATCTCCTGACCTCAGGTGATCCACCCCACTCTGCCTCCCAAAGTGCTGGGATTACAGGCATGAGCCACTGCACCCAGCCTAACTACAGTTTCTTTATCTGTAAATTGGAAATAACAATAGTCCCACTGATGAGTTATGGAAAGTAGGGCCTTCCACGGTGTCTGCATGTGGCAAACATTACCCATAGCTCCTGTTGGGTTTCTCGTGAGGAGTGTAACAGTTTGGCCATGCAGTTTTAAATGCCACATGAGCGGCTAGGTGGGAGGGAGTACCGGGCCAATCCAACTCAGTCAACACAGGTCCCCCACACCATTTCCTCTGTGGCAGGTATAAGAGTCAAGGCCCACTTCAAGGCCACCAAAGTCCAAGCATCTCCCCAGTCCTAGCTTCCCCAGAGAGTCCTGAATGACAGGTATTCATTGGTTGTGATGGGGCTTGTCTGGGGTTGGGGACTGGGGGTGAGGAGTGGGGTGGGGTTTAAAAATGGAGGGCAGCGGTACCAGTGAAGGGGAAGCAGTGATAAAACCCATTTGAGTTTCTGCTCTGAAGCAGAGTCCATTAGGATGACGGCTCCTTGGACCAGGGAGCTGCGTCTGAGGGGCTGTGCCCAGTTCCATCAGTGGTGGGATTGGGAGTGGTCCATGAAAATAACTCACATGCATGTGTGGCTGGCTGAAGAAGCAGAGAAGCCTGCATGGGCAGCCAATCCCCATGCTGAGCGCTTTGCTTGGAATGGCTCTGATAAAGAAGCCCATGATGCTGGAAGGAAGGGCTCCCTGCAGGACCCTCTGGGATGATTCCCTGCCCATCTCCAGGACCACCCTCCAGAATATGGTCTAGGATGGCCTTGAGTGCGTAGGTTTCAGAATGTGGGAAGAAGGGGCAAGGAGAAAAAAACAAGCACCTATTGATCACCTGTGTTAGCTCATTCAATCTTTCTAACATCTCTGCAGGTTAAATATTCTATCCCATTTTACAGAGGGCAAGCTAAAACTGAGAGATCTAAGATGATTTTGCCAAGGTTACACTGCTAGCAAATGGTTAGATTTGAACCCAAGACTCTAACTCCAAAGAGCCAAGCTCTTTACAGTGGATCAGTCCATCATCTCTTTACATTTTACAAGTTTGTGTCATGGTTTTAGACAATATGTTTGACATGCAAGACGCTCTGCTAACCTTAATGAAGGTGTGCATGTGAGATGCATGTGGGAGTCAGTGTCTCGGGTGGTGAGCTTCATCCAGACTCATTTCAAACTAGCTTGCACAGCAGAGCTTCCAGCAATGCAAATGCCAGGTTACTCGAGGCTCCCTCTAAGATGCAGGGACTCAAAAAGTTGTTTCTGAAGCTCCAGGGCCTTTATAACGGGGCTTCGAAAGCAGCAGAAAGAAACAGCACACAAAGTGTTTGTTTATTCTCTTGTATTCAAGAAAGAGCCAATAATTCAAACAACTAATTCTAGAAGAATAGAATTCCCCCAGTCCCCACCTTAATACAGGCAGGCTCACCTGTCCATTGGTAAGTCAGCACATTTCTCTGTGAACACTGATGCCCTGTGCCCATCACACCCATAGTATCAACTGTCAGGACAGCTGCCAGATGAAAGTGCTGTCATCATGGGCAGCTGCCTCTTGGACCAGGAGCTAAGGGAGAAACTCCTTCCTTAGAGACCCACGCCAGACTGCAGTGTTGTTTGAGAGACCTGAGTCTCTCAGGGATGTGTTCTGGAGATCTGCGAGCAGGACTGTATCCATGAATCAGGACTCTGTCTTAAGCCACAGTAGGGAAGAGGAATGGCACAATAGAGGAAACACCACCCCACGTAGCATGGAGCCATGGAGAGAGCATGAGTTTAGAAGCCAGGAGCGCCAGCTCTGCCAGCTACTGGCCAAACCACTGGGGGCCAGTGCCTCGGCCATCTGTGAACAGACACTGCTGGATAATGATCTCAAAGCTCTCATCCTGTCTAACACCATCCAGTTTGAGACCTGCTTAATCAGTGGGGTTCTGGGAGGCCAGAGCTGGAGCTATGATCAGGGCTAAAATGCATACAGAAAGCACAGATGCTAGAAGCCAAATGGAGGTTGTCCAGGGGGTCCCCAACCATGGGACTGGAAGCAGATGTCAAAATCAAGGATCAGAGCTTCTGGGAAGCAGACACAGCAAGGGAACATGAGTAGTGTGAGCTCACGCTGAGTGAGCACTGGCTGTGCACCAGTATTGAATAGGTATTAACTCCCTTCAGCTGCACAATTATGCTGTAGGTGAGTTTTACCTTGGGAAACCAAGGCACAGAATTTAAGTAACATATTGAAGCTCATGCAGCTGCTAACAGGGAAGGCCAGGGTCTGAACCCAGCTGATCCGGCTCCAGCATCCGAGCTCTGAACCACTGGTCTATCCTGCCTCTGTTAGGACTTGGTCCAATGTCATCATCCTAGAAGGAACATTTAGGCCCGCACGGTGGGTGGCTGGTTCAATCCAGTTTAAAGGCCAGGAGCAGGACAGTGACTTGCAGCTGCAGCAATCCTATGACTCAAACCAAAGCAGCTGTGACAAATAAAGGGACTGACTCTCATTCTCCCGTGCTAGGGAAGGATGAGCTATCAGGCCTTGTTGCAGGCTGAGTCAGTCATCCCACAAACCACCTAAGTGAAACCTCTTCACTGAGCCTTATTTCCTGAGCGCTCTCCCTTTATCTGTGCTTGCAAAGAGGCGTCTCCCTCCATGCCAGCCAACCCACCCACCCCCGCACACACATACCACCTCTGGCTGGAACTGACGACCATGGGTTTTAGAAATGAGATAAATCTGGGAGATGAATGTATTCATGAGCCCATAAAGGGGTCATGAATCACTGGCCCCAATTACTGCCTTCAATCCTGACAGGATGAATTCCCTCAAGCAGATTCTCCTTGTCAGACAACACGGGAGGCAGTGTCATGGCTGATCTAGAGCCACAGATAACATCATTATTCCATACCAGGCTGGTTTCGGTTTCCCAAGCCACCTCCACTTGATTTACAGCTCACTTCTGATGCTGGAGAGAGAGATAAATATATATATATATATATATATATATATATATATATATATATATATGAAAGAAAGAAAGAAAAGAGAGAGAGAGAAAGACACAAAGGGGAAGCTTTCATGCCAAGTGGAAACAAGACAAAATAAATGCACCGAATCCGATTTCAAAAGCTGTTTGAAAACTCTGTCCGGAATTGCTGGAAAGGGCCCCAGCATCCACAGGAAATGTATCCCTGCCAAGCCCTGTGCTACTGAACTCTGTGGCCCCCACTCCTGCCTCCCGGTGACTTGTTTAGAACTACTTCAGATCGGAACAAATCACAGCCAACTGCAGTCGCTGTCTCTAGCCCTTCAATCACTCCTAATCAGACCGTGTATTTTAGCAACAGAATCTTCCCTGGCTGAGGAGCTCATTCATCTGCCTTCCACCAGCTCGACACCCTTTGAATGGGAGATGAGGGGAAGCCACCTGCTTCTCTGGCAGCCAAGGGAAGCTGGGAGGAGGCAGGAATTGCCAGCCCTCCCTCTCTGATAGATCACCAGTGGGAGTCCAGACCAGCAGGAACCAGGAAAGGAGGTGGCAGGTCAGAGAGAAGGCACTGAAAAGGGTCATCTGAGTCCATGTTTGGTGAATGCCCACCTTGAGCTGGACACCTGGCTGTGGTCCCTGGAGTTGGATAGCCTGGGTTCAAATTCTTTAACTACCATTTTCTGGCCAACCCATTCTCTGTGTGCCCCGGACAAGGTACCTACCCTGTGAGTATAGAAGCAAACCCCCAGAAAAAAGCAAGTGGAAAAAGCAAAGAACCAGGACATGGGTGGACTCGAGTCCTAGAGAGGCTCAGGAAACTTTTATCCAAAGACACAGAGGAGCTGGTTGCAGAGGAGAGCTTAAACTCACACAGAGAGGGGAGGCCTGGGAGGTGTCAACAAGTTATCTTCTCACTTCAGAAGGGCCCTCTCGAGAACAGGGATTTCCCCTGCTCTGCAAGGGACCAGTGGACAGAAGTCAGCAGAGGCCATGTAGGGGCAGGAGCTTCCTGTCATCATAGATGCCAAAGCTGAAGCAGGATACTGAATGCAAACAGGCCCTGAGGCCATCTGATGTGCTCGTTCCCATAGCCCCGCTGTGTGTGTGTGCGCGTGTGTGTGTGTGTGTGTGTGTGTGTGTGTGTGTGTGTTTGGTGGGGTGGGAGGGGAGGCAGAAGAGGAAGAGAGGGCAGAGAGCCAAAGACTGAGGCCCCGGCCCATAAGTAAGGCAGTTTGCAGATCTCAATATCCTGTGCAGACCCACAGGCTGCCGTGGGGTTGAGGGCTGCTGGTGTCTTAACCAGAGGCAGAGACTGGAAGGAGCACCAGATAGAACTGACTCACTCCTCCTTCCTCTACCACATTTCTTCTCTGAAAATTTGCCATTAATCACAGGTGACGATGGAATCAGCAATTAACATGAGCTAAAACAAACTACTAGGCATACAGTAGCGCTCAATAAGTGCTAGCTATTATGATTACAATGGAGGGAAAAGTTGTCACCGCAGCACACCGTGCATCCCTTTTTGGTCTGGGGCCTCTCATCCAGACACAGGTAAGAAGACTCCTCACTCCCCGAGGAATCGCGTGCAATGTCATGATGGCATCTGATTTAGTTTTCCCACATCTCAAATGAGATCAGGGCAACTAGTCTTACTCAACCCTTCAGACTTACATACCCTGTGTATCAAGGAATGAGTCTCCCATCATTGGAGACAATCAAGTAGAGCCTTTCTGGTGGAGGAGAAGGAAGTAGACAAGTGGAGCTCAGAGGTGCCCTCCCACCCCGAGATTCCATGATGCTCAGGACTGTGGAATGAGCACGGGAGTGTGATGGACCTAGGGGTGGGGAAGAGCGAGAAGTTCCCGTGCAATGGACCTAGGGGTGGGGAAGAGCGAGAAGTCAGAACACTGGCAGAAGAGGAAGAAACCAGACAACCTGGAAGCCAAGCAGATGAGTTTCACCTGCATATCCTCTCCTCTTCCCCCTTCCTCCAGCGTTGACTTATGGGAGGTATTTCAGTGAGGACAAAAGAGGACTTAGTCAAACAAGCACTTATTGAAAGAAAATATATTCTACACAGCACTTCCGTCCTTTTAAAGTGATTCACTCCCTTTCCACTGCCTATTCTGTTTAGGAGAAAAGTGGAGCTTCTTAGCTTGGTGCCCAAGGTCCTCATCAATCCTAAGATGACATTTATTGAGAGCACATGATGTGCCAGGCATTGTTACAGGCACCAGCTCATTCAAGCCATATAAAGACAACCCTGTGGTGTAGGTTCTCTCAGGGTCACCCCTTCAGATGAAGAAACTGAAGCCCAGAAAGGTCAATTAACTTGCTCAGGGCCACACAGCTAGTTAGTAGTAGAGCTGGGACCTGAACTCAGGTAACTGGTCCTTACGCTACTGTTCTTAATCCCGTACTTAAGTCGACCAGCCCTGCCCTGCCTTGGCTCCAGCCTCACCTTAAGTTTCTCACCACCTGGAGTTTTTGGCCAATGCCACACGGAATGACCAGCATTTCTCTGAACACATCATGCTGTATTTAGCGTCCAGGCTTTAGCACAGCTGTTCCCTGTGCCTGGAATTCTCTTCCTTTTTTGTTTTTTTCTCACCCAAAACCAGCTTGTCCTTTAAGATCCAGCTTAATGTTCTCCTACTCTTGGGAGCCTTTTTTGGTGCCCCCAACCCCATCAGGCCACGTAGCACCTGGTAGCACCAGGTAGCACCCCATCCTCTGTGTGCCCACGCCTACCTCCTCTCTACCTCACCCACCCTGGACAGACCCTCACACCACACTTCTCACATTACATTGAAACTGATGACTGCCTTGTCATCTTCTCCCTGGAGCATGTCATTCATGGCTGTCTCCTAAGGGCCTAGCTTGGTCCCTGCATTCAGTAGGCAGGTACTATTTGCAGGGGCAGGACAGCAAATGGTTAGAGCTTAAGCTCTGCATCCAAAAGGGCCTGGATTCAGATCTCCACTCAGCCATGTGTTAGCTGTGCGACCCTGGGCAAGCTAGCCCGCTGCTCCTCACACTCCACGGTCGCTGTGAGGTGTAATGAGATCGCACATATAAATTGATTAGTGCAGGGTCTGGAATGCAGCAAGCAGATGGCCAATGAATGTTTGGCAACACTGCACTTCAGAATCGGGCTCTACCTAGACAGACTTCATATCAAATTCCAGCTCTCCCACTTACCAGCTGTGTGACCTTGAACAAGTCACTTAGCCTCTCTGAGTTTAATTCCTCCTCTATAAAATGGGCTTCATATTTTTAAAATGGCAAAGATTCTAAAGATTACAAACACAACACCTGCGTCGCTTCCCTCTGTGTACAGAGCAGCGTTGTTGCAGTTTGCGCGCTAAGGCTGTAGACTGGGCTGCAGTGCCTTTTAAATACACCAGCTCCTGGTTTGGAGCTAATGGGACACATGCCGGGGACGGCTGGGAGTCACAGCGGTGTAGAGGAGAATATGGCTTCAAGAAAATGACATTTGGAAGTAATTATGGGAGCAATGGATCGGAACCACAGTCAGCTGCCAGCTATCCCCAGAGACATCACAGGAGAAGGAGGCAGAAGCTGGAACATCATCCGGGAGCTGGACTAGAACGTCCCGGGAAACTTCAGCCTGGCTTCTGCTTTGTCCCGAAAACCCAGGGCTCCAGCTCCAGGGCTCTGTCTTAGAATGAGGCAGTTTATCTGTTCAGGGCTTCTCTTAGTTTTTAATCCCAATAGGACACATGTTGTATTAAAAAGCCATGCGAGACGGAAGAAGGAAATTGAATGAAATTTGAGGGCAGGTAGGAGCAGAGACAATAAATAATTCAGCAGTGAAGGAAGCAGAAAAAAGATTGCACTCATTTCGCCCTTCAACAATTATACTAAACACCTGCTCTGGGCCACAGAAGGGCCAGATCCCATTCCTGTGCTCAGGAAGCCCACAGGCCGGCAGGGAGAGGCTGGTTGGAATGTGTGCTTTGCACTGTAACGGAGGCATCGAGCATGGTAAGGGACTGGCGGTGGCTGCTGCCTGCGGACGTCGAGCAGGGGCCTTTGAAGAGGCAGGACCTGTCTGGAGTCTTACCTGGGCCTTGGCCCTGGCAATGGGGAATGGAGCAGGCAGCAGGGGACAGATGCTGCCAGAAACCGAGATGGTGCCGGAGGACTGGGCTGAGTCTGGGTCAAATGACACCGCCCCAGGCTCTCTGCCCTCTGGGGTGAGGCAGGAGGCTGCCTCTGTGTGTGATTCAGAGACCCTAGAATCCCAGTGGCCATCACCCCACAGCACATGCCAACCTTTCTGTGATAACTTTCTCTTGTGGAACTGTGAAAGTGTAAGACCAGCTCCTGTATAGTGCATGGCCATCCTTTGCTTTGGGGACAGTAAGTCAGTCAACACATACTTATAAATGGGGTCCTGGGCCGTGGCACTGATCTGGTCCTCCCACCTTGCCTCACACTGCCCTTCCCACTCACCACTTCCCTCCTCTGCATCTTAGCCGCAAGGGACTTTCAGACCAAGCAGACCTGGAATCAAATCCCACCGCTGGGCCTCAATGCCAGTGGAGACAGGAACAGCTGATCCCTGGAGCCCTCAGGAGGAAGAGGACGGGATGCCTGGCTTGGCTGCTGGTCTGGGGCAGGTGCCCAGTTACAGCAGTTGGAAAAATCCTCAGTGTTGGAAGGAAATTTGGAAGTGAGCATCTACCTGCCTGCCGTGCAGTTTGTGACTTTTAAGATGGTTGACAGAACATTCCCAAAGGACCACAGCGGTGACCACTGTTCTCGTTTCCCTTTGGTGGCTCACTCACTCAGTGCTGGACACAGTGGTCCTGACAAGACAGTGCTGTGGCTTCCATGAACCTAGGACAGGGATAGACTCAAGGACTAAGAACAAACCAGGAAGAAGCATCACCACAGGCTCCTTGCCAGTCACCTCATCTCACCCTCCTGGCCCTGGCGGATGGGTCTCCATATTTACAGGGGCCAGATGAAAAAACCAGAGGAGCCAGGAAAAGGAGCTTCCCCTTCCCAAGGGCGCAAGGTGAGGTGCCAGTCATGAGATGCAAGCCCTGAGCTTTCTGATTCCACTGCATGTGGTCCCAAGGTTCGGCGCCGCATCACACAGTTAGTGAGCACACTCTCCTCCCCTGGCCCCGAGTGAGCCAGCTGGATGGCAGATCAGAAAGAGAAGTCCCGGGTGCCCCCAACATGGCTAGCTCCTTCCAGGACCAGGGGCTAGGCCCCAGCTAAGGCTGGTGCACACAGCAGGGCAGGGGGCGAAGGAGTGGGATCCCACCCAGGGATCCCACCCACCCCAAACCTGCTTTCGGACATCTTTCCAATGCATAATGTGCAGATGAGGCCCTTTGATAAGGACCAAATCCCTTTCCGTTGCTTGGCAACCTGGCTCACAAGTCATAGCAGGGAAGTAATTTACAGGAATTCAAAGTGTCGCTGGAGGTTCTGCTGAGCTGAATTGCTGCAAAGAGGAACCTCAATGGTCCAAATCACACCTCTGGCGGGGAGGAGGGGCTGAAGGAAAAGCTTCCACTTCCGTCACTTGAGAGTACAGAGCCCTGAGCTCAGACTCAGCGATCGTTTTCCATTAACGGATTTACTGGTTCCATGTTGAGCTCCTGCTGTGTGGCAGGCCCTGTGCTGGGAGCCAGGGACACAGTGACAAACGAGACAGATGCCAACCCCGGATGCACAGAGCTCAAAGAGACAGAGGAGTAAACAGGGCTACACATGTGACAAGATAGGCTGTGCACAGGGGTCTGAGCAGGACCCTTGGGGCAGGAGGAGGCAGTGGAGGGATGGGAGGGTAGGGACGCAGTGGTGACCAGCTAGCCAGATAGAGAACAGAGGGTGTCCCAGCACAGGGCCACACAAGCAAAGGCAGAGGTGGGGAGAGAAGAGCCTGCCACACTCTCAGATCACCATGTGGTTGGGCCAGGGCCCCAGCTGAGGCTGAGGACACATGGAGCCCAGATCCGGCAGGGCCTTGAATGCCAAGTCAGAAAGCATCTGAAATTTAGTCTACAGATGATGTGGGTTATTGACAGCCAGGACAGGGAATGACATTTGTGTTTCAGGAAAACCACTGTCTTCACTGTTAGGGGGTAGATTCAGGGAGAAACAGGAGGTGGAGGGGAAGAAACTGTGAGTAAAGGAGTCTCTGGGGTACAGGTGAAGTTTCTGTGAAACTGGAGAAGAAAACTGTTGAGGCAAGAGTTGACAAAACTTGAAGTAGGATGGAGAGGAAGGGACAAGTTCCCCTGGCATGGTGACGGCCCGGTGGTGGGAACCAGGGAAGAGGAGGGGCTTTGCAGGTGTCTGACTTGCCCAACAGGTGGCGCCATTTACCAAGATGGGAAGGGCCGGGGAGAAGGGAGGGTTCCATTCTAGGGAAATCTCAGGTCCTCGCTATTAGGATTCTTTCGGTTGCCAGTGACTGAAACCCAGCTGAAATGGACTTGGGAACATACTGGTTCATGACATCTGGTGGAGGTGAGGTCAGGGTGCACTGGAGCCCTGGCAGCCCACTCTGATGCCAGAGCCCATGGGGACAGCGGTGTATGTTGGACACAGTAGTCCTTCAAGGGCGGGGATCGGAGGAACAGAAGAAAGGAACAGCAGATGCCCCACTGAGGCTGAGCAGAACATTTAGGATCCTTGGCCCCATCTCATTGTGCCCTTTGCTGTGGCTCATCTCACACTTGCAGGGAGAAGCCAATGGATCTCTGTGAATGGCGAGGCTTTGTATGCATAAATGTGGGCCATTTTGTCCCCAAGAATCCCTGGGGGTGAGGAAGCCACAGAAAATTGAGGTCCTATTCCCTGCTCACTCCTGGTATGTAGTGGAAGCTGGAGAGCCTTTGTCCAGGCACTGACAGCAGGAGGTTTCATGCAGAGCTGCTCAGGGCATTTCCCAGATCTGTCCCACCCCTGGGAACTGGCTCAGTGGCCTTGCCCCACCAGAAGACTGGGAACTGCACCCAAGACAGGTTCAGCCCCCCCAGGAGAGGACCTGCTGGTGTGCGTGTCCACACACAGCACAGAAGCAAGGAAGATCTGGCAAACAACCTTCAACAAAAAAGAGGCCATTTGCACTGGCCACCTGTGCTGCTTCTTTCCTGAGCAGACTTGGTTCTGAGCCAGGGGGTCTCCCTCTTTCCCTCCTCCAGCTCAGGAAAGGACTCAGGCACATGTCCACCCAACCTGCAGGAGAGTGTGGCACAGCAGTGAAAGGCCTGGGCTTCGCAGGCCAACTTGGGTTTGATTTTTGGCTCTGTGTCACAGGCCTCATGAGATGTGCTCACCTCTTAGCTCCCTCATTTCAGAATGGGGATGAGAATCTGCCATGCCCCTGCCCACCAGCCACCTGCCCACCCTCCCTTATCATGTGCCCCGACCTCCCATGGGTGCTGCTCATCTGAGTCCCTCTGTCCTCACTATGACGGCTGGTCTGGGAACCCCTCTGGCCCTACTCTGCTTCAAGACCATTTAGCCTCTGCTCCTGCTTCCTTATTTTCTTGCTATTTCCCAGCTGCAATTTCTTTGCAAGACAGGGAAAGGATTGGATATACTCAGCCCATCTTAATTTTTTTACTGTGGGAAAATACACATAACATAAAATGTACTATTTTAACCATTTTAAAGGATGCAATTCAGTGGCATTAATTACATTCACAACGGCATGCAGCCATCACCACTATCTGGTTCCAGAACTTTCTCATCACCTCAGATGGAAGCCCCGTATTCACTAAGAAGCCACTCCCCATTCCCACCTCCCCCAACTCCTGGCAACCACCAATCTGCTTTCTGTTTCTGTGGATTTGCCTATTCTGGATATTTCATTTAAAGGCATCGTGCAATATGTGGCCTTTTGTGCCTGGCTTCTTTCTCTCAGCACCATGTTTTAGGGTCTATCTACGTTGTAGCATGGGTCAGTACTTCAACCCTGTTCTTTTTTTTTTTTTTTTTTTTTTGAGATGGAGTATCCCTCTGTTGCTCAGGCTGAAGTGCAGTGGCACGACCTCAGCTCCCTGTAACCTCTGCCCCCTGGGTTCAAGTCATTCTCCTGCCTCAGCCTCCCATGTAGCTGGGATTACAGGCACGTACCACCACACCTGGCTAAGTTTTGTATTTTTAGTAGCGACGGGGTTTTGCCATGTTGGCCAGGCTGGTTTTGAACTCCTGACCTCAGGTGATCTGCCCACCTCGGCCTCTCAAAGTGGTGGGATTACAGGCGTGAGCCACCACGCCTGGCCACTTCATCCCTTTTTATGGCTGAGTAACATTCCATTGTGTGGATATACCACACGGTTTTGTTTATTCATCAGTTGATGAACCTTTGGATTGTCTCACATTTTGACCATTGTGAATCATGCTGCTATAAATATTCATGTACAAGTTTTTATTTGAACACTTGTCTCTAATTCTTTGGGGTATATACCCAGGAGTGGAATCGTTGGCTCATATGGTAACTCTGTGTTTAACTTATTGAGAAACTGCCCAACAGTTTTCCATAACAGCTGCACCATTGTACGATCCCTCAAGCAAGGTGCAAGGGTATCAGTTTCCCCACATCCTCATCAATGTTCTTGTTTTTATGGTCCTTCCAGTGGGTGTGAGGCTCTTTTTACTTTTTAATCACCAGGCAGAGATCTCTCAACCAACTATAAAATGATTAAATGACTGATAGCCTTTGTGATCAATCAGACTGGCTGGAGAACAGGAAGATGAGAGGAGCCTGGAGTCCCTGACCCAGAAGGTGGCCATCTCAAATGTTTTTTCCATCTTCCAGGGCTGTGGACTGGGCAGTTTGGGACCCGGGAGGGGCAGGCCGTGAGACCTGTCTAGTGCACATGTGCGACCTCATCCGATCCTCATAGTAACACTTACTAAAATTCTTAACCATTACCCCACCAGTCTATGTCCACACGGCCACGCTCACAGCCGTCCCTGCAGTGTCCCAGGCCCACTCTCACTTGTTCTTTGCAGAACCTCATGATGAATGCAGCATCCACTGTTTCCTTCTTCTGCTGCTCTGGTTCCCCTCCACCGAAGCACTACTTTGTCCAAGAAACTGCTCCTTCCCACCAGGCAGCGCCCTAGGCTGGGGCCAAACTAGCCAGTATCAACCACAGGCTTCTGTCCCCTGGCCTGAGATCAGATTCTTAGCTGCACAGCTGCCCCTGAGAGTTCCTTTCCCCAGGATGTGTTCTCAAGCGGGCAATGCCTCAAGCCTCCTGTTGAGGCTAGAGGAAGGACCACCTCCTGTTCACCAGCATGCACAGACTAGACAGGACGGCTCCGTCTGTCGCGCTTCTGTTGGTCTCTCATGCCCAAGGGTGTGGCTCTGGGATCAGCCTGCCCTGGTTCGGATCTACTTAATTGTCACTGTCACTTTCAGCTCGTTATTTAGCCTCCAGTGCTTCCATTTTCTCAGGGGTGTAGTGGGATGATGAAAACAATTCCCGTTTCGTAGAGTAGTGATGAAGAGTAAATGAGCTAATCCCAGTAAAAAGCTTTAACTCCTGAGCCACAGTAAGTGCTCAGTTTATCTAAGCATCATTATCAAACATAAACAATCATTTACAGAGTGATGACCACCGTATGCTCCAAACCCAGGGCTGGGGGCCTTTCCTACTTCTACAGTGACCCTTAGAGGTGAGCAGTCTAGCCCCCACTTTAGGGATAATGTGACGAGGTGCTGAGAGGTCATGATCTCCCAGCAGTGAGTGACAGAGCCTGAGGTGAACCCCAAATCTGTCTGACTCTAAAGTTCATGCTCATTCCAATCATGGCAAAGAAAATGCAGTGTCTTCTCACGAAGGGTTCATCCCTGCCTCCTCAGTGGCTGTTTCAAGGAGGGCCCTTTGGTTTGCCCAGATAGACTATTCACACTGAAAGTGACAATGGAGAAACTGGCCAGGACACTCCAAGGTCACAGAGAGGTTTGTGGAGGTGAGATGAGGGTCTCAGCCGGCGGGGAGGGATTCCGGAGGGCAGCGATCCCTAAGGTGGAGCCTTCCAGCCACAGGATGTGTGACGAGAAAGTTTTCCCTCTTCTCCCCTCACAGCCCGCAACAAAATCTACATGGCTTGCCAATATTCTTGGAGAATGAATTTGGGGGGCTGTATTTGTTTCCCATGACTGCTACAACAAATTACCACAAACTGAGTGGGTTTAAAACAATAGACATTTATTCTCTCACTGCCCTGAAGGCTAGAAGGTCCAGATCAAGGAGTGAGGACAGAAGAAGGTAGGCACTAGAACTTGACCCAGAAGCCTGTGACACACACACACCCCACATCCTTCTCCAGCCCCCCATTATCTGTCTCCTAGGAACAAGGACACCACTACATTCATTCCAGAAAAGACCCCTTTTGTCTGCCAGCCATCCTCAGAGCCGAAAAGCAAACCTTTGCTGCTGAGAGCTGCTGATAGAAGAGCAGGAAGCACAGTTAAAGGGGAACAGGCTCCCAACTCTGGGGCAGCAGATCTTTTGGGCTTCATGTCATAGTATTGTAAAGACAATTGCCAAAGTCAGACAAGATCAGTTGTGTGATCTTGGCAATTCACTTTGTTTCTCTGAGCCTCAGTTTACTCACCCATAAAATGGGGAGAACCACGTCTACCTGACTGACTCGTGATGAAGATGAAATTAACACAAAGACAAGGCTGGGCGCAGTGGCTCACGCCAGTAATCCCAGCACTTTGGGAGGCCGAGGCATGTGGATCATCTGAGGTCAGGAGTTTGAGACCAGCCTGGCCAACATGGTAAAACCCCGTCTCTACTAAAAATACAAAAATTGGCCAGGTGTGGTGATGGGCACCAGTAATCCCAGCGACTCGGGAGGCTGAGGTAGGAGAATCGCTTGAACCCGGGAGGCAGAGGTTGCAGTGAGCTGAGATGCACTCCAGCCTGGGCGACAGGGTGAAACTGTCTCAAAAAAAAAAAAAAATTAATGCAAAGACAAAATTAGTGTGGGAAAACCCTTTGCTCAGAGAAATGATGGCCACAAAGTCATATTACTCCCCCCTTACTCTGTAAAATCTCCTTTGCTAGAGGAAGAGTTAAAAGTCCAAGTGGGAAGCACAGTCCCGGGCGGAGGCAGGGAAGGCTATCCTGGCTCTGAGTCGGGCTCTGTCTACCTGGATTTTGTGCCTCCACGTTCCCTTTCATCACTCTCCAACAGGGAGATGTCTGTCTCCCCTCAGTGTGATAGTAATATAATGGGGCCTCCTGGTGCTCCTCAGAATCACGTGCTCTGGGCAGGAAAAAGGTGCAATTCTCCTGCAGAATGTACACAGCAAAGACTGGAAACGAGAAAACTGTCTTCCCCAGGGTGGCTTCCTAACAAATATAATGAGAAGGCGCTTCCTCTCTTCCTTTCAGTCACATGGGGAGGTCAACAGAGAGCAATGACTGTCCTGAGGCTATTTATTTATTTTTTGCCTGATAATAATTATAATAATCACTTGCATTTATTGAGTTGTCTGTGTCAGGCACCGGGCTAGGCACTTCACTGCATGAGTTATCGCAAGCAATCTTTCCAAAGGGATTAGGAAGCAGGAGTTATTTTACAGATGAGGAAACTCATGCATAGAGAGGTTGAGTGTGACGCTCATGTTAGCCTAACATGAGGATCCAAGAGCTTATCCATTTACTCAGACTTTTTGATTATTTTTTGTGCAATTTCACAGACTTTTGGTGATGCATAAAATTTTTTTAGAGTACTAGTTTGGGCCTGGCATGGCAGCTCACTCCTGTAATCTCAGCACTTTGGGAGGCTAAAGCAGCAGAATCACTTGAGGCCAGGAGTTCAAGACCAGCCTGGGCAACATAGCGAGACCTCACTAAAAATAAAACAAAAAATAAAAATAATACAAAAAATTAGCCAAGCATGGTGGCACACTCCTGTAGTCCCAACTACTTGGGAGACTGAGGCAGGAAGATGTCTTAAGCCCAGAAATTCGAGGTTGCAGTGAGCTATA